>NC_000021.9:34884616-35194570 GCF_000001405.40 Homo sapiens
TGTTTTGCTTGCTTTTATCCCTAACATTTTATCCCTTCACGTTTACTGTCTCACTGAACATTTTGTCTACTCTTCTAGTTATGCAGTGAGCAGGTCTCCTCCAGGAAGAAGCCTCTTTTTATGAGGATTGGGGTGGTGACAGACAATAATCAAATGGTCTGATTTCTCTGCTATCCTTTCCTTTCCCCTAAATGTTCTCAGGGGATCTGCTTGAACTTTTTTCAAGAGCTCTGTATTTGGATTTTTAGTAGCCTATAGATTATCACTCAATAAAACAAATTAATTGTTTTTAAGTGAATTGCCAAAAGTCATTTTAAAAAGGAAACTCTATGGTTATTATGGTTTCTGCTAGAAAGAATTCTGACAGCTCATAAAAGCAATATGTATAATTTTTCATTTTTTAGAAGAAAATAAATACTTTCATGTAATGGCTTGAGACTCTGAATTGCTCCAATTCCTGAAGATTATTTATTAATCATTTAGTCTTTTAATATATTTGAGTGTGGGTTCCCTGGCAGAGGAGGGAGTTCAGAAGAGACCCTGATTTCCCCCCCAAAAGGAAGCCACAAATCTCTTAGAGCCCTAGTGCATTGGGGCAGCCAGGTTTTAATGGCCTTTGGTGGTTATCAGCCCGTCTTGCCTCTGCTCTTTATCTGATAGTGACCCCATGGCCCAACCCTGTTGGGTCCCCTCTCAATGCGGGTGCCCTAAAGAGTCATCGCTGAGTCCATTTAGGCAAAGGGTTAGAATGATTTAAAAGTAAAATGGTCTCCCAAACCCAAATCTAAGTAAACGGAGGGAGGGAAAAAAGAGTCAAGCAAGCCACCACGTTCCTTCGTTCCTTCTCCTCATTTCCACCCCCACTAAAAAACAAAACAAACAAAAAAAACTGCTTTTAGAAAAGTGAGTGGAAAAAGAGGCCAATCTATAGACACAGCCAACTGCAAATTTCGTTTTGTTTTAGAAATCACAATCTAAGTGTGGAAACTGTATAAAGCTTAAAAATAACCGCAACAATACTTTTTTAAAAAGTGAATATTCGTCGTTGTAATAAGATCAAGACCCAGCTGAGGCTTGGAACTATAAAAAGCTTATATTAAATTAATCTCCCTTTAAAGGGGACAATTATTTAAACTTTTTTTTTAGTAGCTTATCTTTACACTTGGAACCACCTGCCTTGATTCGCCCTTTAAACGAACAGGAAATGACCCGCACTGATTTTACTTAGTCGCATCTTTTCAAACCCACCAAAGACAAAACAGAATCTCCACTGCAGAAATTAAATTCCTACTGCTTGCTGCTAGTGTAGTAGGGTGATTGTTTAGAAACGCCTGGGGTTGTTTTCATACCCCTGTTGAAGGTCAAGGTTTTTAAAGGCAGCTCAAAGCTTTGGGGATGATCAGGGGTGAAAAGTGAAGGGAGATCTTTGGAGCCGCCGCGCTGAAGTCTCCGGCTACGCGCCGCCCCCTCCTCTAGCAGGAAAGCGGGCCGCTGGGACCCCTGGCTCTCCGAAAACAGCCTCGTCACCTTTCGCTACCCCTGGCTTAATCTAGGTGAGCTGATGATAGCATTCAGAACGGTTCCGGGAAAAGAAACAGGATTCGATACTTGCGGCTTCTGGCAGGAGCAGGCTAAAAAGCTCAGAGAACTCTTCAGAAAACTTTTGCAAACTTAACTACGCCCGCTGTGGACTTTGGACATGCTAATTCCTATAGGGCGGTTAGAGAAGGGGAAAAAAAATCCCTGACAGTTTCCCTAGTTAGTTTCTTTTCACTGACTTGAAGGCAGAAAAGTCTTACTATTTTATTTCCTGATCCTTTCATCTGAGGAAGACAAAATGGTTTGGGTGTTAATCCAGCGGTAGGGGCAGCAGTAAGTTAGCAGACGGGCTGTCTCTGCCGGGCTGGGTTATAACTTTTCCTACTTTGTATCAAAGCTAAGGCCCCTGCCAGGGAGGTCCCGACCGGCTCCCAGTGGATATCTTTGGGGACACCCTGATGTTTTCAGCCCTCCTGGGAGGCCGCCCCAGAAAGCTGAGACGAGTGCCTCCCGAGGGTCGCCACGGCAACACAGCATCCCCCACATCCCAAGCTAGGAAGACCGACCCGGGGCTGCGGGGGCCCCTTTCCAGAATCCGGCCCCGCCCGCCTGGCCGCTGCCCTCGCGGATCTCCCCCGGCCTCGCCGGCCTCCGCCTGTCCTCCCACCACCCTCTCCGGGCCAGTACCTTGAAAGCGATGGGCAGGGTCTTGTTGCAGCGCCAGTGCGTAGGCAGCACGGAGCAGAGGAAGTTGGGGCTGTCGGTGCGCACCAGCTCGCCCGGGTGGTCGGCCAGCACCTCCACCATGCTGCGGTCGCCGCTCCTCAGCTTGCCGGCCAGGGCAGCGCCGGCGTCCGGGGCGCCCAGCGGCAACGCCTCGCTCATCTTGCCTGGGCTCAGCGCGGTGGAAGGCGGCGTGAAGCGGCGGCTCGTGCTGGCATCTACGGGGATACGCATCACAACAAGCCGATTGAGTTAGGACCCTGCAAACAGCTCCTACCAGACGGCGACAGGGGCGCGGATCTTCAGCAAGCAGCTCCCGGGAGACCAACATACACGTTCAGGGGCCTTTATTACTGCGGGGGGTGGGGGGGGGCGGGGGTGGTTAGGGGAGGAGGGAGACTAAGTTACTAACAGTCCAGGAGGGGAAAACGTTCTGGTTCTGCGGATCGGCCTCTGACCCAGGATGGGCTCCTAGCAACCGATTGCTTAGTGCATTAAAAAGTGGAGACTATCTTCCACGAATCTTGCTTGCAGAGGTTAAGTTCTGTCTTTGGCTGTTAGAAAAGTTCCTGAAGGCAAAATTCTCATACACTTCCTAAAATATTTATGCGAAGAGTAAAACGATCAGCAAACACATTATTTGGAAGTTCCAGTAGTTAATGCCTGTCAGTTTTTTGCAGGTGAGTTTTGTCTAAAGTCCCAACAGAACACAATTATCTCCCGTAACAAGGCCACTTTTATCATGCAAAACTGGCTTCAGTCCCGAAAAGCAAGAGCTGAGACTTCCAAAGGTAGTGCTACTAATGTATGTGCACGTATATATAAATATATACATATGCTCTACTTCATAAAATATTTACAATACAATCTGTGGAGAATTTAAACACAACAGAAATCCATTAATGTACGCTGCAGATTTTTTTAAGTAGCCTTGAAAATCAGCTTCAGTAGTTGGAGCAGTGCTGAGCTAGAAGTACTTGTCATGTTCTCTGTTCTCTCAATGAATTCTGTCAAAACGCTCAGTGCAGAAAATTCAGCGTTTCAGAGATCTTCAGCTAATCTTAAAACAACAATCATAAGAAGGCCCAGTCGATGACACTCAGGGTTCTACAGCTCTCCCACATCTGTGAACTCGGGTTTGGGGATGTTGGTTAAGTTTGTGGCTGGTCCTCTGGTTTGTTGGGAGTTGAGCAGCCGCAGAGTCACACACATGCAAACACGCACTCTTCGGAAGGCAGCCACTGTCTACATCAGCTGGGTGACTCAGCCCTGACTCGGGCAGCAGCGAGACGATACTCCTCCACCGTCGCCCAGCACCCGCCGGTTAGCTGCTCCGAGGCACGAACACCCACGAGCGCCGCGTAACCGCAGCAGGTGGAGCGGGCCTTGAGGGAGGGCTCCGCGGCGCAGATCGAAACAGATCGGGCGGCTCGGGTTACACACGCACGCACATCCTGCCACGCACACTGCCACGCACACGCAACTTCACGGCTCGCCTCGGACCACAGAGCACTTTCTCCCCCTGTTGTAAAAGGAAAACAATTGGGGAAAAGTTCGCAGCCAGGAAAGAAGTTGAAAACATCCAGCCAAGAAGCCAGTTAATTCAAAAGGAAGAAAGGGGAAAAACAAAAAAAAACAACAAAAAAAGGAAGGTCCAACGCAGGCCAAGGAGAAGCAGCAGAGGTTGACTTCCTTCTGGCGTCCCTAGGAGCCCCGGAAAGAAGTGCCTGGCGGCGCAGGGCCGGGCAGCGTGGTGCCCTGGCTGGGTCCGGCCGCGGGGCGCCCGTCCCGCCCGCGCCCGCTGGCTCTATGAATGAGAGTGCCTGGAAATGAACGTGCTTTTACTGTAAGCCCGGCCGGAGGAATTCCATTCCCTCAGCTCGTTTGCATAGGGGCGGCCGGCGGCCAATCACAGGCCTTTCCGGTATCAGCCAGGGCGCGGCTCGCCGCCGCCGGCTCCTGGAATTGGCCCGCGCGCCCCCGCCGCCGCGCCGCGCGCTACTGTACGCAGCCCGGGCGGGGAGTCGGAGGCCACCCCCGCGCCCCGCATCCAAGCCTGCATGCTGGCCCGGGGCCCCGCCCGCGTGCGGACCCCTTTCCGCAGCCACACGCAGGCTTGTGCGGCTCCGCGAGTGGCCACGGTCCGGAGACCTGGAAAAAGAAAGCAGGCCCCGCCGGCCCGAGGAGGACCCGGCCGGCGCGCCGCACCCGGAGAGGCCCGGCCCCGCGAGCCGCTGCAGGCAGGCGCAGTGGCCGCCACGAGGCTCCCGAACCGGGCTGCAGCCCGCGGACGGCCCCAGATCCTGCGCGGCCGCCCAGGGCCAGGCCTCCGCTTCCAGGGCGGGGGTGCGATTTGGCCGCGGGGCCCGGGGGAGCCACTCCGCGCTCCTGCACCGTCCGGCTGGCAGCTGCGGCGAAGCGGCGCTGATTCCTTGCATGAGGCCGGACGGCGTCCGCGCGTGCCGTTTGCTCTCAGCGTCTTCCCTTGGGTCGGTTTCTGTAATGGGTGTTTTTTACCGCTGCGCCCGGGCCGCGGCTCGATCCCTCCGCGCGTCTCACTTGCTGCGTGCGTCAGCGGCCAGCGAAGAGTTTCCTAGTCAGGAAAGACCCCAAGAACGCGCGGCTGGAAGGAAAGTTGAAAGCAGCCACGCGGCTTGCTCCCGGGCCTTGTAGCGCCGGCACCCGCAGCAGCCGGACAGCCTGCCCGGGCCCCGCGTCTCCCCTCCGGCTCCCCGGAAGCGGCCCCCGCTCCTCTCCCCGCCCCCGTGCGCTCGAGCGGCCCCAGGTGCGGAACCCACCCCGGCTTCGCGTGCGGGCGGCCGCTTCCCCCTGCGCCGGTCCCCGCGGTGCTGCGGGCATTTTCGCGGAGCTCGGAGGGCCCCGCCCCCGGTCCGGCGTGCGCTGCCAACTCCGACCCCGCCCGGCGGGGCTCCCTCCCAGCGGAGGCTGCTCCCGTCACCATGAGTCCCTCCACGCCCTCCCTGCCGGGCCCTGCACCTCCCGGGGCCTCTCATCCACCCCGGGGCTGCAACCCAGTCCCCGGATCCCGGCCCCGTTCCACCGCGGGCTGCTTTGTGGTCCCCGCGGAGCCCCTCAATTAAGCTCCCCGGCGCGGGGGTCCCTCGCCGACCTCACGGGGCCCCTGACGCCCGCTCCTCCCTCCCCCAGGGCTAGGGTGCTGTGGCCGCTGCCGCGCAGGGACTGTCCCCGGGCGTTGCCGCGGGCCCGGACGCAGGAGGGGGCCGGGGTTGACTGGCGTGGAGGCCTTTCCCGGGCGGGCCCGGACTGCGCGGAGCTGTCGGGACGCGCCGCGGGCTCTGGCGGACGCCAGGGGGCAGCAGCCGCCCTCCCTGGACGCCGCGCGCAGTCCCCGGAGCTCCCGGAACGCCCCCGACGGCGCGGGGCTGTGCGGCCCGCCTCGTGGCCTTCGGGTCGCCCGGGAAGAACTAGCGTTCGAGGATAAAAGACAGGAAGCCGCCCCAGAGCCCACTTGAGCTGGAACGGCCAAGGCGCGTTTCCGAGGTTCCAATATAGAGTCGCAGCCGGCCAGGTGGGGACTCTCGGACCAGGCCTCCCCGCTGTGCGGCCCGGTCGGGGTCTCTTCCCGAAGCCCCTGTTCCTGGGGCTTGACTCGGGCCGCTCTTGGCTATCTGTGCTTCAGGAGCCCGGGCTTCCGGGGGGCTAAGGCGGGCGGCCCGCGGCCTCAACCCTCTCCGCCTCCGCTCCCCCTGGGCACTGCCAGCACCCGAGTTCAGTTTTGTTTTAATGGACCTGGGGTCTCGGAAAGAAAACTTACTACATTTTTCTTTTAAAATGATTTTTTTAAGCCTAATTCCAGTTGTAAATCCCCCCCTCCCCCCGCCCAAACGTCCACTTTCTAACTCTGTCCCTGAGAAGAGTGCATCGCGCGCGCCCGCCCGCCCGCAGGGGCCGCAGCGCCTTTGCCTGCGGGTTCGGACGCGGCCCGCTCTAGAGGCAAGTTCTGGGCAAGGGAAACCTTTTCGCCTGGTCTCCAATGCATTTCCCCGAGATCCCACCCAGGGCTCCTGGGGCCACCCCCACGTGCATCCCCCGGAACCCCCGAGATGCGGGAGGGAGCACGAGGGTGTGGCGGCTCCAAAAGTAGGCTTTTGACTCCAGGGGAAATAGCAGACTCGGGTGATTTGCCCCTCGGAAAGGTCCAGGGAGGCTCCTCTGGGTCTCGGGCCGCTTGCCTAAAACCCTAAACCCCGCGACGGGGGCTGCGAGTCGGACTCGGGCTGCGGTCTCCCAGGAGGGAGTCAAGTTCCTTTATCGAGTAAGGAAAGTTGGTCCCAGCCTTGCATGCACCGAGTTTAGCCGTCAGAGGCAGCGTCGTGGGAGCTGCTCAGCTAGGAGTTTCAACCGATAAACCCCGAGTTTGAAGCCCGACAAAAAGCTGATAGCAATCACAGCTTTTGCTCCTTGACTCGATGGGATCGCGGGACATTTGGGTTTCCCCGGAGCGGCGCAGGCTGTTAACTGCGCAGCGCGGTGCCCTCTTGAAAAGAAGAAACAGACCAACCTCTGCCCTTCCTTACTGAGGATCTAAAATGAATGGAAAGAGGCAGGGGCTCCGGGGAAAGGGAACCCCTTAGTCGGCCGGGCATTTTACGGAGCCTGCACTTTCAAGGACAGCCACAGCGTGTACGAAGTGAGGAATTCCTTTCCACCAAGAGCGCTCATTTTAGCGACAATACAGAATTCCCCTTCCTTTGCCTAAGGGAGAAAGGAAAGGAAACATTACCAGGTTCATTCCCAGTGTTTCCCTGGAGTAATGCTAGAATTTACTTTTGTCATAATGCAAAATTAAAAAAAAAAAAAATACAACGAAGCGATACGTTGGGCGGATGCTACGTGACAGATTTTTCCAAATTTTGTTGCGGGGAGAGGGAGGGAGGAGAATTGAAAACGGCTCACAACAGGAATGAAATGTACATTTCTGCAGTGGATTTAAAAAGTACTGCTTGGTTAGTTGGAAGAAAAATAATTTCATTGGAAAACAGTAACAGTGCATTGACGTTTTTCTTCTACAACTTTAGGTAAAGAACTATAGGTGGTCTCAGAAGATAACTAAATCTTTTACCTTTTTGCTCTTTCAAAAGCCTCCCCAAAATATGCATAAAGATGGGATTAGAATCTCAACAATTCTCTTAAAATTACCCTTTGCGAGCAATATATTTCCAAAATCACATTTGTAAAAATGCAGTACGTCTAAAAGAATTATTTCTATTTTAAATGACCATTTACATTTTAAAAAATAGAATGTATCTTGCTATGGTTTGGAACCAAATAGCTGCAGTTTGTATTGATGTCACAGGGATGGAAAACAATTTTGATGAAGAGTAACATGTATGTACAAATCACCTGCCATACACACTATCCAGTTTTGAACATTGGAATTTAATTAAACATTTTTTTCTTCTGAAGTGGCTTTGAGATTACTTCACTTTTCAAATCTAATTACTATGAGAGGGGGGAGGAGAGCCCTTAGTTCTTCCATTACATCCTTCCTCCATCTGAATGTTTCTGTGGGATGCTATGGTTAATGTGTGATGATTTCACTTTCACTTCATAAACCCATTGTGTACCTCACAAGTAGCAAGCTGAGGACATTTTAAAATTAATCTTTTTAAAATTTAGGAATGCTTAGTAAACATTTTACTCTCATAAAAATCTTGCATTACCACTGCTATAACACAGGTAATAAGCTGGGCTGTGAGGGAAGCCAAGCTCTGTTTTGTTTTTAGAGAGTTGTATAGAGGCATTTAATAGCATCAGAATGCACCTATGGTAAACGCTGTAGAACTGAGGGTATCATTTAAGCTTTCATTGAAATATTTTATATGGTATAACATTTACAATATGGAGAACTGCTTTTAAGTATATTGGAATCAGCAGAAACAGCCTTAATTATTTGGTTAAATTATATCACAAGTTATACATAGAGATACATAGATATAAAATCATATACACATCTATGAAGGTGTGTACTTTATTTAAAAATATAACTTGGAATTTAACATACCGTGGACGTCTCTAGAAGGATTCATTCCAAGTATGCATTCTGAAATAACAGAAAGTAGGAAAATAAAAGTAATGCAAGTTTAAAAATTAACTTTCCCCCGACTTTTTTTTTTTTGCTAGCTCATTTCTTCTTACACTTTTTAGCACTGGAGATTTTTATAGCTTTGACACAAAAATGACTTGAAATAGTAAATCACCAAATAAGAAATAAACTGTTCCTTATGCACGTGGTTTTAGGTACCTTCAACCAATGTTCTCCTTCACTAGCTAATACTGAATATCTGTCATAGAATCACCTCTTTTAAGCTCCGTGTGTGATTAAAATGTGATTTATTTAATGAAGATTTAAAATATATTTGGAAGGTGTAGGAACATTAGAATTCAAGGGAAAATTAAAACCAAACCCTAACTTAACGCAAAAACATTTATGATCATTTACTTCCAATGATAGGACATTTTAGAAACATTTTCCCCTGCTTACTCTCCTTCCCTTCTCTCTGCTAGGCAGGTAAATTATTTACATCGAAACCTCTCACAAGTTCTAATAGATTATATCAATTATTATTAGAAATAATTGTTACATGATAATTCCCAAATATGGATCACTTACTGTATACATTTACAACTATAGGTAAACCCATTAAGCAAAGTCACATGAAGCTCTTTTTCTTTCCTTTGAATATCTACATATAATGTTGTGAATTTGAAATTACTCTATCAGCCTTGTATATTGATAACAGCACTGAGTCACAAAGAGGAAATACTGTTCTTTAAAGACAGGATTTGAGCATTTCAAATGCTGCAGACCTAAAGCTTTCAACTCCATGCCACAATATTTAGTATGCTGTTTTTTTTTTTTTAAAAAAAAACCTTTAAAATAAGAGGAGACAATTACTTCAGATTTCTAGATGCTGTTTAAATAGGCAGGAAAACAAGATTTGCAGCTTCTTTAGTCTTATATTTTTGCCAAAGTAAAAGGAACAACTAAAATAAGAGGTTCTGAAGGACTGCTCTATGATGAAATATTAAAGGAATTAAATATGTATAGTCTCAAAGGAGCATCCAAAAAAAAACGAGATTGTGGTTCACAAGTAGATAAAATGACTCCATGAAGACTTTTCTTTTTAAAGAGCAAGGCAGAGAACTAATCATTTGCACTAATTGTGAATGATAAGGTAAGAAATAATAAATGTATCCTGAAGTTACGTCAGCTCAGCTTTAATAGGTGTTGGGGCAGTGGGGTGGGGGTGTGGAATCCACAACGGTAAGACTGACCAGACAGCACACCCAGCGGAACCACGCACCCTGGAAATTATGTCTTGAGACCCAGAGAAGCTTTTCCATGTCTGAGTCTAAGAAATTGGAGTAGGAGAGCAAGAAAACACAAGTTCATCTACACACCTAATAGTTCAGCAATTCTGAGGAAAATGCCAGGATTTTTTAAACCCAAAAACAAGGGCAAAAATGAGTGGATTTTGAAAACTGTGATTGGTAACTATTAAAAACTTTCTTAGTTTGTTGTGTATCAGCAGCCTTGAGAACACAGCAAGTGTGGTTAAATTGGGGAGGGGGAAGGGGTAGGGGGTGAGCAACTGCTGCCCAGGTGAAGTAGCACCTGTGGAGGTTTGAAGTGATTTGCCCATGAAACTGTTAAAGATGCCAGAACCCAAACTGCAAGAGAGGGGAGGTTGCGTGTGTTTAAGACAGTGAACAATGAATCTGGTAGCCCATCCTCCAGTGTGCTAGCTTGCATGCTCTCTCTCTGTCTCTCTCTTCCCTACATCCCCCATTGAATGTAATTATATGCCAGGCAATGGGTGAAGTGCTTTTATATACTTTGCCTGATTTAATCCTCACAAGAACATCATTGCTACCCCCATTTTACAGATAAGGAACCTCACCCTTGGAGAGTTCAGGTAACTTGCCCAAATTCACATCACTCTTGACCTACATAGAAACACACACACACACACACACACACACACACACACACACACACACACACATATTCATATCTACATATAGGTCCACATGCATGGTAAGCTATGTTCCTTTTGGATCATGATTATTTTTGTGGCTATCCTTGGTAGAGTTCTAAAAAATTAACTCTGATCTCATCTTTCACTTTTATCCCCCCCGTCTCAGGGTCTAGATCAGAAAATATCTTGGAAATTCTTCACCATGCAAACCTCATATCATTAGGAGTCAGATTTTAATGTCATTTCTGTCATCCACAGAGTTTGAGGAGAAAGCCAAGGTCCATTTGGCTGAGAAGCTTTTATATTGATAATAATATAAAATGGCGTTTTAGTCTTTTCCCACCTCCACTAGTTTAAAAGGGCATCTTTAGGACTTTCCTAGATACAAGGTATTTGATTCACCTGCCTTCAGCATTCCTTGAATGCTTCCTCTGTCCCAGGCAAGGTGCTAGGCTCACTGATGACAAACACCAAACAGATGAGAGTAAAGAAGTGTCATGGCTGTTGGTGGACACATGTCCAGGGTCCCAGGAACTGGTGGGAGGGAATATAAGAGGAAGAGGGGCCAACAGCCCCTGGTGGGCTCAGGAAAGACTTCCTTCCTAGCAGAGGTGATTTTTGACTTGACTTTTGGAGGTTGGGTAGATTTTTAGGTGGTTCAAAGAGCTAGAGGAGGGGTTTAGGGAGGTGACGGTGGGGTGGGGAAATGGTGCTCTGGGCTGAATAAGCATCATGAATAAGGGCGTGAGTTTATGAAACACATCAGTGTGTCAGTTCCAGTACAGTTGGGGCATAGGTTTGAGACCAGGTTGGGGAGTGGGGGAGGGAGTGCAGCAGTTCAAAAATACATAGACGTAGATAGGTCATTGGAAGCACAAGCAACCTGAGGAAATGTGAACTTCAACATGCGGGAAAATTGATCTGTCAAAGCCAAACAGGGAAATAACAAAATTAATATATATATTAGAAAAATAAGTCTGTCAACAACAGCTCGGTGAGTTGGAGGGAGTAGAGATGAGGAGTGGGGAGCTATAGCAGTTGTCAGACAAGGGGTCATGAGGATCTGGATTAAGCAATGGAGATGGAAGAGGGGATTGAGGTGAGGGAGGGGGAGGAGTCTCCCCAGCATCTGTCCTTTAATAGTAGTAGAGAAGACCAGAAACAGCGGGTTTACAGAGAGACATCGTGATGTCTCTCTGAGCTTTGGATGCCCAGAACAGAATAGGAGGTGCTGGTGGGGAAAACAGGAATTCTGGGGAGAGGTTTCATGTAGAAATAATGAGCTGAACATCCTTAGAATATCTATTGTAGTTTCAGATTGTATCTAGGGTACAATCAAACTCTATGCTAGTTTCAGAGACTGTTTCCAGTGAGAAGAGACCATTCTCAGGTTCTGGGATTATCAACATTCCAGGGTGAGCAGAAGAGGGAGCAACCAAGGAGATGGAGCTAGGAAAAGAAAGAGGAGAGAATAAGTAATAAGAGTAAAGGAAAATGCAGCCGGGCATGGTGGCTAACGCCTGTAATCCCAGCACTTTGGGAGGCCAAGGCAGGTGGATCACCTAAGGTCAGGAGTTCGAGACCAGCCTGACCAACATGGTAAAACCCTGTCTCTACTAAAAATACAAAAATTAGCCAGACATGGTGGTGGGCACCTGTAATCCCAGCTATTCAGGAGGCTGAGGCAGGAGAATCACTAGAACCCAGGAGGCGGAGGTTGCAGTGAGCCAAGATTGTGCCATTGCACTCCAGCCTAGGAGACAGGATGAGACTCTGTCTCATAAAAAGAAAAGAAAAGAATAAAGGAAAATGCCAGCTTTGGAGGAAAACCATGGCCCAAAGGCCACAAAGGGGCCATGAAAACAAGGACTGAAAATATGAAAATATTCCACTGGATTTGTCTACAGAGAGTGCCATGTAACCTTTGCCAAAGGAGCTTCAGTTGAGTGGCAGCAGCAGAAATGGAGCAGAGAGTAGAAAGCGAATGGGATGTAGGGAAGGAGAGAATGAAATTTGTTGGAGGAGGGAGGGAAACTGGTGAGGTAGCAGGAGGAGAGAAAGACCAGTGTTGAGAGGTGTTTGTGTATATATATGTGTGCATGTGTGTAAGATGGAAGCAACCTGAGAAAATTAGTGTTTGCCATGTGTATTTTACTGAAAATAAAATTCATCAGTTTCCACTTCAACCCAGGTCTTCCTCTTGTTTTCCCCACTGCACCATCATTCTCCCAGTTTCCAGACTTGGATCCATGGATTGATCTTTGCCCTCATCCAGTCTGTTGCCAAGATCTCTTTTTGATTTCTTTGGTTGATAACAATTCGGCCCCCACCTTTCAATTCCTATTGACATCATTCTGGTTCAAGTTCTCATTACCTCTCTGAAGATTTCTTACAAAGATCTCTGAAAAAGGGGGTTCCTGCTAATTGTATACAGTACTTCCAGATTAGTCTCCTGCACCATAGTTCTGCTGTGTTCTCCTGGGCATCTGGAATTCAATGCAAGGTCTTTAGCACAGTTCTGCAGGATTAAGAGCTACCCTTCCTGTCCTCATCTTGGAGGGGGGCAGATCCTTCTGCCTCAGGTGAAATTGCCTCTTAAAGACCAATCACATGCTTTATCATCATTTCCACATCTCCTATGTGACTTGAATTATAATATATTTTGGGTTATAGCTATTTAAATATATTGGGTGGTGGGGCGGGTGAGAGGAAGTGGTGGAACCACCCCTTCCCTGGCTTCAGGTTTCCATGTGGAACAACATTCCTTAGTGTAAAACTCTTGACCTCTTTTTACACCCTCATTCCTCCTCCACCATAAAAGATTGAATTACCTAGTTAGTAGCGTTGGAAGCAGAAACTGGTTGTAGAAGGCAGAAGCATAAAATGAACCCCTCAAACTTTCCACCCTAATCCCTGGGGCTGGGAATATGATGAGTTGTCATGCTCTGGTTATGTTACATGGAAAAAAAGAGATTTTTTTTTGCATATGTAATTAAGGTTACTAATCAGTTGGCTTTGACTCATGCAACAGAGAGATTTTCCTGGTAGCCCTAATCTAATCACAGGAGACCATTACAAACACAGTGTTTTCTCAGGCTGGGGCAGAAGTGAAGTCAGCATTGTAGCTAGAAGACAGAGCAGGCACTTGCAAGAACTAGAGAGCAGTCTCTAGATGCCGAGGGTGACCCCTGATTGACAGCCAGCAAGGAAACGAGGGCCACTATGCTACAGCCCCATGGAATTGCATTCTGCCAACTACCTGCATGAGCTTGGAGGTGAATTTCTCCCTAAAGCCTTCAAGTAAGGGCTCAGGTTATCCAACCCCTGGATTTTTGGCCTTATGAAGCTGTGAGCAGAGAATCTAGTACAGCACCACCAGATTTCCGACCTGCAGAACTGTGGGCTAAATTTGTTTAAGGTGCTAAGCTTGGCAATTTGCTCGTTTTACAGCAATAAGAAAACAAGTACCCTGGGCATGCTCTTTCCCTCTCCTTATTCTTTTGGGGAGACACTGCTTGGGTATTGGTGAGTGAGTCTCCCTATTTCTGGAGCTCAGTAGCAGGAAGCCACATACCTAAGCCATGCTCTCCAAAAGTTCTATCAGTGACCAAGCTGGTATTTTTATCTCCATCTGCTTGACTCCTTTGTCATCTCACTGTTGATTGTGGATCACCGGAGAGCAGGGGTGTTTTTTATTGAGCCTCCTAACAGCCCACCAGATAATTGTCTTCATCTCTCTAGATTCACTCTCATTCCCACACAAACGCACCAGTGGATTGTGAACACCTTGCCAGCGAGGCTGTGTTTTACTCACCTTTAAATTCCCTAGGCAGCACTGCAGAAAGTGAATGCGTACCTGAGCCCCTGTGAGTCTGGTTAACTACAGATTCTGCCTCAGCAGGTCTCGGAAGAAGCCTGAGATTCTTGGTTTCCCATAAGCTCCCAGTGTTGCCACTGCCGCTGGTTCAAGGTCTGCACTCAGAGTTGGAGGATCCAGTATCTCAGATAGAACTTTTTATTTTTATTTTTTAGACAGAGTCTCACTCTGTCACCCAGGCTGGAGTGCAGTGGCATGATCTCCACTCACTGCAACCTCCACCTCCTGGGTTCAAGTGATTCTCCTGCCTCAGCCTCCTGAGAAGTTGGGATTACTGGCACGTGCCACCATGCCCAGGTACTTTTTGTATTTTTTGTAAAGATGGGGTTTCATCATGTTGTCCACGCTGGTCTCGAACTTCTGACCTCAAGTGATCTGCCCACCTCGGCCTCATAAAGTGTTGAGATTACAGGTGTGAGCTACCACGCCTGGTGCGATTGGACTTTTTAAGCTGTTGTTATGGCCTGAATGTTTGTATCCCTCCAAAATTCACATTGAAGCCCTAATCCTCTATGTGCTGCTATGAGTAGGATATGTGGGAGGTGATTAGATTAAGATGAGGTTGTGAGGCTGGGGTCCTCATGATGGGATTAATGCTCTTATAAGAAAAGACCAGATTGATCTCTCTCTCTCTCTTTCTCTCTCTCTCCCTCCCTCCCTCCACCGAACCCAATCGTGCTGGTACCCTGATCTCAGACTTCCCAACCTCCAGAGCTGTGAGGAAATACATGTCTGCTGTTTAAGCCACCCAGTCTGTGGTATTTTGTTATAGCAGCCTGAGCTGACCAAGACAAGTATGGTAATAGAAGTCACCAGTACATCTTCTATCAGGCCTCACAAGGAGCTGCTTTACATACATTATCCCATTTAATTCTTGAGCAGTGAGTGGTCCATCATTACTCCCTTCACTTTACAAATGAGGACACTTAAGATTTAGTAATCAGCTCACCCATTCTCAGCCCATGCAGTTTGCCTGCAGAGTGCCCGGTTGCAGCCAGCAGCTTGCAAGATGGTCAAAACATTGTATTACCAGTCAAATTTCCTTATTAGATCCTGACAAGTTGCCTTTAAACCATTAGGACAGGCTGAATTCAGAGGCTCAAGCTTCTAACTCCAGTGCTTTGGAAGGCCAAGGCTGGATGATTGCTTGAGCACAGGAGTTTGAGACCAGCCTGGGCAACATAGCAAGACCCCATCTCTACAAAAAACAAACAAAAGCTATGTGGACATTCTTTCTTATTCTAGAGCAGCACATCCAATAGAAATATAATGAGAGTCATATACATAATTTAAGATTTTCTAGTAGCCACATTAAAAAAGTAATGGGCAAAATAAATTTTAATATGTTTTATTTAACCCAATCTATTGAAAACATTGTCATTTGAACATGTAATCAATATGAAAATTATTAATGAGCTATTTTACATTTTTCTTTTGTTTCTGTACTATGTCTTCAAAAGTCTGTGTGTATTTTACATTTATAGCGCATCTCAATTTGGTTTAGCCACATTGCAAGTGGTCAATACTCATTTGTGGCTAGTGGCTACCATATTGGACAGTACAGTTCTACAGGAACCACTCAAAACACAATTCACCCTGGATAGCAATTTTGCTACTAGTCTGCTAGTGCTTGAGTGAGCTGTTTTTAAACTGCTGTTAGTGAGGACCACTAAATAGTGCATCTTACTTGACTCGTGTTTTCCCTCTGAGCTGTCCTGAAGCAAAGTTCAGAATTTTTATTACAGCATGACTTGATTGACTCAAAGGTGGAAGAACACACATACTCAGCAGCAATAACTGAGTTGCAAAGGCCTACTAACCACTGACAACACCACTAATGCATTTTTACAGCCATGGATAGCCACAAGTTAATCTCACACATTGTTCATTTCCACTTAACATTCACCAGTCATGCATGCCTCAGCCTATAAAACAGTGCTTTGGTTTCCTTGAGCTCGGAAACAATATTACAAAAGCATCTCCTGTCCCTTTCTTTTCCAGCAAAACCAGTTCCCTATGAAACACACCTGACGTATTTTTAAATATAAGCATTATGGATCAGAAATTGGAGGTTCTATTTTTAATAGGCCATGATTTTAAAATAGAATTTCCAATTGGTTAAACGATACTCACTCTCAAATAGGAATTCCTATAAACAGGTTTATTTTGAAATATAGCATATAAATTTTTCAAAAAGCCATCAATGTTTCAGTTTGCTGGCAATCTACCAGTTAAAACACAGTAATAGATCAATTCAGTGAGGGAGCTACTGGTCTAATGGTCTAAGCTATGGAATCCATCCTCATCAGAAGAAATAACCAAGGAGCGGGAATGTGGGGAGAGGTTCACAACAGAAACCACTGCCCCTACTTGCCTGTGTTGGTTCTTAAGGGGCTGCTGGGAACCCCTGAAGGTCCAAGTGTCTCTTTTGTGCAAAGATAACAGTTTCTGGCTGGTCACGGTGGGTCACGCCTGTAATCCCAGCACTTTGGGAGGCAGAGGCGGGTGGATCATGAGGTCAAGAGTTTGAGACCAGCCCGGCCAACATGGTGAAACCCCGTCTCTACTGAAAATAAAAAAAGTAGCTGGGCGTGGTGGCGGCGCGTGCCTGTAGTCCCAGCTACTCGAGAGGCTAAGGCGGGAGAATCGCTTGAACTCGGAAGGCGGAGGTTGCAGTGAGCTGAGATGGCACCACTGCACTCCAACCTGGGGGACAGAGCCAGATCCGTCTCAAAAATAAATAATAATAATAATAATAACAATACCAGTTTCTATCTGTTAGTCTTACGGGTTGAAGACAGAGGTTAAGGGGCCAACGTGTGGACCCTGGAAAGGGTGTGAGCCCTTCTCCACATTCTCTTTGGTGTGGGCCCTTCTCCACATGCTCTTTGGTTCCGTCAGCTACAGACAGAGGTTATGTTTTAAGAGATAGACTGAGAAGTCACTCTCCACATGAAACCAGTCTTCTCTTCGAGTGATATCCTTCAGCTAAGCATTGTGAGAAAGTATCCAAGTGGAGCATCTGAAAATTGCGCTCCAGGGAGGGGAGTTTAGGGACTTGTCCATGGCTTTCAGTTCCCTAATTGGCGAATGTCACACTAGTAAGATTTTCTGGTGGATGATAGATGCAGAGTCTATAAAGTTGCTAATACTTCTGGAGTCTGCTTTCTTTTGTAATCTGCTTTATTTGAGGCATTTTAGTTAATATATTTAAAGCTATTTCCACCACAATGAATAGGAAATGTGACATGATTTTTCTAAGTTGAGTAAAAAAGAAATGAATGAATGTATGAATTGAAAGCAGGGGTCCTGTTCCTCATGTCCCACATGCTATCCCACAGCAAATGCTCCTTCCCAAACAGAATCATTTATTTGGATTCTTTGTGTTTATAATTTACTCTTTCACTAGGAGAATTATGAGATAGAAAGTATTTTTTCCTTAAGCAACTTTTGTGTTCAAAAATAACAGAGTGATTTTAATTGGTTCTTGAAGGGAGGAGGGTAGGGGATTAACTGCAGACCAGCTTGATAAGACGACCCTTGGTGAGCTGGTAGAGCAGTAGGTAGGTCTATGTTAGACCTTAAATGTGGACAATGGTGGGTACAGGACAGGCAAAGGAAATACCCCAAAGCTGGCTGAAACAGCAAATTTCTACATGGACAACTAATTCTTGGATACTTGGAGTAAAGACATCAATATATATTATAAAGACATAAATACATATATATTCTATATAAAGGTATACATGAGATTCACACACACAAATATATTATCTTCAAATGATAGCTAGGTAATCATTCACTCAGATTCCAAATTCAAAATTTAAGATTTAGAGTTATTGATGACTGGATTAATTCATGCAATTAACATGAACCCCAATATATTTGAGTGCAGGAGTACTCACTATCTCATAAGGTAGAGGAACCTGTAGGAAGTTTGTTACTAGCCATGTGAGCAAGTTAGTTACTTACCTTGCCCCAGCCTCAGCCTCCTCATCCACAAAACAAGAGGCTTGGACAAGGTGGGTTTTCCAGCTCCAGGAACATTTATGCAAATGCCACTTGGAATTGTGGGAAATCGGCCCGGGTCTGGTGCTTACCCATGTCAGCATATGGCTAGAGTGAACTTGGGTTTCGAGTGGGAAGGGGCCAGGAAGGAAAAAGAGGACCCAGAATCAACTAGAGATAGGACATTTTAAGGACTTTCCCATTTCACATAGGTTTTCTCTAATTTCACATAAGTATTGCCTGTTTTAAAAAGCAGATTCAAGAAGATATGATTTAAAACAAGTATACACATAAAAATAACTCTGAGATTCTGCATCTTCTAGAAAATCACAGACATGTTGCTATCGTATTCTATAATTTACATGGTGATTGAGAATAGACCCACAGTTACTCAGTGTTATCCAAAATAATTTATTATTATAATCACTAAAAATATTACAATTCAGCTCTTTGATTAATTCTGTTTACTCCATGCCCACCAAATTAGTGAAGTTTCACTATGTATATTACAAAATAATAGTTTAAAAATAATATGGATGTACAATATAGTTTAATTCCTATTCAATAAACAGATAAGCTTCATTATTATTATTACAACTGTTACTACCTCAAATTTGTGACTTTTTTACTAAAATAAAATTTTTCCTATTTATGATCCCATATAGACTATAGAGAAATTTCCCACAAACATAGCAGAATTCCTTAGAAAGGGAATATAGAAGCTTTAGCTAAATTTTGGGTGCCGAATCACCTATTTGTTTTGGGACATAGAAAGTCTACTCAAGAATCCAGAGTAAGACCTTGATCTCAGTCTTGCTTACAAGGTCTTGATCTGTGAAGGAAGTGCTGAGATATCTACATTTGTCAATTAAATAATAAATTGCCAAATATCAGCCTTAGAGTATTCTATAGGCACTCGGATAAGATGGCAAATACTTTCATATTAATCCTGTTATCTTCAAATTTGGAAAACAGACTGTTATAAGAAACAGTTGGCTAAGACTATCAATATCCTGCTTTCTTGTGGGGTCATGAAATTGCCATAGTTTACAAAAACTTTAAAATTTCATGTTGTAGTCTGAAATAAAAAATAGCTGGAAAAAGCAACAATAGAAGTAATAATCCTATTCTCTAATTACGTAATTATATTTTCTAAATTTCATGAAACTGCTAAGATCTGTATTGTAATGGTTACATATTTTCAGGTTACATTATTACTATTATACAATTGATATTCAATAAATGATACCTTTTTATGGGTAATACATTGAAATGGAATAGTAAACATTTTTTGCGGAGACTTCTCATAAAACATCATTGTCTACCTCTCAAACAATAGTTAAGTGAGATTTAAACTTTTTTATATGATTGTTTTGGACTTGCTTAGAAAAATACTACCATTTAAAACTATATTCTAAAAGGTAAGGCAAATTTTGCTAGAATTTTTGAATTAAAAAATGGTGATATTTCTGTAGAGTTATCTTTTTGAAAGGTAGAGAGAAAGAGTGGAAAGATTTTTTTAATAAAATTAAACTAAAACATCTGAAAATAGATATGACTTGATAGCTAATTTTTAATTTATATTTATACGTGCAATGAAATCTATATTCAGAGATCATCCAAAAATTATTAGAAACATACAAACAACACTTGAAAAATGTTATCACATATTTTTGCAGAGTAGGTTGTTTTGAAAACAGCCAGAGCAAAGAAACAGATGATCACCAAAATATTACCACAAATGAGCCCAAAAATAAATTATAGGTCATTTCTAGTTGAACCACTGACCAATTAGTGCACTAATCTTAAGTAACTACATAGCACACTCCCATTTTTTTCTTTCCTAGTTATCTTAACAATTCAAATGCATGTGAAGATACCCATTTTGAGGAGAATTTAAAATGTATTATTGGTTGATACAGCACTTCTAGGTAAGTTCTCAAGGGGGGCCTGCAGCAAATATTTACATAAATGTGGACTTTAAGATTGTTTCAGAAGTATTCTGTTTTAGGAGGTTCTGTAATTGTCAACTTCTCGGTTTAGGAAGAACCTCACGTTTTAGAGAAGAATATTCTAGATCAAGTCTTTTTCCTTAATGCAGAAATAGTAAAGTTTCTAAAATAGAAATCATTTTGTTTAGCCTTCTCTTTAACCAAAAACACCAAATAATGAAGTAGACTTCTAAGGAGGAAAGAAGAAAACTTTACCAAATATGCCAGTGGGGGCTCCACTTTTAGTCTGCAAACCTCTACACCTGGGAGCTGCGCTGTCAAATTGAGTCAGGTCCTGATTGAGCTGAATGATAGACACATAGTGCCCAGACACCGTGCACAGTGAACTCACTCTAGGAGACCCGCACGCCCCCTTCTCCCAATTCACCCACTGCTCTGGAGGTCATTATTTAACACCGGCAAATTGAACGACAACATGAAATGAAGTGCAAGATGTAGATATTTCTTCCCCCTCACTAATCTCGCTCACAAGAGAATTCATTCTTTTCTTTTTGCCTCAGGCATATCCAGGCTAGCAATTTTCATTTTGCTACCTAAATGATTTCCCCATCCCCCACCTTTCCCAATTAGAGTGGAAATGGATTAAGACTTCAGGTTAACCCCTCCGTTACTGGGAATGAGAAGGAAATAACGTTATTATGTGTAAGCTTTATTTTCACCGTTGTGTATGATGCTCTTTTCTGATCATGGTAAACACAGATTTAATTAATCCCACTCTCCCCAAAAGACATTCCTTTAGTGAAGATATGACACTGCCTTAAGGTAAAGAGCAAGAGAAAAACTTCTTTAGCCAGAATGTTATTCTGTTAACTTGTCATCTTTAAAGTGTTCTAGAATGCTTATGAGTAAAATTAGGAAATTTGGATACAAAGTAGGAAGTTATATGGAAGCATAAAAGCACATTGGTTCTTCAGTTACAGAGAATGGATACAACAAAAGTTAATACTTCCTTGGTTTTTACTAAGCTTGAAATATCTGGATCTAAAAAAATTAAGTGTGGGATAAATATCTAGAAAATGCTGGATCATCTGAAACTTATCACGTAGCTTTTCCCCCTACAGAACCTAAAAATAAAAACTTCTCTAGAAAAAAAGCATCCTCTCTTTACTGATCTTTAAAAATTTTAAATGTTGAAGCCCTGAGTATGTATACCTCACATAACTCCTCTATAGCAACCTATAAAACAAGAATCCTCTCTCCTGGTGGTCTGTTTATTTTGCTATGAACAAAAGGGAAGGAGCTTCAGTATTTCTGAAAATAACCTGAATTCCCCTTTGAGACAAAGTTTTGGATTTTCGAAAGTAAATGTGGTACTTTTCTATTTTTTAAACTAATATATAAGTGTACATACTATTGGCTTTGTTGGTCAAGAAAACAGTTTATCATACCAGGAAGAGACTGGGTAGCAGAACAGCAGCCTACGAATGCATTAGATTTGGGTTATGCTGGGTTTTGACAGGTTTGGGGGTTTAAGAAACTGGGTTGGTTCGTCACTAGGAATCCATTAAGTGTTGCTAGTCCGTGAGGACAGAGAAAGCTGTGGAATTCATTCCTCAAAAGCAAAAGCCTTATTTGTGCTAATAGGGTTATAACAACTGAGCAAATTTTAGTGGACAAATAGTAGAGGTCCTTAACATTTACTGAGCTATTCTGAGCTTCAGACATTGTGGCAAGGGCTTTCTGTGCATTATGTCATTTAATCCTTTTGGTAATACTATTAATTTAGGAACAATTATCCCCTAAGGCTTAAAGAAGTTAGACAACTTGCCCAAGGCCACATAGAGATGGAGCAGTGAAAGTAAGAATTTGACCCAGTCAGTGCACAGAGTAGACAATCTTTGAATTACATGCATTTAAATAAAAAAAGGCTGTTCTTCATAGTTCTCATTGAATAAGTTTCATAGACAATGACTTTCCCAAAGGACTCCTTTTGCTTCTGAAGGGCAGCCACTCTCCAGTTAAAGGGGATTTGCAAACAGGCCCACTCTGGATTGCAGTACAAGGAAAGGAACTGCTTTAGAAACACAGAACCCAGATAGATGGATAAATATTTCAATGCCTTTCCAGAATAGTACTTAAGAAGCAGAGCCCATCTCAGTTTGGGTTTGAGCCCATGGCCTTATGGTTTAAATATAAAATGCATTAAAGCTCTTTATTTAGAGAGTCACGTGCCCTTTTGTGGGAGCAGCCCCAATTCTCCCTCTGACTTTAGTGAGTGTACAATGCAAATAGGTGTTTTGATATTGTCATTAGTATTCATTATTCATGAGGACTTGATCGTGTATTCAAAGTCAGCCAGGAGGGTCATGTGCCCCCTTCAGTGAAAACCTTGACTCTAAGGACAGCACTTTCCTGGTGTACAGTCTTTGGGGGCTCTTGACAGCAAGAAAACCTAAACAGGAGAATCCCACTTAGCATCTGCCCACAGGTAAGGGGCACAGAGAAGGAGATATAGACTTCTAATTTAGCAAAAAGAAGTATGCTGCCATGTGAAAAGTTTCTAAACAGTGACTTCTAAACAATAGGTTGTGACCCATAGATTGGTTGTTAATAATAATAATAACAAAAGCAAGGTAAGAAGAAGAAATAGAACAGAATAACTGGAAAATAGAGTGCTTCATCAGTAGTAAGGGTGAATACTGCTTCCTGAAGCTCTTTTTTTGATTGATGTATCTCCCCTGAGCCCTGGCATACTATTTACTTCTTACTGTTTCTTGCTATTCAAAAAGTTTGCAAGCCTCTAGCCTAAAATGTCTTATTTTCTTAGTACTCAATTTGTTACTTGACTTGGTGTTTGGCTCCCTGTGACTCTCTGAAGTTCTCCTTTCTGTGCCTCCGCTTCCACCTTTGCCAAGTCTAAAATCATGCCATGTAAAAGTTATCAAGAAAACCAATTAAATCATAACTGCCGAAGTGCCTTGTCAAGCTAAACAGTCATGAGAGGTGAAGGATTATTATGAAATAAAACAGAGTGAAGCTGTTTTGAAGGCCATCCTTCTGTGGAATAGCATTGGGTCATTTCGTTCAGAGGCGAAAAGATTCTTAGCAAACATTGGGTCATTTTGTTTAGAGGTGAAAAGATTCTTAGCAAACATTTTGTCCAATCCATTTAGTTTATAGAGGGAAAAGGAGGCTCTGAAAAGTGAGTGGCTCTTCTAAGCTCCCGAAACAGTGGCTGATCTGGGACCCCCTGACCTGTGAATTTGTGGTCCACCCCCATGCTCTGCCACTCCTCCAAGAGCCGTTTTGCTACTTCTTTAAAAAAGGGAGGGTCTTATGAAATTGTATTTACAGAAAATTTACAACTCATGCAAAGCTAAATGGATTTCTTCCCTTTCAAAGTGGTTTCCTGATTGCAATCACATAAATTAAACTCCAGCCCCAAAAAAGTCATTCGAACAGAGTAATGATACATCTCCAAGAAGAGATACAGAGAATTCTTTGAAATTCTCAAGAAATAATGCAATGAGATGCAAAAGGGTAACTATTATTAATCTTCTTCCTGAAGTGTCAATCAGGAAGGTATTTTTAAATTGTATTGGAAAGGAAGAAGAGACAATGTTTCTTCCCATTAATGATCTGAACTGAAAGTAAGGGAGGAACTAAAAAATGTGCAAAATGTCCTCGGGGAAAAAAAGTAGTATAAAACATAGTCTTGGATGATACAGCAAGGTCGTTGCTCAATTTTATGTTGTAACACTATTTTAACTGTCACCAAGGGCTGGGATAGCAAATATTGCATCAACTCTGCAAGGTGTTTCCTGGGTTTTGTGGACAGGGGGGTCGGGGGAGGTGCAATCTCCATTCTTGTGAAGGCCAGATAAAGACTTCTGCTGCAAGCCACTATCTTTTTGTGCTGAAGCTGTAGATAACACAGTTTCACACCCTGCTGCCCAAGTCCTGCTTTCCCAATTTGTAGGTCTTTATTGCAAAAGTCTTTTGTGTTTGTTTTATCAGACACATTTTATCATCCTTCTCCAAACACCCTTTGTCAAAGTCAGCCTTTGAACTTCTTTTGCATATACATAGAATGGGACCAATGATTCAGGATATGTAACAGGCTTATCTTATAATTCTAAAGAAAGAGGAACAGAGCCATTGACCTTTCTTCTATATTTTCTTGGGGCTGGTGTGTCTGTGTGTGTGTGTCTGTGTGTGTGTATGTGTGTGCTAGGGGTAAGATGTACAATCTCATTACCTTTAGAAGATAATGCAATAGATTATCCTATACCAATAATTTATGCCTTTTAGTTTTGCACAAATTAAACCTGAATCTTAAAGTTCAACTTGTCTAGGATTGTACTAAAGGCCGCATTGCAGGTAGGGCTAATTTCGGGGTCTGATCCGTGTGGCTCCCCATGCTCCTGACAGTACACCAGGACCACTCTGTGTTCACTCCCGTGTGCAGTCCCCATGCTCCTGACAGTACACCCGACCCTAAGATTCTTGCTTCGCTTGCCTTTGATATGGTGATCTCTGGAACTGAGTATCAAACCTTGCTTGAGGAATTAAAATGCTTGCTCATATCACTTATATCTTTTAAATGTGGAAAACAGAGAGAATCCACTTGGAGCACATCAGATAGGTTTATTACTTTGTTCCTCCCTTGTCATTTTTTGCATGTCTCACATCAAACCCTCCTCTGCAACAGTGAAAATATAGGATGGGATAGATGAAGAAGGTGGTACTCCTTCCTTCTCTGGGCACAGAGGCAATTTCTCAGTGCAGCTCACATGTGGCTACAAACACAGAGTATCACTTTCTTATACAGACCAGGTCACTGTTCCTCAAAAAAAAAAAAAAAAAAAAGATGGTGTTCTATTTGATAACCTGCACTTCTCCAGAGTGACCTCTTCAGCTGAGTCTGGAAGACTGCCTTAGGCAAGTCCCCCGGGTCTCTGGCTACAGAGGGCCATCCTCCATGAGAGATGAGCTTGTTTCATTGTTGCAAAGTATAGCCAAGCTGATACATTTTAGCAAGACTAAAACTTAATCTTTAGGGTTCTGGGTCCTTTCATCAAATTTCCTCTGCTCACACCATGATCTCCATTGTCTCCTCCTCCTCCTCCTGCTCCTCCAGTTCCTCTTTCCTTTCTTCTTCTTTACCTCCTCCCTCCTTGCTTCCTTCCGCCTCTTCCTCCTCCTCCTTCTTCTTCAACTATTATCTACCAAGCTGTGCCTGGGCTGCCCCCAGTGTTTTGCAGTGTGAGGAACTTCTACAGGCCAGCTTGGCCACTGAAAGAAGCCAGTGATTAATGTAGTTTTAAACAAATCAAGATTTGCATAAATTGGCTCTGAAGTCAGCTTCTACAAACCAGCTGGAACACTCGCCATATTCCTAGTTCAGTGCTGTCTTCCCAGTGGGTTCTCAGACTTTGCAGCTCACCCTTAGCCTTCTGTTGCAGGGAAACCACATCCATGTGGCTCCCAGTCTCTGGCAAGCCAGCAAAGGGCTCCAACTTCTCTTGCTTTCTCCACCTTCTCCTCACTGGCTGGAGCACTCAGGACTCTCCCAGGTCCTATTTTTCTCCTTTTGGTAATTTCCTGATAGAAACTCCAGCAATGAAGATAATTTTCAGAACTGTTTTTTTTTTTTCTGGTACAGAATTCATTTTGGCTTCTGGGAACTAAGAAACAAATGAACTGTCTTTCTGAAGTCAAGAACTGTATAATGAAAGCTAAATGCAGAGGCAAAAGCCACTGTCGGTTGCCCTTTGTCCTCTCTGTCACCAGCCCTGGACATGAGGGTGAGACAGAAAGCCTCGCTCTTCCCCAGTGAAACCCTGCAATTGTTCTGTGCCAGATGAAGCCCTCTTCAGATGCTGGACAGGGTCCAGGTGCTGCCCTGTGAGTGGATGCCAGCCTCAGTCCTCATCCAGGCCAGGACCATGTCCAGGGCGGGCTTGCTCCTGAATCACATGCTTCCAGTCAGGACTCTGAATGCAAATGCTGGTGTTTTGTATTTTTTGTCGTTATGTTATTGTTGTTCTTTTTTTTTTTGAAACAAGGTCTCACTCTGTTGCCCAGGCTGGAGTGCAGTGGCTCACCGCAGGCTCCAGCTCCTGGGTTCAAGGGCTCCTCCCACCTCAACCTCCCAAGTAGCTAGGACTACAGACACACGCCACCACACCCCACTAATTTTTAAACATTTTTAGACATGAGGTCTCCTTATTTGCCCCAGCTGGCTGTGAACTTCTGGCTTCAAGGTGATCCTCCTGCCTCAGCCTTCCAATTAGCTCATACTGATGTTTTATTTAAATATCGCATAATATTTCAGTAAAAGGCCTGCAAAGAGGGCACAGAAAGCATTTTTTGGAGTTCACTGGGGGCAGGACGAGCTATCCCATTAGGTGGGAAGGGGTCTCTTCCTGATATGCATCATACAGCTGCTTCTAGTGGTGGTACAGGACCCAGGAGAAGAAGAGTAGGTGCTTAACAAATATTTGCTGAATAAAGGTTGATGAAAATCAATGTCGACAATACATTTATTGGGATCAGGTAAGGAACAAAGGTGATATTAACAACAGCTGCCACCTGCGTCTATTACCAGACATCTCATAGATAGCAACCCTGGGAGGGAGATCTTACATACATGAGGACAGAGGAATGGGAGATCCACCAAGGTGCCTGACAGCTGCATTTGAACCCATACTCAGATAGAGGAACCCTCTGCAGTCTGCTCAGGGTTGGAGTTTGTGGCTGGGAGAAAAGAGGAACAGCCTCTGCAGCCAACCCTCCTGGGCAGCGAATGTCTCCTCCCCACACTGCAGTGAACCCCTGGCCATCCTTCCAGCTCTGCCCTTGCCCCACTCCAGTAAAGCAGCCAGAGAGTGATACACATTAGATTGTGTCTCTCCTCCACCCAAACTCCTTGACGGCTTTCCAGGGCACTCAGAATTCCAGGCCCTGGAGGAAACCAGCCCAGCCCATCACCTAGACCTGGGAGCACCTGTCTCCCTCGGCTTGCTCTGCCATAGCCTCTGTCTGTCTCACAGACGCGCCAAGCTTTTTCTGCCTCAGGACCTTTTCAGGGGCTTTCCTTCTGCCTGGACCACTTTCCTGTCTCTAAACTCCCCCAGTTTTCCCCATGGCTGCTCAACCGTCATCTACTAAAGTAATGGGTAAAGTAACCCCGCTCCCTACCCCTGAACCATCACAACTATCATGTCACATGCACGGGTTTCTTTTCACCATTGCATTTGTCTTATTTGATTTCTGTGTTTATGTATTTGTTGTCCATCCTCCAAGTGACAGAGGGAGTGGATGGAGTGAAGGATAAGTTTTGTCCTGTTCACTGCCCAGCATCAAGAAAAGTGCTTGGAACTGAGTAGATAGTCAACAGACACTTCTTAAGAATGAATGAATCAATCGATGACAATGAACTGTAGCTGCCACCTCCTCCAGCCTACGTACCCTGAGGCATCCTAGATCTCAGAGCAAGGAGATGATGACTGCCAGGCATTGAGTGGTGAAAAAATATTTTCCTTTGCTACTTACTCTTCTATCACTGGGTGGCAGTAAGGCTAGAAGCCTGGGAAATCTCCATCACCCGTCCTCTCTGTTTTGCGATACTCTTGGGTGCCCTGAGGGCTTTAGAGGTTGCTGCGGTCAACAACCTAAGCAACCACTTCTGAGTTTCTGGCATAGTGGCAACCACAACTGGCCAGTAGGTCGAGGAGGCCTCTGCTTAACATATTGCACCGATGTTTTGGTTATGCAAATATATGGTTTTTCTCATTCCGATGGAAAACATTTCTGGCCAAGTCAAAACTACAGAAACACAGCAAGGAAGACTCATCTATATAGTCCCCTCAGTCCCATTGCCCCAGCCTGGGTCCCTCTTTTTACACCCTCAGAAGACTGTTCCCATTGCCTTCCTAGTCTTTGAGATGCAGGCATTTGGAAAGCACACATCTGATGCATACCTGAAACTCCGGATCAGTCACGTAATTGTTTCCAGATATACAGGACATGTGTGATGACAGATAGGATATGAACAGATGAGTAGTGATTGGATCTGAGCTCAACATTCCAAACCGATGCAAACTAGGGTGTGGGGAGAAGCCCCTGGCCTTTCACTTGGGGTGGGGCTGGGGGGCCTTCACCTGGTCTAGTTTAATCTAGAAGCAGGCATAGAAATGGCAGGAGAGGCCAGGCGTGATGGCTCACGCCTGTAATCCCAGCACTTTGGGAGGCTGAGGCAGGTGGATCACTTGAGGTCAGGAGTTTAAAACCAGCCTGGTCAACATAGTGAAACCCTGACTCTACTAAAAATACAAAAAATTAGCTGGGGGTGGTGGTGGGCACCTGTAATCCCAGCTACTTGGGAGGGTGAAGCAGGAAGAATTGCTTGAACCCGGGAGATGGAGGTTGCAGTAAGCCAAGATCGTGCTACTCCACTTTAGCCTGGGCAGCAGAGGGATACTCCATCTCAAAAAGAAGAAGAAGGAGAAGGAGAAGGAGAAGAGAAATAATGGCAGGAGAAGGAGGGAGCAGTGGCTTTGCGTAGACTTTTCTCTGGGATGAACTGGGCTCAGGAAAGGAAGAAACCTGTTGGGTTCTGATGCGGGGCTGTTCACCCACAAAAGAATGGAGAGGTGCAGATGGAAGTGGATCTCCTGCAGAGATGGTGTAGAGACAGAATGGAAACCCCAGGCCAGGAGTGTCAGCTTTGGGAACAGTGGTTGGTGGCATCTGCAGCCTTCTGCGTCAGCTGGACACCACACGTCTTAAGCCTCGTCACCTTCTCTTTACTTTTTTGCCCCTTCAAACTCACACTAATTTCAGTTGAGACAGGGCAGAATGCATACTTTGCACCACCCTATGCCACAAGGTTTCAATCTGGGGTGGGCATGGGGACCCTTTACATTGTATTCTTTAATAATTCACATGGCAGCATCGTAGGGCTACTTTTAATTGCTTCTTAAAAGTAATTAATTGATTTTCTGACGTATCAGTTAACAATGTATTACACTGACACGAAGTTGTGTTTTGGCTCTTGATTGAACCGAGGGCTGTATGGATTAAATTCCACCCAGAGTTTAGCTTAGGAGACTCTAAAAATATGCCTCTATAAAAGGAAAGGCTTTTTACATGGCGTGTTGTCTAAAAATCTAAACCATATGTCCTTTCCAGGCTGTCAATGGGGTAAAATATGGGTTCCAGTGTGTGTAGCTGCTCAGACTTCGAACATTCAGGAGGCATAAAATAACCTACTGTTACTCAATATGGCCAACACTCTGGATTAAAGTCACTCAGGCTATGCCGAGGGAATTCTCTCTCAGTCAGTGTGAAGCAGGAGCCATTCCATCAAAACGTGGTTTGCTAAGGACTCTTGGAAGGAGGCAAATATGAGCTTTGTTCTGAGAGCGGCTGTCTCCTGGCAGGAGCTGAGTTTGTCTGTAGCTGAGTTTGCAAGATCCATTCATTGACATTCCATGATAGAAGAATTATACACAGGGAGGATTCCCATCAACAATGCAGACACTATTAATGGGGACGTTAAGACCAAGATTAGTTAAGTGGCTTGCCCTGGGTCATGCACTGAGTCAGTGGAGCATTAGGAACAAGGACCTCCTGACATTTTGGCTTCTGTAGGGATTTGTGTGGCAATTCTGTGATGAGGATGATATTGTAACTGCCAGGAAGTCACCATGTATATTTCAACACCTACTGTACCCACAATATGAATCTCTTGACAGGGTCATTTCACGGGGGGCAGCATTTCTTCCCCACTTCTGGGAGCTATCACTCTGGCCTTTCTCCCCTTCATATGGTCAGTTGGGCGTATGGGAGAAGGAAGTGGCAACTCAGGGAACTCAGTTCCCTCCTCCCTCCCTCCACTTGGAGCTAGTGCCTGCAGGAAGCACACATTCTGGTCAGTGTCTTCATGTGGCATGTTTTACACTGGTTCAACTGCGCCTGAGACAGGTGAGAGAATTCAGCATTGGGAAGCCTGTGTGGCTGCACTTCACAGCCCCATTCTGCAACTTGGCCTTGAGCTGGCATTTGGATCTGCATGTGTCCCACTTCTTTTTGCCTGTGTCCTAATTGATTTGGAACTCAAGAGGGCTGCCATTCATTGCATGTCCTTCAATCTGAGTGTAAAGCCAGGACATGTGATGATGGCAGAACGAGCCCACTTAAACCTGATGCACAGTGAGCTGAGGCCTTGCTTCTCAGCTGTGTTCCTTACCTTGGCCTGGTCATTCGTGCTCAGTTTCCTGAATTATAGAATGAGGATAACGATTCCTCCTTTACAGCACCGTTATGAGGACTAAATGAGATATTCAACGAGACCGCTTTTAGACTTTGTTTACCCTAGCAGTTGCCCAGTTAATAGGACTTGAACTTTTTTTTTAATTGCAAAGTACCAGAAGAAAGATGTAGAAAAAGTGTTTAAAAACCTTAACATATTATGCTATTTGATTTTTCAATATTTTGGAAACATCTTAAATTCTGACCAAAACTTACAGGAGGAAAATTGAAGGGAAGAATTAATGACTATGTGGAGACAAGGGAGTGCACCCTTTATGAGGAAGAAGAGGTGTGTATAGGAAGCACTTCACAGGTAAAGTCAAGCTCATCACTGATCTGGTCCTGCTGAGCTGAGGACAATACTTGACATTCCTCTGGTAACTGTTTACATGACCATTCATTCTTCCTTGTCCAGCCTAAACACAAATAGGCAAAAAGACTCATGTTCATGGAATCTGCTTTAATTGCAGAGAATGGTTGTTTTATGAGCCTCAAAGGGGAAAAGCATTTTAAAAGCATGTGAAGAAGCATTCTATGCAAATGTAAAATATTATTAACAATCACATGACTACTTTGATCATGTATTTTAACATATTTGTTGTTTCTTGGCAAAGTGGAAGGTGTTGTCAGACCAGAGGAATAAGTGCAAGAGATCAATGATGTTTGGGTGACTCATTTTATAATTATCTTCAAACTTTAAGGCTTGCAAATTCCATTTTTCCTAGGTCAGTGTTATTTTGCTGAGATAGAGAACAAAAGTTAACATTATACAAATATGAAAAAAGTATTCTCTGGGGTCTGAAGTGCTGAATATCAACAGCCTCTTCACATTCCTCGTTTTTGGAAGTGAAAAGCTTTTACCCAGAGATATAGGTTGTCTTCTTAACTCTTTGAAAGTACAGTAATGAGATCCAAGCAGATTCAGTAATCCATATTCTGAAAGTTATTTGGGTTAAGAATAGAAGAGTTTTTTGTGTGTGTGGGGAAGGGGAGAGGGGGAAGAGTCATGAATTATTTACCATGATTCTAGTGATGGCAGAAAGCCTCAAGATTTTGCTGAAGTCACTGATTGATTTTCTGACACAACAAGTGAAAGGCAACGCCAGTGGCTCATTGGTATTGCATGTCAGACACACGATCCCCTGTTAAATGCAGGGCTGCATTACAGCTGCTATAAGTTTGTGTTTCACGGGTGGGAGAAAGGGATAATTTCTGTTACCTGATCATTAATATACTCTAAAGAGTTCTGGAAGAAAGCAACAAACATGAACCCCATGTTCAACGAACATAATATGGGCCCTTCCCGTGGGCAAAGTCCTGTCCTGGAGAATTTGAGGGGTAACATTTGATGAAGGCATGGTCCCTCACTGTTAATAAATGCACAGTCTAGTGGAAGTGGCAGTGTGATTACCAAATACTGAGAGTTCGATGTAGAATGCAATGAATGAGATCACAGAGGTATAAGGCAAGTGTTATGGGAGCACAGGAAGGGGGAGAAATGAGTTCCATCTGAAAGGGCTGAGGAGGGAGGCTCGGAGGAGGAGATGATGACTAGATTGAGTCTGGAAAGAGTGCAGGGTTTAGACAGGCAAAAATGGGAAAGGAATTTGAGCTAGCTCACATGACATAAGCAAAGTCAAGGAAGAGGGAAAGTACAGGGGATGTCACGGAATGGCACATGTTGGATGCAGCTGCGGGACATATCAGCATGGGAAGAGAGGGCCCAGGCAGAACAGAAGGCCAGGAAGGGAGGCCAGCCCTGGGTCGCGGCGGCATTTTCTGAGCTGCCAGGTCTTTCTATGTGTTATCTAACTTAATGCTCACAAAATCCTTTTGGGAAAGGCATCATGATTGCTCTAATTTTATACATAAAATAGCAGATTTATGGAGGGTCAGTAATACCCAAGAACACCCAGCCAGCAAGTGGCAGAGCCAGGACCTAGATTCAGGACTGAAAATAGCAAAGGCCATGCTGTGACCCCATGCTGTTCCGACACAGTAGAAGTCCTATAACTAAGTCTATGGCTAGGGTTTGGAGACTTCTTTCCCATGGGCAGGTGGGCATCACAGAAGGACTCTGAGCAGCAGAGAAACCTAAGTGACCATGCTTCAGGTAGAGCCTGAGGAATCAGTGAAAAGAATGAGTAGGCAGAGATTGAAAGCCCATCGGCCAACTGGGAGATAGGGCACATGTCTTTGTGAAGGGGCTGTGGAAGCCAAGGAAAGAGAAAGCAGATGGAGACAGGGTGAAAGAGGACACTCAGAACTTTGGAGCCTAGACATTGGGGTGAGGCTAGGGCACAGATGCAGATGTCCAGGTGTTTAGCCTGGGTGACTGGGATGATTGCAAATCATCAGGCAGTTTTCAGTTGAACAAAAAGAATTGGAATTCTGCATTAGCATTCTACATCCTACACCTAAAGGCGTGACTGGTTATTAGACAGTAAGAGAAATGCTGACCAGAGTTTTAATACTACATCAATCAGAGGCATTTCTGCTGGGTAACAAATTTAATAAAATGACAACATCCCTTGATATCTCTCTCATTCTTGGCAGAAATATCTCAAAGAAGATAGACAGATGGAAAGGTGGTCAGACACATAAAGAAAGCAAGCGAGAAAGCCTGGAACGTTGAGCCCTCATACAAGCATTGAAATGAATGTGGGGCTTGGTCAGTATGAAAGGCAAGTCAATCATCATCACTGGAAGTCAGAATCAATTTGTAAGATGGCTCGTCAGGACCCTAAACGCATAAACAGAAGAATGAGAGGTTGTTATAAAGTCCTTGGCTTGGCCGGGCGTAGTGGCTCATGCCTATAATCCCAGCACTTTGGGAGGTCCAGGTGGATGGATCATGAGGTCAGGAGTTCAATACCAGCCTGGCCAACATGGTGAAACCCTGTCTCTACTAAAAATACAAAAATTAGGTAGGCTTGGTGGTGGGTGCCTGTAGTACCAGCTACTCAGGGGGCTAAGGCAGATAATTGATTGAATCCGGGAGGCGGAGATTGCAGTGAGCTGAGATTGAGCCACTGCACTCCAGCCTGGGTGACAGGGTGAGACTCTGTCTCAAAAAAAAAAAAAAAAAAAAAAGTCCTTGGCTTTTACCCAAGTGATGATGCTGTGTGTTAAGGTCAAGTTGATCTGATAAATCGCTATGCAATAATCCAAGCACCCCAATCCCTTGGGGGTGCTCATGAGATGAGAGATGCAGGGGCATGACAATATTCTCACCTTGAAAACCTCTTGGGGAGACTTCTCAACATAGGTTTGTGACAATTGTCCCCTGGTCTGAGTTGAAAAAAATGTAGCTGATCATTATCAGCATTGCCAGATTAACACTGGTACCCAGTGAAATAGTCATCCCCCCTTGCAAGGGTTATGTGGAAGGAAGGATCTATGTTTAACAGATTATTTTAGTTTTAAAATTTGCTTATCTTATATATTGTGCTGCCATGGATGCCCTTGATTTTATTCTTTGTTAGGAAGGAATATCATGGCTTTGAAATCCTGAGGCCTATACTGTAAATCTTTCACAAATTTAAAAAAGTACATGAAATAAGATACATGAGGCCGGGCGTGGTGGCTCACGCCTGTCATCCTAGCACTTTGGGAGGCCAAGGCAGGTGGATCACAAGGTCAAGAGATCGAGACCATCCTGGCCAACATGGGGAAACCCTGTCTCTATTAAAAATACAAAAATTAGCTGGGCATAGTGGTGTGCCTGTAGTCCCAGCTACTGGGGAGGCTGAGGCAGGAGAATCGCTTGAACCCAGCAGATGGAGGTTGCAGTGAGCTGAGATCATGCCACTGCACTCTAGCCTGGTGACAGAGTGAGATTCTGTCTCAAAAAAATAAAATACAATAAAAGGATACATGAAATGTATGTGTGAAATGACAGTAGAGTGTATTTTGAGATATATCATAATGTTTAGTATATGCCAGACACTGTTGTAATATATCAATTCATTATAAATGAACACAAAAAGGGCTTTCACTTTCGCATCAATGCTATGAGGTAGGTATTGTTCCTATTACACTAATTTTACAGATGAAGAAACTGAGGCACACAGTTGTTGATTAACTTGCCTAAGATCACACAGCTGGAGGAGCTGGGATTGAACCTAGACAATTTGGTTCCTGAGGCATGGTCTTAACTAGTCGAAGCTGTTTCCCTTGGTACTCAAACTTAATAAGGTGGATTTGCAAGTATAGTCTTTGAAAAGTGATGACCATGGAGAGAAGGGACTTTTGTGAGGGATCCCTGATCTGGTGACCAGTGAGAACCAAGACAACTACACTCATTCAAGACCACATTTTACGTTTGAGCCCTGTTACTGGAGAACAGATAAGGGACCCATCCCGTGTTTTTGACTTCTTGACCTACTGACTTACTACATAACTATATCGATTTTGCATGGAAGCTCCTGCTCTCTGTGGGTTTGACCAGGCACCATTGGCCTGCCTTTTGCTGCAATAAGTCTGGGGGCTTCACTCACTCCTTAGTGGCTTATTCTCACCACATATTTGGCTCACACCAGCAGAGCCTGACTCTTCCGGGGAAAAAATGATTTACCAAATTAGCATGGAGATAAAAATACTTTCTTCTTCGATTGAGTGGTCTCCTTATAGAATTGAAACAAAATTAGATTCAGGAAGTGGCATGCATTTTGGTAACTGATGCTTGATAATTGAGTATTATTAGATTTAGGTTTTTGCCCAAAATAACGATTGTAGGACATTAGAACGAACTATTTCAGATGAAACTTTTCCAATGTGAATCAAATTGTGAAAGGAACAAGCACATCCTGAATTAGTGCTGTATTTTTGAAACATACTGGAGTAGGTTTAAGCATTCCTTCCTTCCTCACGGTAATTGAGCAGATGTTCTTGCCAGGCTCTGCGTTAGGTACTTGGACTTGGGCAGTGAATCAGACAGCAAAAGCCTCTTCCTTTCAGGAGCTGACCTTCCAGGTGCAGATAGAAACACTGAAATGAATTCTAATTGCATGTGTGGTGTGTGGACATAGCAAAATAACCATCATCAAGGAAAAAAGTACTCTTCATATTTAGAAACTTGGCTCCATACTATTTTACCAATTTTGGGAATCCCAATTATTTTTTTCCCAAAGATACATTTTAGCACGTAGGCACACTTTGAGGCTTTACTCCCACTCTCTTTTGTTTCTTTCACTATTTTCTTATTCCACAACCAAGGTCTTTCCCAAAACCCCAGCCTTTTCTCCTCCTGATGGCAAATTATGGCCATTATTAGAGACGGTGATTGTCCCATTTCTGCACAATGAGGTGAAGCAAGAATGAAAATGCTTGTGGATTTTGGTACTACCTACTGGGGGCAGCTTCCAACTGGAAACACACCATGAAATTTACCAGTTTCAGACCAAATTGGATAGTCACTTAAAAAATCCCATGTAAGCATTTGTACCTTTGTTTCATATTTAAGCTGTATATTTTACATACCTGGGAACACCTGGAAAGATCTTTTGGTATGACTGTCTGGAGAAGGTCTTAAACTTTTAGATTGTTAAGGAACTTTTCAGTTCCTTACATAAAACCTAGAGTTAAAAACTTGCGTTCTGAGGCCATCCCTATTTCTCTTGTGATGTGATATGTTGAGAAGTTATATATACACATCCACATGGGCAAGCCACATACTCACTAAGAAAGTCCTTTTGTGTAAATACCAGGAGCTAAATAAACATTTTTTCATGTTTTTTCTAGTTTTATTGTGGTAACATATATATATAACATAAAATTTACCATTTTAACAATTGTATTTTTGTTTTTTGATTTGTTTTTGAGACTGAGTCTCACTCTATCACCCAGGCTAGAGTGCAGTGGCGTGATCTTGGCTCACTGCAACTTGTGCCTTCCGGGTTCAAGCGATTGTCTTGCCTCAGCCTCCTGAGTAGCTGGGATTATAGGAGCCTGCCACCATGCCCAGCTAATTTTGGTATTTTTAGTAGAGTCGGGGTTTCACCATGTTGGCCAGGCTGGTCTTAAACAACTGACCTCAAGTGATTTGCCTGCCTGGGCCTCTCAAAGTGTTGGGATTACAGGCATGAGCCACTGAACCCAACCATTTTAAAGTGCATAGTTATGTGGCACTAAATATATTCACACTGTTGTGCAGCCATCACCACCTTCCATCTCCAGAACATTTTTGTCTTCCCAAATGAAAACTCTTTACACATTGAACCAGTCAACACCACCTCCCTGTTTCCCCCTCCCCCACAGCCTCTGGTAATCATCATTCTTCTTTCTGTCTCTATCATGTGACTACTCTAGGAAACTCATCTAAGTGAAATTGTACAGTATTTTTTGTGTCTGACTTATTTCACTCATTATAATGTCCTCAAGCTTCATCCATATTGTAGCATAAGTCCCTCCTTTCTAAGGCTAAACAATATTCCACTGTATGTACAAACCACATTTTGTTTGTCCATTTGTGTGTCAATGGGCTTGGGTTGCTTCCACCTTTTGGCTATTGCGACCCATGCTGCTATGAACAAGAGTGCACAAATATAAACATTCTTATTCACTCTATTGACATAATCATTTTTTTTTTCTTTTGAGACAGTGTCTCTCTCTGTTGCTCAGGCTGGAGGGCAGTGGCACCATCTGGGCTCACTGCACCCTCTGCCTCCGGGTTCAAGCCATTCTCCTACCTCAGCCTCCCTAGTGGCTGGAATTACAGGTGTGCACCACCATACCTGGCGAATTTTTTTGTATTTTTAGTGGAGATGGAGTTTCACTATATTGGCCAGGCTGGTCTCGAACTCCTAACCCCAAGTGATCCACCTGCCTCGGCCTCCTGAAGTGCTGGGATTACAGGCGTGAGCCACCATACCAGGCCTACATAATTGATTTTTAAAAATTGTGACAGACTCAACTATGATCAATCCCTTTTGAAAATCTGTGGCAGGATAGGATAATATTAATTAATTGATCTTGAATACTTCCAACCCTCCTGATAGATTCATCTATGTCTTTAATAGACACTTGATGGCCGCCCAGCATGTACTGAGCAGCCTGCTGGATCTGGAGGATTCTGCTTCAAGTGTCTCTAACAGAGGAGACAGGACTGTAAGTGGGGGGCTCGAGGCTGGTGCTCTGTGTGCCACAAGCAAGGTGTGTGCCGGTTCTAGAGGAGAAGACAGCAGTTGTGCTTTGCCCTTCCAGGATTGTCAGGAGGGGTTTGGTAGCGGTGGAGAGACCAGAACTGAAGAGAAATGCATGCAATGTACCATCCCTGGGCTAGGAACTTGATCTCTCTTATTTTATGTAATTCTTTTAATAGTTTTATGAGGTAGGTACTTTACTGTCTTTATATCAAAGACAAGGAATTAAGGTTTGGTGAGATTAGTTTGGCCAAGGTCACATACCTAGTAAGAAGCACATCACTTTATAGCTCTTAACTACTCTGTTACATTGATGTTCCAAGCAGGTATTAACAGGGTAAGGGAGAGAAGGGGTGAAGAGTCTTCCAGAAAGAGAGAAACAGTGATCTACATCACATGGGCTGATGAAGGAGCATGGGGGAATTTGGAGAACTGCAAGATGTCCTTACAAGTAGGGTCACCACAATTGCCTGCTGGAGTCCCCCCTGGTGGTGAGGCCTGGGGAAGCCCCCTGTTCCCTCATCTCTTCCTCATTGTCCTTCTGGTAGGATAGCACCAGTGACACCTGGAGAGGCTGGATATTTTCTGCTCAATTTGGGTTTCTGCTGCTTGGGAATTTCTGACATAAACAGATGGAAAACATCAGAATCATTTTTACTGAATAAGTATCTACCATTGATTGAGCGCTTATACTAAGCCAGACACTATTCTAAGTACTTCACCTTCATTATCATTCTAAATCTTCACAACAATCCTTAGAGGTAGGTTCTATGATTACCCTATTTTATAGAGGGAGAAAATAGATAGCAATTGGCATGGCCTTGATTAGAATAATATGTAAGCCCAAAAAACTACAGATGGTCATTACCAATGTCCTATTTATGTATTAGACCCTAACAGCCAACTTTCTCACCTTAGCATGATACAGTTATGTCTTGATTACCTCTGTTATGGTATGGCTTATCCTTGGCCGTTAGGACGGGTGGCTGTATAGCTCAGTGTGCCCCAAAAGAAAAATAATGACTATCAAGCACCCAGGGGCTGCTGATTCCCTTTCATCTTGTGCAACAGTAAAGATGAAATATCTATATTTAAATTGGGCTCCTTAAGAGGTGGGCTGTCACTGTCAGTTAGCTTTGTGGTTTTCATTTCTTTCCAGTTCAGAATTGGATTTGTGAAGAAACTGAATAGTGATGAGACCGGCCCTGTTCACCCTGATGACAGTTATGCACGTTTTTAAGTTGTGACGTCATGAAAACTTGTGGCACCTTTCTGAACAGCCAGAACTTCATTTCAAACAAAACTCTAATTATAGTTGTTACTTAAAAAAAGTCCAAACTCTAAAAACCATAACCTAGTTGTTGACCTAGTTTATAAAGTCTAGGCATTCCACGGGAATTCAAGGTGCACAAAGGCCAACCTGAACTTGTGGCTGACCCCATACCTTCTGCTCTTCTTATATTTCCCATTTCAGTGAACAGCAATTCTGTCAACCATCATTCAAATGCAAAAGCTCAAGTCTTTCTTTCCCAACACTGCAACTCTGTTGATTTTACCACCTCCCCATCCTCTGGTTATGTCCCTCACCTCCTCCCCACTGCTGGTCTCTGGAGTTTACTTAGTAGATCTCTTCGATTTGGCCTTGACTCCCACCTTGCCATCTTCCACGCTGCTGCTGAGCCATGTCTCTCGCGTTAAAATCTGAACACATTTCCCTGCTTGAAAGCCTTCTATAGTCCCCAGTGCCAGGAGGTCCTGGCCACTGGGCCCACTGTCCACATCTCCTGTCTTCCCCCTCTTGAATCTAATGCTGTTGTTGTATTGACATTTTTGTGTTTTCATACGTGACAGGGCAGTTCACAAGTTGGGGCCTTTACTCACTCAGTGACCCACCCCCCGCCATGGTGGTTTTGCCTCTTCCCCTATGATGGCTAACTTCTCTTCACAACAGCTTACCCATCAATCCAACTTGGGATCCTGTCCCTTTGCTAGGCCCAACTTAGCTCCTCTCCTCATTTCCTTCAATTCATTTCAACTAAATTTCAGTTCATCTTTGATGACCACTTGCTAAGTGCTAGGCTCTGTGCTCTGTGTTGGGAATATGGAGATGAATGGAACACAGTCTCTTTCCTTAAGGTACAACAGGTTAATACTCAATAGCTACAAGGTGTAGAGGTGGCACAGGGTGGCTGGTGACTAATTGTCTTGGAAGGCACACAATTCCTGGAGCTAGTGATATCAGGGTAGAGTTTGTTAAAGGACAGTAGGAAATTGACCTGTGGCTGTGGTGTGTTGGTGATGAGAAGAGGAGAGACATTCGAGTTGGAATAAGCAACATGTGCACAGTCATGGTGGTACAAACGAAGAAGGTGTTTGGGAGACTCCTATGCGGTTTAGTATCACTGAAAAAGTCTCCTTGGGCATGAGACCAAAGAGGAACGTGGGAGCCATTTGAAGGAGTATCATGTTTATTATGCTGAAGAGTTCAATTTTATCTCTTTCCTGAAATTTCCATTTCTTCCCTGTCTCAATCAGCTTGGGCTGCTATAACAAATTACAATAGACTGGGTGGCTTAAACTACAAACATTTATTTCTTATAGTTCTGGAGGCTGGGAAGTCTAAGATTAAGATTCAGCTCTGGAGGGAGCCTGCTTCCTGGTTTGCATATGGCCATGCTGTCATTGTATCCTCACATTGTATGTGTGAGAGAGAGGAGGCAAGCTCTCATGTCTCTTGTTATAAGGGCACTAATTCTATTCATGAAGATTTCATCATCATGACCTAATTACTTCCCAAAGGCCCCACCTCCTAATACCATCACATGGGGTGTTAGGGCTTCAACATATGACTTTTGGGAGGATACAAACATTGAGTCCTTAACATCCCCAATCTGTGTTTCCCAGTGAGTTCTATGCAGGTGCAATGAAGTCCATAAACTCTTCCCAAACTATGTTATCCTTTAGAACAGTTGTATGAATTTCCATAGCACTGGTAGTTTGGGTTACGTATCTGAAAACATAATTATACAGGTCTTTCATTACTCTTGAATTGGATCATGTGAGTTTATTTTCACTTCCTCAATGTTATGGGTTGAATTGTGTCCCTCCTAAAAGATATGTTGAAGTCCTAATCTCTGGTACTTGTGAATGTGACCATTTTTGAAATAGGGTCTTTGCAATTATAATCAAGTTAAGATGGGTCATTATGGAGGGTTCTAATCCAAGATGACTGGTGTTCTCATAAGAAGAGGAAAGCCATGGGAAGACACAGACACAATGGGAGAAAGCCTTGTGATATCAAAGGCAGAGACTGAAGTGATGCAGTTACAAGCCAAGGAGTGTCAAGGATTGCTGGCAACCATCAAAAACTGGGAAGAGGTAAGGAAGGATTCTCCCCTTCCTGTTTCAGAGGAAGCCCGGCTCTTCCTGATCTTAGACTTCTGGCTTCTAAAGTTTTGAGGCAATAAATTTCTGTTTGCTTAAGTCACCCAGTTTGTGGTACTTTGTTATGGCAGCCCTAGGGAACAAATACAGCTAATTATATTGTAAGATCCTTAGAGGTAGAAAAATGATGAAATATTTTAGCATGATTACAGCATGGCTCAGAAAGAGGTTCGAGAAATAATTGGTACGTAAATGTTGAATGGGTGCATGAAATGGAGATGGGAGTTCACAATAGTCAGAAGGGTGTAGAGTCACCTGTTTTTCCCAAAGGCTAGTACTATAGAGTGCTTTCCTTGTGCATCTCGTTGGGCCATGGAAAAGCTGTGCTTCTCTGTCACTTAACTTATTCTTATCACAGTCATTCAAAGCAAAAATAAGGGCAGAACATATACACAATTGTTAACAGAAGTTATCTCTAAATGGTAATATTTTGGGTAATTTTGATTAACCTTTTGCTTTAATTATATTTTCTAATAAAAAAATTATGTATTCCTTTAATAATTAAAAGTATGTATTTTAAAAATACAAATGTGCTTAATATGAAAAGACAGGCTGTGCGTGGTGGCTCATACCTGTAATCCCAGCATTTTGTGAGGTCGAGGTGGGCAGACTGCTTGACCCCAAAAGTTTGAGACCAGCCTGGGCAACATAGTGGGACCCCATCTCTACAAAAAAATACAAAAATTAGCCCAAGTGGTCGCACATGCCTGTCAGCTACTCAGGAGGCTGAGACAGGAGGATCCCTTGAACCCAGTAGGGCAGTGAGCCATGATCATGCCCCTGCACTCCAACCTGGGCAACAGAGTGAGACCCAGTCTCAAAAAAAAAAAAAAAAAAAAAAAAGACAGCACATATTTATTATTGACTAAATCTGTCAGCATTTTGATCTACAACAAACACAAATTGTGTTTTTCTACAGCACATATTTATTATTGACTAAATCTGTCAGCATTTTGATCTACAACAAACACAAATTGTGTTTTTCTAAAGCTCTTTGGGGTTTCTTATAAAGCAGGCTTTTTAACCAATGTTTTGAACATATCAGGTTAAGGTATGTGAAATAGTCTCTCCAGGTGGGATTTAACATAATGCAATAAGAACTGAAGATTTAATAGAGGATTTCTTTTCTAAGCACAGGAAGAATGGTGAAAGCATTTAGCTTTCACCATTGGCCAGACAGATAAAACAGACATTCCCTAAAGACATCAGCACCTTAGAGAGAAAATCAAAACTACTCAACAGAAAAGTGTGAGGCAAGGAAGAGCTGCAGATAGTGTCTACAAAGGGTGGCTCAGCAGTTCTGGAGTGGTTTCTCTCACTGCATTTCCTTTCCCCAGAGGTCCCTTTGGCTAAAGCACTGTCCAAAGGTCAGTTGCTGGAATGAGTCGTTTAGTGCTGAGGAACCAGTTGCCTGCCCAAAGAGTTGCTCCGCCAGCAGTAGGAAAAAAAAGAAAGTGTGAATTCAAGTATTTCAGAAAGTTTGACTCCCACTTTATAAGAGCAGGGGGAAAATTCATAAAGAAAGTGAGGCCATTAAAGAGCTGGAGTTTACAGGATTGTGAAGCAGGAAAAGAAGTCAGTCTTGGGAAGTACCATTAACAAATTTAGTAACAGGCTGGGCTTCAGCCTCCTCTTCCCTTGCCACACTCCACGTAACACAGAATGCACAAGACACCAAGCCACATGTGTGATTTCTCTGGACTCGCACGTGTAGGGCAAGCTGATGTTCATTTGTGAATTGGATTTCTCATTTGCGGACTCTTATCTATGATGCAACTAGTTTCCCAGACATTATGCTTTGTCTTGGACAGATGTTGGTGAGTGCCATGCAAGTGCCCTGGGTCAAAAACGGTTTCTCTTCTCCTCTGCGCCTTGGGTGGATGCAGGGGGCTACTCATTTCTCCTGAGCCTTTTCCTTTGACTATAGATGACTTACCTGTATATTCAGACTCTGAATTCAATAAGGTTCCCTTGCCTCGAATTTGCCATTTACTTTGGACATGGATGGAAGCTTGCAAGCGCAGAGCACCATACAATGAATATTTTAGAGCACATTAATGGTACTGTTAGTATAGACAGAGGGCCTGCCACATAGTAGGCTCGTGAAGGCTGTTGTCTGAAAAGAGCTTGCTTTGGGGACACAAATCAAACTGTATATTTGGTTGATAAGATTCAGAGATGTGAATCCATCCACAGCTAATGGATGGACCAGCGAGTTAGCTCTGGCAATGTCTTCTCTAGAACAGTGGTTCTCAAAATATACTGCACGTTATAATTGCCTGGAGAGTTTTAAAAAATTGTAATGCACAGGCTATTTATCATACCAAATTAAATCAGAATCCTTGAGGGGTAGGACCCAGTCTTTGGTGTTTAAAAAAAGTTCTCCAAGTAACTTCAATAAGCGGCCAGAATTAGTCATCACTATGGAGTGACAACATCCATAAATAGCCACTAGTCTTATGTGATAATTTAAATTTAAGCTAATATCACTTACAATTAGTTTCTTAGTTGCAATAGCCAAATTTCAAGTGCTCAGTAGCCACATGTGGCTAGTGGCCACCACACTGGAGAGTGTAGAGTTATGGAACGTTTACATCATTGTGGAAATTTCTGTTGCACTACTTAAGAGTCTAGAGCTCTAGGTTTATACTGAGTTCTTCAAGCTGAATGAATACTGAATGGCCATACTACCAAAAAGAATTTGAAGTAAAATATTCTTGCCATAGATTCTTTATCTTGATACCCATCTCTATAAGGGCCAAGTTACGAGGCCAGGTGCGGTGGCTCACACCTGTAATACAAGCACTTTGGGAGGCCGAGGTGGATGGATCACTTTAAGTCAGGAGATCGAGACCAGCCTGGCCAACGTGGTGAAACCCCGCCTCTACTAAAAATACAAAAAGTAGCTGGGCATGGTGGTGCATGCCTGTAAGGAGGCTGAGGCAGGAGAATCGCTTGTAACCAGAGGTGGAGGTTGCAGTGAGCCAAGATCGCGCCACTGCACTCCAGCCTGGGCGACAGAGTGCGACTCCATCTTAAAAAAAAAAAAAAGGCCAAGTTACAACTAGAAGGCTGATTTAGATTTTTTGGCCAAAGTTATATGTTTCTTGAGATAAAGATCTGATGCACAACTCAAAACAGTAGTGTTTTTTGTTAAGCCCACAGCTGTGGTCAGTGTCCATGGTTATCCCATAATGACTACTTCCACCTCATTGCCAAGCTCATTAAAAAAGAACAGTCTCCACACAATGCAGTGTTAAGTTTCGGGGCTCAGAAAATCCCTGAGAGTATTGCAAGCTTATTTCTACAGATTTTTTTTGGGGGGGGGGGTAGATTTCACTTTGTGTACAAATCCACTTTAGAGCTCCCCCTTCTCTCTTAAATTCTCGAACCTGTAGAAAGCATCTAGGCATGTCCTCTTTATCTCAACTCTGTACATCAGCCTGAAGCAACTTGTCACCAGAAAAATGGAAGATGAGAAGCAGATTACCTTTCAAATTCAGTAATGCAAATTATTAGATGCAGTCCTTCCCTGGAAAATCATATACACGTTAGGGTTCTCAACAGGCTGTCTGACTTAATCACAGTGTATTTATTTAGGGATTTGGTTATAAAACACTTCTATAGCAACACTGTAGAATGGACCACTGTAAGGAAAAACACAAAAGCTGGGGCCAGCAGTTTATCACCTGGAAATAGCATGGCTTTGATAATTTGACTCATTATGAACTCACAGAAATAGATCTATTCTCAGAAATACATTTTTAGGGGCGGTGGGTGAGGGACAACAGAGAAAGAGTACATCCAGGGAGGACGCTGATCTCTCTGCTCTTTATCTAAGAGAGATTCTCATATGTTTGACTTTTTATAGATTTTGCCATTGAGTTTCATGATTGCCAAGATGCCCAGATCAATACCTTGAGGGAATACCTTTTGGCTGAACAACATGACACTGGAGACTGGCACTGGTTTTGAATAAAATACCAGTGAGGAAAATTTTTAAAATACTCAATATATAATTCATCTGAGAATAACAAGTGACATGAACAAAAATTGGCTTTTTAAGAGATGAGGCTAAGAACCAGCTTACAGCCTCTCAAAAGACCTTAGTTGAATATTCTTTACCCAAGTCACTTCTGCTGTCACTGTCTATCCTTTTTAACACACACATACAACTCCTTATGTTACAGTGAGCTCTTCAGAGCTCCTGAAGCTGCCATCCAGGTATTCCTTGAACTGTTGTCATCCCGGAAAATTCTGAAACTTTCCTAGTATTTAAGTATTCATATATCCCCTTTTAAGTATTAGTCCCTATAGTAGATGCAAAAGAATAAGATACAACTCTTTATTTTGTAAGGACAAATGAATGACATATGTTTCAAGAATAAATTCTTTCTCTCTCTCCATATATATACATATCTCATGAAAATATATCTCATAAAGATATATATTTAAAAATAAATATATATATTTGAATTTAAATTAATGTCATTTAATATTAATTTCTTAGCTGCAAAAACCAAATTTCAAAAAATACATACATATACATATATATTATATATACATATATACATGTATATATATTATATATACATATTATATATGTATATTATACGTGTGTGTGTATGTATATATATATATATATATATAAATAAATAAATAAAATTTTACAACTAACATTAGCCATTGAATAGTATGAACCTAGACTCTGGTTCTTTTATCTGATGACATGACTAGAGGAGGGATGGCCAAATAAGGTTTATCTGGGGTCCCAACTCTGATTGATTAGAACTGGCTGAAGGAAGGACTCTGAGACCACAACTGAGCACAGCAAGAATGAGTGCTGTGATCAATTATTGATGTCTGCAACAGGCAAGAGGGGACATGTGCTCAATGGGCACATGTGGCTAGTGGCCGCCATATTAGGCAGTGTAAAATTATGGACTATTTACATAATCGTGGAAATTTCTGTTGCACCACTTAGAGTCCAGAGTTCTAGATTTCATATTGAGTTCTTCAATTGGAATGAATACTGAATGGCTACACTGCCACACACACACACTCTCTCTCTCTCTCTCACACACACACACACACACACACACTCCACCCAATTCCTTTCAGAGATAAAATTTTGAGATTTGAGAAAAGACAAGGAAGAAAACTGCAAGTGAACCATATATAGAAGTAGTTTCTCAATTGTAAGGTCACCCATTTCTTCCTAGACTTTTTTTGAAGAAGATGACAGTTCCTCATCCTAACCTTCCAAACTTTCTTGGTTGAATCTGCCAGGCAACTCACATCCAATATCCTAAGAGATCACAAGCAGTCACAATGGTAGCAGACAGAGCTGGCTAGAATTGGCAAGAGAGGCCCCATCACTGCCACCCACTTCTCATTTGGGCCGGAATCAGATGGGTTTTGTTGTCTAGTAGAAGGATTATCTAATTTACCTCTGAGTTTCTCTATGTGATTCTTGGAGCCCAGCATTCTGATGAACGCATAAAAGGAATTTTGACTTGGGTTGTGCTAATCCTCCTTACACATCTGTGCTGCCTAGAGGTGATTCACTTCTTTAGAATCCCTCCAATAATATTATTATTTTTCTAAGCGTCTGGAAGGTAGTGTCTTTGTTTGCTAGGGTTGTCTGCATTTGAAAACAAGTTAATCAACATGCATTATATATATATACACATTTATATATATATATACATGTGTATATATATGTGTATATATAATATATACATGTATATAATATATACACGTGTATATATTATATATAAAGCATATATAAATGTATACAATATATTATATATAATGTATATATTATATTATATATGTATATAATGTATATGTATTATGCACATGTATATGTATTACATTATATATACACGTATATGTATTATATTTTATATGTATATAACGTGATATATGCGCCTAAATAGACTGTGGTTCTTTTATCTGATGAGATGACTAGAGGAGGGATGGCCAAATAAGGTTTATCTGGGGTCCCAACTCTGATTGATTGGAATTGGCTGAAGGAAGGACACTGAGACCACAACTGAGCACAGCAAGAATGAGTGCTGTGATCAATTATTGATGTCTGCAACAGGCAAGAGGGGAAGATGTGGCTGGCTATCTGCATACCAGATAGTCCCCATCTTAATAAAGAATGAAGCTTGTGGAGGGGACAGTGGGAGATAGGGCTGCGTAGAGTGGTTGGATTTGTGTTCAAAGCGCCCTGAGAAGTCTGTACTGAATTCCTTAGGCAGTGGGGAGTGGAAGAGTCTTGAGCATTATAGCAATATGACAACATCTGAACTTTTAGGAAGCAAACTTGGCCATATGTAAGATGGACTGAAGTGGGGGAGGATAACCAATAAACTAGGAGCTTAAATAAGAAAAGGTAAGGACAGTGCAGATGTGGGAACATTAGAACTGCCTTGGAGCAAATGATAACCATGAGATTCCCATTTTGGATGATTGAGAGGGTGTTTTAATTTATAATGAAGGTAATTAATTTATAGAGAGTTGTATTCTTTTTATCTGTTTTCATGTAGAGTGCTTATTACAGTATAGATGTTATAAACATGTTTATTGAGTAATATATGATAATAAATTAATGAATGAATGAAAGAGTAAGTGAAAGTTAGGAGGAGGAGCTGGTTTTGAGGAAAAGAGGACAAGTTATATTTTATACATTCTAAGTTTCAGGTGTTGGCAGGGCCCTCTGTAGAGATGTCCCCAGTTCAGACATAGCTTTCCAGTCCTCTTCAAACCTACCATTATACCACTGCTGGGTTGTGGGTTCTCCCCTCTAAACGACTACTTCCTGCATATCACTTTCCATATAGCTGATTTATGATTTTCTTTTAGAAAACCATGCCGGTGATCTTTACCTATGTAAAACAGTTACAATTTATTGAGGAGTCCATTATGTGATATCATTTGTGATACAATGTATCATTGAATCTTTATGGCTCCCTAATATTGGGGACAATATTATACCCCTTCTACTGAGGTTACTAACTCAAGTAGTAGAGTTGAGATTCAAATCCAAGTTGCCTTCCTTCTAAATTTTACCCCTGTTTGTTTCCCCACACTGTCTCTCACTACTAAGTGATACATTCTAGAAAATGCTCATGCCATGCTTCTGATCTCATGTTAACCAACGGTGCCTAGTGGAACCTCATTACCCCCGGCATTTCCCATACTCCTCTCCCATTTACCCATTTCTCTCATCCATGATTTTCTGACCAATTAGCCAGTCTGTCCTACATTATACCCATCTCTCTTCTTATTGCATGTGCATCCTCTTTTATGCATTCACTTCTACTCCTATTTCTCACTTTAGTACGTACATGTACGTGTGCATAATGATCACATGCTTTTGAAGTGGTATTAAGAGAGTTTGCACAAAAATTGTGGGACAGATATGGGTATAATGTGGTGTGTGTTCACCCAAAGCTGTTGGCTTTAATCAGGATTGCAAAGCTATACACACAGGACATAACAGTTTATCTTGGAAAATTAGTGGTTGGGAACATCTCGATGGTGGACTTGTTTCAAACTAAACACCTCTTCCTCAACCTTCAGTGCCCTTCTGCAGAGCTGTTAGTGCATGAGTACTGTGAGATGCGTCCTTGTTACATGCTACAAGTAGCCCCTCAGGTAGAAGCCAGTGTTTCCAAATGTCTACATAACTAGGTCAAATTACATCCAGAGCTAGGCTGTGTTGCTCTGATGTGTTTACACTTATTTTCCATTGAATCTAAGTTTCTAATGTTTTAGGTCACTAACAATGAATCCAACATCTGACATTTTATGAGTGGTGGGATGTTATCAATCCTTCAGCAAGTTTTGATGTTTTTTTTATGACTTCTGGCAAGCTGGAGTCATTAGGATTTATTACCAGAAAAGGGAACAAATACTGTTGTTTTACTGTGTTCGACGTATAGTAGCTGAAAGTAGAGTATTTTCAAGACCTATGTTCCTTTTGAAATAAAAAGTTCCTAGGTCTTGCCTTGGTCTTTGGGTTGGCTGGGCATGCAGTACACTGCACTGAACTCACTGGTGTGATGGACCCCGTTCACGCACCACTCCAGACCTTCCTGGCTCAGTGCCTGGGAGTTTGTCTTGCTTCTGGGTCTGGGTGGCCTTGGAAATGGGGCAAAGGATACTGTCATAAAGCCACAGCTGCTGCTATTGCCATCACAGACCAAAGAATTCCCATGTGTGATGCTCACTGACAAGAGGAGTCAGCTGTACCTATGTGCTACTTGGCCAGAACTTAGAGATGCTTGGATTTCCCAGTGGCTACCTGGGGGTTCCAGGTAACAACTTGCAAGTGCAGGGGGAATTAATACTGTATTGGGTGAACTTTTGATCAATGAGAGGCAGTGGATAGGGAGAATCCAGCAGATAAGTTGCTTGCCTTTGTTCTAAGACACAGCAGATTCGTACAGCTTTTCTGTGTATGTCCTGAGAGAGCAAAGGCTTAGCTAAGTTTCTCATGAGCTGTGACTAGCTCTGTGCCTTTTCTTTTGCTTTCACTTTTACTTCCTTGGGACTGTACACCCTGTTGCCCCACCCCAAAAAGCATATAAGCTTTTGAGTCAAGTTTTTTTTTAATTTTTTTTTAATCATCTTAGGCTAAGACACTTTTTGTCCCTTCTGTTAGATTTGAACTCTTGGAGGACTGAGGCCATGTCATTTTCATGTTTCTCTTGATTGCATCTAGATATTTATTGAAACCATGTTTGCTGAATGACAATGTCTGGCTTACCACCCAAAGGAAGTTCAACAAAGGGGAGCAGAATCCCTCAATTCAGGGTGGCTTTGACATTCATGTCACACCCAACCTGCCACACAAATATTGGTCCAGCTCGCTGTGTCTTGGCAGGTGATGGAAGCTTGGCCTTGGAGGCACCAAGGAGCTAAGAGGACTCCATGATATGAACACAAAGGTCGATTCACATGCTGGTGCTTTAGGGGGCATTAAAACCATTCCAGAGAAGCAGGAATAAAGAATATAGGAGCATCTTTGTGGACACTGGGTCTGCAGGTCTAGCAGTAACAGAGGAGGGCATAATGGATTCATGAGGTCAAAGCTGGGATGGACCTTGACTGTAATGAAAAGAGGCCATGAGGGTGTGAATCAGGGAAAGAGGATGAAGGCAGGGGTGGGAGTTGTGTTGAACAATTGGCAGATGATCCAGGAGGCTTCATAGGTTGAAGACTTTCAGCTACTCATTAGGAAACAGCAGGCATATTCCTTCATTTTTCCCCTTTTTCATTTTTTAGACTTCCCCATATTCATTTTCCCTCTCTCTCCCTTACTGCTATTATTTTTTCATGTTTTTGATTCTGTCTTTATTCTACATTTGATGATTCAAAATGTGACATCTTTACATTTAATGAATTCTTAACCCAGTGGTATATGTTTTGAAGAGTGAAATTAATAAAGAGGCTTAGAGAGCAAATAGAAATACACTTCTATAATGAAAATAATCTGTCACTCATGCGTTAGCTGATTCTAGTTGATGTGTTCTTTGGGAGCCTGAAGACAACCGAGAAATGGGTCCTACAGCTGTGAGCTCTCCTTCCACTGCCATGATTTCCTTCACGGAGTCATAGCATTGCTGATTCCTAACTGGGATGTGGTTGGACTTAAACCTTGGTTTAAATCCTGACTCTGATATCCAAACATCCTAAGAGTCAAGTGCCTGGTTTCTTAGTTTCTGATTTTTTACACAGATAATACCTTCACAAACACATACGGTATATGGAAGTTGAAGAAAGAAATGAAATAATGTTTAAATATGACTTTGAACATATTCAACAAAACTCTCGGGTTCAGGAATTTTAGTATTGTGGTAAGAATATGATTGCTGTGAATGACAATAATAGTTGAGCTAGCCCTTCAGTGAACAAGTTGAGACACTTTTTTTTTTTGTAACCTGGTTAACATAGGGTTTCTCAACCTCAGAACTCTTGACATTTTGGGCTGGATGAATCATTGCTGTGGAGAGCTATGCTGTGTATTGTAGGATGTTTTGGCTCATCCCTAACCCCTACCTATTAGATGCCATTAGCCTCCCCTACTCCTGATGTCACATCCAAAAATGTCTCCTGACATTGCCAAATGTCCCTTCCTGGGTAAAATCTTTCCCAGGTGAGAACCACTGGGATACAGCATGTCCACTAGAGCTATAGTTTTCCTCCTTATATTAACGTGTTGACTAAAACTTAAAAAGCAAACATAATAGATACCTCCAAACAGCAAATGGGCTAATGCAGTTGGTATACACAACAGTACATCTGCCAATGTTTATACATAGCACACGGCTGTACTCAGCTGCAGCCAGTGACAAACAGAATTCGGAGTTTACTTTCAGTCCACACTAAGAGGTGACTAACATGGCGGGATAAAAAGCCAGGAGACCCCCCTTCCCAGAAGCCCCCCTTTGAATCACAACACATATGTGAGTAATGACTGTGAATTGAATTTATGACTCAAGTGCTGTTTGTCTGCATACATCAAATAAAATTTGAGACTTAAAGACACAAGCTGCCATGTTCGTTTCCCCCCTCATATTCATTTGTGATAACTACTTAGAATTCAGCCCCCCTCTTTTTTAAAAAAAAATAGCACTCTGTCATTTCCAGAAAATGTTTTAAATTAGTACAAAACTTGGCTAAATTTAGCTTTTATAGAAGAAAGAATAAAACATAATTAACTGTTTAAAGAAGAAAACAGAAACCACATGAAGGAATGAGACTTGCTGGCGAGAAATCTAACAGTAGTGCTTGGTAGCTAACCCATCTCCTGTGTAACAGATGTTCACGAATTTAAATGGAAACAGGATGGGCGTCCCCATAGAAGGCATTTGTGATAAAAAGCTGCTAACTGTGTAAATGTACGAGGCTGCTACAGGTGTGGCATCTCATCTAATTGCCCAGGGATGGGACTGCAAGAACACTCGAATGCACAAAGCAAAAGAAAGTCTCAGCATGGCAAGAAATATCGACAGATAGAACGCTTAGCAGGATCCTGGCCGGGAGACCCCATGGGTGCAGTCTGCTTGCTGTAATTGCCGGCTGGAGTGGAAAAGAAAAGACTCTGTTTTAAAGCTCTCGAAGCATTCGTCTCTGGTTTTAGCAGAACATATAACATCTTCTGTAATTTCTATGTAAATACTTGACAGTTGAAAAGAATTCTTTTTTTTTCTTCCTATCCAGACTATAATTTATGGTGGTTTAGTGGGAAAAGGGGTTAATTTGATTTAAAAACTGAAAATGATTCTCTATTTGGCTTTTTAAAAAGTATTTATTTAAAAAACTCTGCACAGAACAGACAGAGGGGAGACAAAGGATTCTATTGTATGACTGACCTAGGCGTGCCATGTCTCTTTGCTCCCTACACAGACAGAGGCCTGGCCTGAAGCACGCAAGATTATGCACACATGGGTCCAATCTTTGTCACCTGTCACCTAATAAAGCCTCACTGAATCAAAGACTAGGTTATCATTTATTCTGCTGGACTGACTTATGCAACATTCTCTGTTTAATGTCATCTTTTCTTAATACTCAATTATTATTATTATTGTTATTGTTACTGTAATATTTAAAAACACAGATGGACCTGGGAACATGCCATTGTAACATTGTGGCCATCAGCCAAAAAAAAAAAAAAAAAAGGTACAATAATCTATTGTTGAGCTGGAACTCCTCCAGTGACTCATAGGCTCTGGGGATAATGTCTCTGAAATCATGCCTATAAGTTAATCGATGAAGTTTTCTTTTATTCCTCAGTATATACATTTTATCTCCTTTGTAAGATACAACTTAATAATAAATTAAATAACTATCAAGCATATTGCAAGATTACCTTATTAACAGTCACTTTTTATGTGAAGTCGCTCTAAATATTCAAGGAATAGTTTCTTTCCATTGGAAAAAATTTCTGAGAAATTGGATCAGAAAGTTTTTTGAGGCTCAATGTGGGGTTCTGGGCTCATCTTTTATACCTGCTTCTATGAGGTGGTGCAGTTTCCCATGAAAAAAAAAAAAACCAGAAAGAAAAGATACAATACCCTGTTGCCTGGGTGCAGGAAGAAAGAGAACATCCCCGCTGACCCAGTGATCCTAGTTTTCTCCTGCCTTTCCGGAGATTTTCAACAGAAAATGCCAGGCAAGGTTGAGCTTTCTTTTTCTAAAATTGTTTTCTCTTTGACTCATGGATTTAATGGTAACACAAAAGGTCCCCTTCTCTAGAAGAAATTGGAAGTTAAATTTATCATCTCTTCTTTTACATATTTTCCCCAACATGCCAAATCTTAGTTCATTGAGGGCTTCGATAATGCAGGCAGTCCTGCATTTCAGATATGCATAGTGCCGTGCCATTTAGTGACATGTATGGGTTCTGCAGTTTACATTTTGATTAATAGGAGCAATTAATAAATCATGAGTTACATAATATCCACACAGTGAAAAGCCTCAAAGTTACCATGAAGTGATTGAGATATTAAATGCCTATATGTATTGAATATGATTTTTTTGAAGTAGTCTCATGCCAGTTATCTTCCCAGGAGAAGTAAAATTGTTCTGCTTATCTTCTTTCACTGAGTCATCCCCATCAAAACAACAAGTAAGTGACTCCTCCTCAGAACTTAATATTTAACTAAACTCTTTCAGTTACTAATTAAGGGATAAATTAGGTTCCTATTAGAATGAAAAATCGGAATGGCTTTATTCTCTCTTAACCTTAGATACATTCTCTCAGTCTAATATCTTGCTCAGGGTCTAATGCAGACAAGTTTTATTTTATAGTTCTCTCATTTTCTTTCTGCTCTGCAATCCTCCTCCTCCTCCTCTTACACCTCCTCCTTCTCCTCCTTCTTCTTCCTCCTCCCTCTCTTCCTTCTCCTCCTCTTCCTCCTTCTTTTATTCTTGGAAATTAATGCTTTGCTATATGTGGAGATCTTCCTGACCTGCCAAATGACACATCGTCTGAAAATGATGAACACACATTGTTTAAAAATGAGGCTGGAAACTTGGCCCTTCATTAAAACCTCTGTAACAGATAACATTCTGTTTCTTCTCAGTATTTTGTTGTGCTTGATATAATCATTTATTACAATCCCTATTATGTTTTTGCTTGCACATAGAGTAGCAGAAGGAATAACCTTCTGATAGTAACTTTTCATCAGATAGGCTCCTGAGAATAATCTGATGGTAAAATGTGATCTTGGTTTTGTTACCTATGTGTCAAAGTGTTGAGATCAAGGGACTTTATTCTTCCACTGGCAAAACTCATAGTTACAACATTTTTCTAGATTCGGCTCAAACAGCGGCAAATTTCTTATTTTAAATGTTCCCTTCACAAAACTTTTATAGATGAAATGTATAAATAAATCAGATGACTAGTTCATGAACATACTCTGCCAGTATCTGATACTTTGTAAAAACAAGTAAATGGTTGCTGTATCTAATAGATGCCTTCTACATTAGAGAATCGTAATGGATCAAATGTTAGATTTTCCACAAAAAATTATCCTCTGGAACAAAACAGTTCAAGAAATAGAATGTGATACTTTGCTAGGCTCAACAGATACACTTTTTTATTCTAACAGCTGCCTCTGCAGACAACAGCATCAGATGAACAAATATTATTTTCATAGCAGAAATGGTCATGTCTGCTGGGCTGCCAATTGACGATGCAGTCATTTTGCCTCTGTGTAGCTTTATCTACTACTAAAATAGACTTTGATTCTTCCATTGGAGAAGAATATAATGATCATGTGTGATATGTAGGAAAGTTACACGTTCATAGCAGAAAACACGTAAGAGAGAGTTTGCCCAGGCAAATCCGGGTCCACCTGCCATATCAGAATGAGAGAAGAAAGAGGGGCCCTCTAGTCTCAGTCTTGAGCACCTTAAATACACACTAGCACTTAGGCCCCAGGGAGGTTTGGAACATAAGCACCAAAAATCCCCCCACTGCAACAGGGGCTAACTAGAGAGGACCTAAAAAAACCTTTCCATCCAGGGAGTTGAAACATATCTGTGAAAACAATAGCTTGTAGAAGCTGTTGTTTTAGGGAAGATGTGTTAGGGAAGATCCCAACCAGCGTCTATAAGAGTGGTTTGGAAAGTTCTGGAACATTTCAAATGCTGTGATCTTTGTATCACTTTGTTTCCAGGTTTTTTTATTTTTATTTTTTCTTCCTCCCAGACAAGACCTTTCAGGTTAGCCCAACGATTGCGCAACATGTAACCAAGCATGCCTCTCCCCTTCCTATTTTCTTTTGTTTTTAATTTAAAGGGAAATCAACAGCCGCCACCCATTTCATGATTGCAATGATGAGGCTGGAGCATTTCAGCCTCATAACTTTTCTGGATTCTTTTCCGTGTCCAAACAGATTTTTGTAAAAAAATCATGTTAGTTTTTTCTGGTACACAGTAAATTCCGATGGTTTTTTTGCTGTGCATGCCTCATGGGTGGTATGAGTTGAGAAAAAAATGCCAGAAAGTGGCTACTGAGAATCTTGTGGAATGGAAGCTGTCAATGGGATGGGGAAACATTAATGCTTTATGAGGAAAATTAATGATGGCAGTTTCCACATGAGCCCCAGCCTAGACTTCTTGGACCCTAAGTAAAGAGTTCCATGTGATCTCCCAAGTGGTACACAGCCATTCGTTCTTTAATGTCCCAGTTAAAAGTGTTTTATGTTAATCATCAAAATCTAGAATTTCTCAAGCGAAGTTCTAAACACACAGAAAATAATAAATGGCACCCAGCAGGAATAATTTTCCTCATGGTTTTTAACATCAGTTCTCTGATAGCGCAATGCTCATGTTCTTACATGTATGAGTGCAGGTGAATACACATATATACATATACATTCTCTAACCCAGAGATGAATTAAAAAGGAGAATTTTCATCCTATGTGCTTTATGCCCTAAGTCAGAGTTGAGGGAAGAAACAAGATCAGCTACATTGAGTTTTATTCTAGGAGCAAAAGGCTTGTAAACTCTTCAGAAGTCTCTCCCCTAACCAGTTCCACTTAGCCTTGAACTGTGCTGCTCCCCACATGAGGTAAGAAGACGCTTCATCTAGAACTTTCAGAAGTGGTGCAGGAATTTAGACACACTTAGGGAATAGCAGGCATCTCCTCCATTGATCTCAGAAACCTTTGGTTTGTGTTTTTGGCTTTTTCAAAAATATATTTGCTCCCTTCAAGTTGGACTGAAATAAACTCAGGTCTAGGTTGCCTTCTCAATGGCAGCAATGAGCCAGTACTATTAAAATATCAGCACAGAGAACTAGAAATGTCGGATCTTGTCACTGCCATAGAAGAATTGTGGCTACCACTTCTATGCAGAGTATGGAATGGTCTTTCCTCAGGTTCCTGTATGCTAAAGGTCCGGACAGAATTACTCTGTCCCTTTCTCTAGCCTCAGTCATCTGACCAGTGTGTGAACAACAAGAATATCCTCTGATAAGCCTTCGTCCACGATTGTGACAACCCTGTGTTCCCTCTAATGTCCAGGAGTCCCTCTGGCTCCCTTTAGCCTCTGTGCCTCCAGGGTGCCTGTGGTAGGAGCAGAGGGAGCTAGTGACTCCCTGCTGATGCTAACCGTATTCTAAACCACTAGTATAGTCTCCCTCCTTTCCTCCTGGAATTTCTCTCTTCCTGCAGCAACTCCTGGAACTCCTCCTGAATACAATCCACCTGCTGTTTTGTAAGAATAGCTCTCTGTTCTTTCATGTGGGTTCGGATTTTTGCCCAATTCAACACATCCTGAGCAGGGCATCTAACTTCACTACACAGAGAGCCTGGCTGTGAGACACAAAGACCTACACAAACATGGGACCAAAGAAACATACTTTGCTTTGTGGGTCTTAACATAATCTACCAATCGGTCTTTCAAAATTCTTGTCTTCTCATGTATGACATGTTAAGACTCTTACTAAAGAACTCACTTAAATGTCAGCCCATATACTCTACAAAAAAATGTTTTATCTCTATTCACCTCCATTCTTTTTGAAGGTGATTTTACTAAAGCCAGATAACTGAAATATTAATGTATAGAATCTAATTTCTTAATGGTATGGAAGGCTGAAAATAGTTTTATTGTTTGATGTTGAGCTATAGATGATGATTTCTTTTTCTTTTATTTTTTTCCTTTTTTTTTTTTTTGAAGGTTGGAAGATTCTTTAATGAGAGACATATGCAGCAAGTTAAAGCTTGTAAGCTTACTTCATCTCAGTAATGCAGAAAACTCCTTAAACTGTTGATTTTCTTTTGGAGGGCACTCTGAACTATGCAAAATATCATCTGATTCCTCAAGGAAAACTAGGAAACAATGAAGAAAAAGTACCTTCAAACTTTATGAATGTCTCGGCCACCCCCTGCTGCATCCATCAAATACCAGATTGAATTAGTGAGATTCAAATACCAGAGATTTTATGGTAATGGGATATTTAGAAATCATTCCCCGAGGTTCCGCCTATGTTGGAGTGAGCCTGTGTGCTCACAGTGATAGAATTTGGGGCTAGATCCCAGTGTTGGTTCAATTATTAGGCTAGGTGATCTTCCACAGCTTATTTTAAATTGCAGTTTTCCAAGATTTATAAGACTGCATTTTTGGACTTTCTCTAATGCACTCAAGCAAAAAAAAAAAAATCATTTGCCTGTACACTGATGACTATACCTGGTAAGGCTATATAAATGTGTACAAATTTGTACCAATACTTTAACTTTATTGGTTCACTTGCAGGTTTCATAGTCACTTGACCGTCATTCACCATTTACCTCCAGATGCCTTTCTTCCCTCTGCTCTGAGCTCAGGTACAAGTGTCCATTATTGCTCTAAGAGCTAGTCTTGACTGGGCTTAATTGATATTTCCATTAGTCTGATGAATACAAATGGCATTAAATACCAGGATCAGACACAAAGTGAATATGAGTGATCCTTTGCAGCCACCTGGGAAGGGTGAGTGGGGATTTTTAAGGCATAGTGGTGAGGACAATTAGCAGGGCTAATGTACCCTTTCCATGGTTGAGATGACACCAGATGCCCCTCTCTTGCTGGCATTCAGTGCACAATGAAGTCTGCATTGATCTAGATGGCAAACCACATTGGTTTCAGAGCCAGGAGGCTCCACTCAGCATGGCACAACTTTGTGTTATGAGAGGAAAAGAGTGAGGCAGCAAGTGAGCTTAGAGCCTTGGGTCAGGTTGAAGGAAAGTTTCCCTCTTTCTCCCCGGACCAGATGCACATATCAACTGTGAACCCTGAAGTCAAGTCAAGCTCCTAGGACTGCCTCCCTGTGTTGGGCTGAGGGCAGCGAGTACGCCTTGGCAGCTTTTAACCCGTGTCCCTTCTGCCTGCATTGGCACGCGGTCAATCTCTGAGCAGTTGGGGGATATGGAAAGCATAAAGGGGAAGGATCCACAGGGACAATCAATCATGTCATCAAGATCAGCTTCTGAAGGAAACAAGCACAAATGCTTCAGTGAAAACAAACTAATTTCATTCTGACTGTTCTACTGTTCGGGGTTTTATGACTGTGTTTTTCACCCTGTGTGGAAAAATACAAAGAACTGCCCAGGAACTGAAAAACAGAAAAGAATCTGTCTTGAGGAACATTTCCCCCTTTAACTTCTTTGCTGTCTTTACCAGATGTACCCATCCAGGCTCCAACATGAACCACACAATGGACCTTAGGCCCATTCCAGCACACAATAACTCAACAAAGGATGCTTAAAACATTAAAAGGATCTTTACTATCCTCTTGGCAAAGTACTTCACATGAATTGCCAGTTTTCCAGTTGTTACACCAAAGAAAGATAAGGGGATCAACGGATCAAAATCCATCTTACTTCATACAAAAGACAGAAGTTGTTATAGAAAGCCAATATGGCTTGGGGAGGGAACATGGAGTCAGTCCCGGTGTGGGGTCAATGATTTTACCAGGTGATATTCCTTCAGTTGTTTATGTTGATGTTTTTTCACCCCCTAAAGAGACTCAGAGATAAATAAAATTCAGTCTTTGGGGTTGCTCTAAAGCACTCAAGTAAAAATTACCTGATTATTGGCAACTGGATTTTGCAAAATTGTGGGGAGAAAATTTGGAACCCTCGCAAATCCTCCTACACAAATGTTGAGCTAAATATTTTCACTTTATGCTCGCCTGACAGAGATAGTAGTGGTGAAAGTTACAGAGAGATTTGCCGATATAGAGCATTTGCTTATATCACACCCTTTCTCTTTTCCCCAAATCTTTTCCTTTTTAATAGCGTAGGAAGAAAAAAAAGGAGTTTAAGGAAATAATTTCTTGTGCTTACTATAGCCCTCAAGACTTTTTTTTACTTTTTAAAGATGAGGTCTTGCTCTGTCACCCAGGCTGGAGTGCAGTGGTGTGATCACAGCTCACTGTAGGCTCAAACTCCTGGGCTCAAGTGATCCTCCTGCCTCAGCCTCTCAAGTACCTGGGACTACAAATGCATGCCACCAGGCCTTACTAATTATTTTTGTCTTTTGTAAAGGTGGGGTCTCACTATGTTGGCCAGGCTTGTCTCGAACTCCTGGACTCAAGCAGTCCTCCAGCTGGCCTCCTAATGTGCTGGGATTACAGGCATGAGCCACTGTGCCTGTCCCCAACAATTTTCTTATTCTTTGAGTTTCTCACTCGTACTAAACAAAACTAGAGAATTCCCCTGAATTACACAGGAATCTGGGTAAAGTTGTATAGATTCAGACCATGTGATACTTCTTCAGCCATTCTTCTGAGAATTTGGCAAGGAGACTATAAGTTTTGATTGGTTAATATTTGTGTGGGTACGAATGCCAGCACTGAAATATGTGGTTAAATATTGTATTGCTTTGGGTGGTTGGCCTCATGTGAGTGCTTCCTCTAGCACAAATGTCATTTGGCAAACTTGGTTCTCACAGTTCAAATGAAATCTATGGAGGAAGAGGAGAGCCTGTCGTCTCCTCTTAGGACAGATGGCACATGCTGCAGTGTGAATGGCAGAATTGGGGAGGCCTAGGTCTGGGTTTTTGTGGCTAGAGAATATACTAACCATCAGAATCATGTTGTGGCCATTAATAGGATTATCTTATTTTCAGTAATTACTAACTATACTATATGAGAGACAGATAGTATAATAACTAATGACTAACTATATGAAAGACAGTTTAATGTTAATACCTCCACTCTGAATGAATTGCTTGTTTAACAGATGGCTTCTGACTTATTGGGAAGTTGTTAGAACATCAAAGCACAGTTTATGAGGCCTGGCAAATTATGTATCTGAGTTTAGCCTTTTGTTTCCAATGTTACCTTCTAAATGATCTGTTTCATAACTAAGATTAATATGAGCACAGTTAAATAAGTTATTTCATGGAGAACAGGCATGCCAATATAGATATTATCAAGATGTATAATTTGCCAAAAATATTTGTTGAGTATCTGTGATGTGCCAGCCATACAGTGGTAAACATTTATTGATCACTTACAGATATGAACTATAGTATGCACACATCTACAGTTTCAGATGGACTATAGTATCATAGTTACATAAAATACAGCCAAAGGCATCCTAGAATTTTTCTTTTTCAAAAATAAAACAATTCTACAATCTCACAAACATATTCGGGTCCATTTCTCTGTGCTTACAAACATGCTCAGGCTTGCCCAATGAGTGGAACCCACCATCCTTTGACCTTGGCCTTGCAGCCTAGTTTCTTTGAGAGTACATTTTCCCCTACCAACTCCTCCGCCACATACCCCACAAAAAGCAGCCTCATTTTCCACCTCCAAATTCTCACTATCTTCCACTCCTCAGCCCCAGGAACCTGCTTTTTACTCCCACTGCTCTCCTGAAATTGCTTTCTCAAATGTCAAAGTACCACCAGTTGATTCAATTCTTCCCTCCCAGACTTCTCTGCAACACCCTTGAAAATGCCCTCCTTGAAAAGCTCTCTATCCTTGGTATGTTCTCCACACTGTGGCAACTCGAGACTTTTCTTCACCTCTCTGACAGTTCCTTTCATCTTCTTTGTTCTTGCTCCCTAAAGTAAGATTCTTTAAGGCTTTCTTTGCTCTCTGTGTACAACCTTCTTGTAGAATTGGGTATTTCCTGGGCTTTGACTATTGTATCTATGAATGTGAACTATCGAAGCTCTTTCTCCAGATCTGGCTTCTCTTCAGACTCCAGTCCCATGTCTTCATTTGCTACCTGGAAGCCTCACCTCATGATGAGTTTGGGAACTCAACATATCCCAAAGCAAACTCATTGACTGCTTCTCACCAAGGATCTTCTCTTCCTGGTTTTCCAGGTTTGGATGCGTTCTCCTGTTCTCCTAGAGGGTTCTCCCTCTTAATTAGTTGCCCAATTCTGTCCATTCTACCTTCACTATAACAAGTGACTGTCCCACTTTTAGTTAGTCCTGCCACCTCCTCTCTTCAGCTCTTCATGAATTCCCTCTCTGAACTGCTCTCCCTCATGCCAGTCTCTTTCCACTCTGTTCCGTGCCTCACACGTTTTGCAGATGAACCTTGCCAAAGAAATGATATCACTGTGACATTTCTGTCTTCACAAATGCCTTATTCTATCCTGACCCTCCAAATTAATGTTTTTAACCTTTTCTCCTGCTCTTTCTCAAGCATGTAGCCATGGTCCCACAAATACCATGGGCTTGGGGGGAGGTTCAGATCACATAGCACATTCCCCTCTCTGTCCCCTTGTATATGCCCCTAGAGCTGTGTGGACTCTCCTCCTTCACACTTCTGCACTTGCCATCCTTCAAGGCCCAGTTCTGTTGACATAGTCTCCAGGAAGACTTCCTCTTTTGGTGATGTTTGAGAAGTTACAATAAGGTGCTGTACTTTTCCATAGCTCGGCTTGATTCATGTGCTATATAAAAAAAAAGACTGTAGAGGGTCTCATAGCAATACAGCAACAGGTGGTTGATGAATCAATTTAGGAAGTGGCTGCTGGGGGCAGAGCTTTATTTATCAAAGGGTACAGCTTTGCAAGCTGAGTGTACAAGAGCTTCCTGGGTCAGGGCTGTCTGGTGACCTACAGACATGGATGGGGTGGCAGTCATAAGTGAGTTTGGGCTGTGACATTTTGGCTTTCTCTAGGTTTTCTCATTTATCACAAAGGGACTGGTAATTCCTATGTGACTCTACATGTAGGCATCACATGTCGCTGAGCTCCAGAGAAAAGGCAAGCTCGTCCACCTTCAGACTCATGCACTTGCATCCCACTAGGTCCTCCCTTGGGTCTGTAATGAGCTACTTCTCCTCACCTTAGTTAAGCAGTTTCATTCTTTACAGACCACCTCAAAGGCCAATTCTACCATGGTCTTTCTTCAACCCATAGTCATAACACTCTCTCCCTCTTCTGGTCACACATGGCACTCTATCTGTGCCTCAAGTGGTTCAATGACTGTTCTCCCTGGCTTTGCATGTGTCATCTTACCAAATGGATTATAAGATGTTTGAGTCTGGAGACTAAATTTTATTTATTATTATAATGCACAATATAGCCCTGTGTTCATAGCTGGAATTTAATACATGTTAGTTGAATAAACATTGAAGGATGAAGTTTCAGATTTTTTTGGCTACCATTACTCTCAGCTATGTTGATGTAATGAAACACGTGTGCCATATAAACATGTATCTATTTACCAATCTGCTGCTCAAATTGATGACTTTTTACAAGGCTTCTAGGTGGGGCAGCTTTTAGAATAAAGATGAACACCCACACGCACACTCTTACATGAGTGACTGAACAATCTCACATTTTATTATTTATAGAAATACATGTGAATATGCTACAACTTAATTTATTTCCTGCAAGCAGAAATCCTTATCATTATAAGGAAGCCCCTGTCTTTTGTTTTTGTCCATTTTTTCCCCTGATGTGTTCATAAACATGTCCCATGGATGGCAGGAATGCACAGCTATTTCACTGGTGGTATAAATAGTTTTCACAGAAGCCCTGTCTATCATGGTAAATGGCACAAAAGACTTTTTTCCTCCACAGAAGCCTTTATTTTTCTCCCTGTATTTCCCTCAGAGGTCCGCCACAGTCTGAAGGGACTTCACAGCTGTGCTGTCTACGAACCCACTCCTAACTTCCAAACTTTCGCCAAAGTGTTTCCTCTGAGGTCCTTATAGAAGCGCTTCTGGACAACGTGGGATGTTGCTAACATTTGGAAAGTGACTGTCATGCTGCGAGGAAGTATTTGCAGGCCTCTGAGTTCAGTCCTCCGAGGACATTTCACCTTCTTTGCTCTCGTCCAAGCCTTAGACCCCAGCACCCAGTCAGCTCCCCTCCTGTGGGTTTTCCGGGCTGCTGTTTCATCTCTCTCCCCATTACCCTCATCATCCCCACTCCCACCCCGACATAAATTCAAAAGAAATCTTTTTTTTTTTTTGGGGGGGGGTTTCACTTTTGAAATGAAGGCTCATATTTCAGCTCTAGATTTAGAATAGGTAAATATTTTTTAAAAAATCATTTCTTCATATAAATTAAAAAGCCAAACATCAATAAGCCAAACATCAATAGCAACGGCAACACCTCTCCAACAACAGCTGCAGAAATTGCCAACGTGCACCTAACCTGACCTCACGGGGCCATGCCGGGGGCCTTGTGGAAGAGGATCAGTCCATCTCTGCCCCACCTCAAGCAAGAGTGACTTGCATTTCATTCCTCTGTATTCATTCTCTCGGGGTTTTCAGCCACAAAAGTACTTTATAAAAGTTCTGTATAGGAACAGGCTCTGAGAGGAGAATTTCTCAGAAGAGGTCCAAGGTGCTTTGCTTAAATTACTCAAGGTTCAGGCTCTCAGGGACAGGGCCATGGCTCACAGGCATTTGCTCTGGGGCTGTGAGAATGTGGGATGAGAATGAGGTGGTATCATTTGTGGATGTGATGGTCTACCCTTCCCTAATTTCCTAATTTGGGAATGACTGATTGACAAGGATGGGGCTACCTGGAGAGCTAGGACAGTACAGAGCAGACCACTTACAGCCCATCTCCAGGGTGCCTAAACAAGGGGATGTGCAGAATTTCTTTCTTTTTTTTCCTTTTTCTTTTGAGATGGAGTTTCACTCTTGTCACCCAGGCTAGAGTGCAGTGGCGCGGTCTCAGCTCATTGCAACCTCCGCCTCCCGGGCTCAAGCAATTCTCCTGCTTCAGCCTCCTGAGTAGCTGGGATTACAGGAGCCCGCCACTGTGCCCAGCTACTTTTTGTGTGTGTGTGTATTTTAAGTAGAGACAGGGTTTCACCATCTTGGCCAGGCTGGTCTTGAACTCCTGACCTCGTAATCTGCCCACCTCGGCCTCCCAAAGTGCTGGGATTACAGGCGTGAGCCACTGTGCCCGGCCGGGATGTGCAGAATTTCTTGCCTGGAGATGTTCATTTATTTCCTTCCCTACCCCATCCCCCCAAACAGCTACACTGCCTGGAGATTTGGAAGAAAGAGATGAACAGATGTGTGTGATGTTTTAGTTACATTTGACCTAAAAGTGGGGGAAATGAGCTAAATGACACACCAAAGTCCTTTTCACTAAACAACCAGTATCAGTAGAGCAAGTTGTTTAAATATTGCCATTAGCCCACTTCTGAGGCTTACTGGAGAGTTTTACTAATGGCAAGATTCAAAAACAGTAACCTCTGTCTTATTGAATAGACGCTCCCCAGCTGCTGAACTGTGAAGTTAATTTCTGGAAAGTGAATTGTGTTTGTCATTTTTAAAAATACAATTTTCTGTAATAAAAGCAGAGATGCAACCTTCAGCAGAGAAACATTCCAATGTGGCTGGGTTGAATGCTTTGTTTGGCTGAGGAATGGTTAAAGTGATGTTTGAGGATGTAACCTACCAGTGGAATGAGGCAAGAGAACTTTGCTTACTACATTGGCCTCCCCTAGGTGTACTTGTTAATTAAGAGTAAAACCACGAAGGTAGCTCCAACCCCAATCGCTGTGGATGCCACACCCGCGCCAGCGAGGGCAGGCTGATAGAGGCTGTGCTAAGATTGCCGTCCTGTCACAGCGTGGAGTGGGAGTGGGAAGGGGGCCTCCTACTCTCATCGTTAGCCAACGCACAACATATGTTCACTAGTCATATCCTTTCTGTCAAGCAAGGAACTAGGCCCTGGGAGTACAAGGATGAATAATACACGAGGCCCTTCTTCAAGGAATTTATAGATCCTTCAGGTAAACCATGTGATGTCCCTCCGAACTGACTGGCATAAAGCGGATGATGGGGCTTTGACATCTTGTGCTGAGAATAACAGAATCACGGCTGAACTGACATCATAGGATCATAGAATTTTATAACATGAAGCAGCCTTAGAGATCGTTCACCAAATTGAGTTAAAATTAAATGATTGTTATAGTTCCTTATAAACTGCCAAATGCTAAACAAACATGATTATTATTTGGTGGAAGCCCCTCAGGTTTTGGAAGGAGAGAGACTGATACAAAGTTAAGTCATTGCAACAGGTCTTCTAGCTACAGTGTTATAGGTATAGCTACATTGTTACACAGCTACATTGTTTAACATTCATAACCCGCATCTTATTTTGTTGTTTAGTACACATAAGTAATATTTTATTTTTCAAATTATATTATAAATAACAGAAATTATGAGAAAGAAACTGTATTGAGGAAATATGGGAAAGTAATTTTGTACTGCAGATCTAGAGTATAATGAACAAAAAGAGCCTATAAGCAAAAAGATTCAAGCTCTTAACAAGGAAATGCCTTGTACATAACTGCACATATAGGCTGGGCTCAGTGGCTCATGCCTGTAATACCAGCACTTTGGGAGGCCGAGGCAGGTGGATCACTTGAGGTCAGGAGTTCAAGACCAGCCCGGCCAACACGGCAAAACCCCATCTCTACTAAATACAAAAATTAGCTGCGCATGGTGGCGGGTGCCTGTAGTCTCAGCTATTCAGGAGGCTGAGGTAGGAGAATCACTTGAAACCAGAGGTGGAGGTTGCAGTGATCTGAGATCTTGCCACTGCACTCCAGCCTGGGAAACAGCTAGACTTTGTCTCAGAAAAAAATTGCACACATAGTTAGGTGATGACTTAGTTACATTTCAGAGAGGATATGTGGTAGGCAGAGTACCTGTGGATGGCCCCCCAAGATTTCCCACCATAAGACCCACAGGTGTCCATCTCTGTGCTAACTTCCAGCGTGGTTTAGGGGAGGCACTGACACTCTGCAGAATCCCAGAAAATATAATTAAAGTTCTGTTTATAAATCCTTTATTGACATTTAGTGAACGATTGCAGTGCTACTGATGTAGTGCTCTTTAATAGCTCATTATGAAGTTTGTTAGAAGAGACATTAGCAGCAATTTGTCAATAGCCTCTGGAAGTCAAGTGACAAGGTATGCGTGTTTTACAGTGCTGCCGAGTGTTAGACATATCCTTGCAGGTGGGGAAACTTCATCCACTTATCTGCCCAAGGGATAGTTCACATGGTGACTCAGATGTTTTGAAGCCACACCATAATGTGTTCTAAAAGTCGGCGAGAGGTGGAATGACAGCAATCCCACCAAAGTGGCCCCTGTCACTCAAACTTGAGAAGCTGCATGGAATTCCTTTTGTGTCATTCTAAAAAACTATAATTCTTTTGAATAGGATAATTTCTTTTAAAAATATTATGGAAGCTCTTTAGTTTAATTAGATCCCATTTGTCAATTTTGGCTTTTGTTGCCATTGCTTTTGGTGTTTTAGACATGAATCTTTGCCCATGCCTATGTCCTGAATGGGAGAAAATTTTTGCAATCTATTCATCTGACAAAGGGCTAATATCCAGAATCTGTGAAGAACTTAAACAAATTTACAAGAAAAAAACAAACAACACCATCAAAAAGTGGGCAAAGGATATGAACAGACACTTCCCAAAAGAAATTTATGCAGCCAACAGACATATGAAAAAATGCTCATCATCACTGGTCATTAGAGAAATGCAAATCAAAACCACAATGAGATACCATCTCACACCAGTTAGAATGGTGATCATTAAAAAGTCAGGAAACAACAGATGCTGGAGAGGATGTGGAGAAATAGGAAAGCTTTTACACTGTTGGTGGGAATGTAAATTAGTTAAACCATTGTGGAAGACAGTGTGGCGATTTCTCAAGGATCTAGAACTAGAAATACCATTTGACCCAGCAATCCCATTACTGGGCATATACCCAAAGGATTATAAATCATTCTACTATAAAGACACATGCACACGTATGTTTCTTGCGGCATTATTCACAACAGCAAAGACTTGGAACCAACCCAAATGTCCATCAATAATAGACTGGATAAAGAAAATGTGGCACATACACACCATGGAATACTATGCAGTCATAAAAAGGATGAGTTCATGTCCTTTGCAGGGACATGGATGAAGCTGGAAATCACCATTCTCAGCAAACTATCACAAGGACAGAAAACCAAACACTACATGTTCTCACTCATAAGTGTGAGTTGAACAAGGAGAACACATGGACATAGGGAGAGGAACATCATCCACCGGGGCCTGTCGGGGGATGGGGGTCTAGGGGATGAATAGCAACCCATTAGGAGAAATACCTAATTTAGGTAATGGGTTGATGGGTGCAGCAAACCACCATGGCACGTGTATACCTATGTAACAAAACTGCACATTCTGCACATGTACCCTAGAACTTAAAATATAATAATAATAAAAAAGAAAATATATACATGGCTATTAAAATTGGAAAAAAAATAGTATGGAATTGGCCTGTCATTATACGGGGGTACCTGAGGTGGCAATTTGGCACCACTTGGTACTTTTTATTCATACGTGATAATGTCTGGCATGGAATGGGGTCAATATATATGCTTTGAAGGAGTGAATTTATATTTAAGTTTGCAATAGCTTTATGATTCTACAGCTCTCTTATTTAATTATTTCATTTAATCATCTCTTCAACACCTCTCTAGAAGGTAAAAAATAATGTTCTCATTTTACAGAAAAAGAAATTGATATTTGGGACGTTTAATATAACCAAGATGCATAGGTCTGTGCAGCTGCTCTTTCTTCTCACTTTCAGGTCATAATTACTGTTTGCTGGGAACATACTGGGTACTGGTGTTAGGCAGGTCTTTTGTTTCTCATTAACTACCTCCTCACACCAGGAGGTATGTAGGTCTTTTTATCTTCAGATGAAGTCTCAGTGAGGTTATGTAATTTGAGCTGAATCACACAGGCTATGTCTGATCAAGCTGGCATCTAATCGCAAGGCTTGCTACTCAAGAGGATGTGGCCTTCCTGCCATCACCCAGCTGCCCTTCCAACTGAAGTATAAGGCTATTGCTATTTCCATTTTTAAAAATCTGACAGGCACAAAGCACAAAGGCACAAAGACTTAAGGGATGGCTACAGTTATGATAGTTCAGTCAAGAAGTCTCTGTTTTGGGGACTTTTTTTTTTTTTAAATCTACGTTTTACAGCATTATTATGCGTCTACGTGAACTTAATTTAATGCAACAAGCGTTGACAAGTGCCTGTTTTGTGCAAATTCTGTGTGATACCCAATGTCCATTTCCTATTCTTCCTTTCAAAAAGTGGCCATAAACAGAACCCTGATTTTGTTGAGGATAACAGTGTGCTTAGGTAAGAGATGTCATTTCCCATCATTTCATGTAGCTTGGCACAGTCGTGTGAATAACTTCTGCATGCAACCCCCAGGGAAGCTTTCTAAAGGGCCTTTTCCTTCCCTTTCCTTCTGACTGGAATGTGGACATGATGTCCAGAGCTCAGGCAGCCATCCTGGGCCACAAAACATCATTGTGAATGGATGCCAAGTGTTGGGGATGATGGAGAAGAAAGATATAAGGAGTCTAGGTTTTTGATGACATAGTGGAGCTGCCCAGTCAGCCTTGGGCTACTTACAACTGGAATTACCATAAGAAAGAAATAAACTTTTATTTTGTTTAAATGACTACTTTCTTCTGATCTCTAAATGCAACTTCTAACTTATGGAGTTACAGGAAAGCTGGAAAAGATATATTTATTAGTCTTTAGGAAAGACAAATCCACAACTCACTACAGTATGGTCTGAATGTGACTTGATCCAATGATCTAATGAAAACATAAACTCAGTGGGGAGCATTCCAGAGAGAGAAGAAATTAATTCTGCTAAGAAGAAGGTATCAAGAAAAGCTTGTTGTACCTTGGATGGAGGAAGATAAGAAGTGGAACAGAAAACTCAGTAAGCAAAAGAAAGCCTGGACTCCAAGAAGTTGAGCTTAAGTGATGGCAAGTTGGTTGCAAAAAAATGGCTTTGATATTTCCAAAATGATTTTCTTTAAGTTTTCAGCAAAGCATTGACTAGTCATAGACTTTTAGACCTTGTTCTGTGGACCCAGATCTAAACCAAACTGCAAGTTTGTGTCACTTGAGATATTATCTACCAGCACATTTAAGTCTCTTTCTTTAAACATATCACTTCAGTGGTGATATCTTAAGCTACAGAAAGAGTCATCTTCCTTTACACATTTGGCTATAATTGAGTAGAGATGACTTTTATAAGATTCAGTCCTACAGTCATAGGCCTGGGTTAAAAAGCTGTCTTTGACTGAAGTGGGAGGAGAAAGGAGAAAAGGAGAGGGGAAATAGTTATTTGGGATCCCTTCTGGGATATCCCTTCTGACTCCTTGTGGCAGGAGTGATTGTCTGATTGTTTCATTGCAGGGGTCAGGCTGGAGCAGAGCCTCAAAGGCAGGAGGGTAAAGAATTAGGGCTCCAACCCCAGGGGCTAACGATGCTAGGGAACTTCAGGAGCTTATGACATATCCCTGACTTCTCCCTCTGGTGTTCAACAAATATCCATGTAATCCTAACCTTTCCTTGGCCTCTCTTACAGTTAGGGCAGGACCAACTAATTAGATTGTGGTTAATGGGATGTAAGTGGGAATAAGCTAACCTCTTCCAGGTTGAGAACTTAAAGGTGTCCTATATTATAATCCCACCCACCCTCTCTCCCCTCACTGTAGTGACATTATATCTTGAATTACAGATGCCATAGCTACAAGGTGGGAGCAGCCTGGGACCCTGAATCACTGCGTGGAAGAGATTCTCGCAGAGGAGAAGTTTTCAAAGCATCTGTCTTTGTGTGAGCAGGAAATAAGCGTTGGTGGTATGAAGACATTGAAACATGGGAATATTTGTGATGGCAGCTGGCATTAATTACTCTGATTTTGACATTACTTCTTGGCAAGGAAAATAAGTGAGAGGTGGTGCACCTTTGATGAGAAGCATGGGATTCGGAGTTGGAAAATACAGCCTTCAGCTTGATTCCTGGGTGAGTTTGGGCAAGTTTCTTAACTTCTTCAGCCCCAGATTTTTATCTATAAAAATGAGAATAATGGCTGTGCCTCCTTCCTAGGGCAGTTTTTTATTTTTCAAAGTATGGTTGCACAGAAAACCTGCATCAGAAATACCCACAGGACTATTACACTGCAAATCACTGTGTGCCCATCTGGAAGCTACCGAATCCAGATCTTTGTGGGTGGGAGGAAGTCTATTTTTTTTTTTTAAAGTTATCCAGGGGACTCTTACACTTACTAAAGTTGGAGGATGATTGTTCTAAGCAGTTGTGAGGATTGCATGAGACAATACGAACAAAGACTTTAGGACTATATCTGGCCCATGGTAAGTGCTCCATATATGGAAGCAATTATTTTTATCATTAGAGCACACTGTGGTGTAGAATAACTTGGTCAGAAAAGCTAGGCAAGTCCATGAAGGGGAAAAAGGGAGATGGCATTACTCTTTCTCAGGATTATAACTCTGAACTCAAAGGGAGCCAAGAGGGCAGGCACACTGAATGTAACCCGATTTGACTTAAACGGAAGACTGAGGCAAATCATTGATGTGTTGAGTATTCAGCAACAGAATAACAACCTGAAAACAGATGAAGGAGAAGGTTGCTGTCCTAACAGCAAAATCCCTTAAGACTCCCAGGCTTTCCGAAGGTGAATTTTTAAGCATTGATGGAAATGCGTTAATGAGCATATAAAATTGTGGTTGAATGGTGACCACCATGCCTGAAGCTCTGTTGAAAAATTATTGACAGCTATATTGCTTATTCCTGTAGTGGTTAGGAAATGAAATGCCTTTCTCTAATCAAGTAATTGCATTAAGGAGCTACTGGGAACATTTGGTTGCTTTTCCGGAATAGGCAAGAAGTCAACTGCACTTCAACCAGGTTAACTGTCAAGAGGAGTTTGGCTCAAATTTCTTTTAGTTCAACTAACATCTTTTTTTTCCTCATGCATATGCAAGCAAAAGTATAAAAATAAATTCAGCTAATAGCCAAAACAAAACAGCACATTTGTAGTAAATCCTGCCTGTTTCTGAAATAAAATTCAGCAAAAGATGTGTTTTTGTTTTTTCTGTTTAAGGGAGAGATGGTGGAGATGTGGGTTTTGGCACAAACCTTAAACCCTAAAATGAGCTGCAACACAGGTGGAGTGAGATGGATTTCCAGTGACTAAGGCAGACAGCGTCATGCCCAGCTTTAACTGTGTGAAGATTCATTGTGAATTTTGCCATAGCCCAAGCAGAAAGAAGATACATTTTCTGGTTACAATAGTTTTGGTTGGCAGAATTTACCTGAAAATTCACTCAAAAAAGTCTCTCATTTGAAAGATGAACTGGTAGAGAATTGTGAACATACAGAACAAGGATATAAGTAGACAGAACACAGTCATTTTTTTGTTGAAGTTGTTACTGTGAAATTTCAAGCTCCTTGGGTCTTCGAAAGGCCACTTTTATGTCTGCAGCTCCATAGAGATACAACCACTGAAATAAAAAACACAGTGACTGGGCCATTTTGTTTACACAGTGCCACATTCTTGGCCAGTCTTGTTTGTCACCAAATGGCCTGATGAATGCTGTTTTGATGTCACGCCCTAGATACCACTTTGTGTTTTTGTGCTCTTGGGCATGAATGGGTGACTAGCTCACTCATGGGCTGTGGCTCTAAGGCCCCTGGTTACTGAGCAAAGTTGATCTGAATTGCTAGAACATTTGAGCCCATTTGCCCCATCCTGCTCGTTCTCCTCCTCTTCCTCTTTTTCTCTCCCATATATACAGTGATATGCAGGGCATACCACTACATCATAGATCTCAGTCCTCAAAGCTTACAAAATTACTTCCATTTGTGAGGTAAACTAACTCTTGTTCCTCAGTCTTGAATTTACCCACCAGGCTTGCTGCAAAGAATGAGCTTAAAAATAACCTGATGATTTCCACGTGGCAGGGCCACGGGTTACAGAGCACAGCCTGTGCCCCTAGGACAGGCACCCACATTGTTCTTTTTGGAAGGAGTGGATCTGATGCCAGGGAAAGGTGACACAAGAAAGAAGCTGGCCACGAAGCCTCTGAGCTTTGTGACCTGATGCTCACCTGACGCATGGCCAGGCTGTCTCCTCTCTGCCAAATAGGGAGAGAAACTCTGACTTGGCCGACATCGTGGGTGTGTTAGGTAATATTTGCCAACTGCTTTGAAGATGAAAAGCGTTATGGGGCACTAAATGTGATAATTATCAATTATAAAACCTCACTACTCCCTGGAACACTAGGGGCGAATGAGCAGGAAATATAAATGTTTGTGACAGGAAGCCAGGAGCCAGGATGGCTCGTGAAATGTGAAAAGTTCAACACACAGTGCCCTTACCTGGGGCAAGCCAGGAACTCATTTGTCTTTGGAAGGTAAATGCTTCCTTGAGCTAACGAGGTGGCCCCCTGAGAGACTACCTTATTAAGTACTCCTGGAATTCTGGGCAAGGGGTGCCTGTGTACCTCTCCAGTGCCACCTGGGTGCCATGAAAAAAATGTCCCACTTGGAGTTTGGCCTGGGCTTTTCCCTCATCCTTTCTCTATTATCCGAGGATAACAGGGTGATAGACTGAAGACCTCTGGGCCGTTCAGATATTCGTACATTCTAGACACACATCATGATGATATTCACACATCATAATCATTGAGCTTTTGCAAGGATCCCGGAATGAGGCACACACCTCCTCTGGCCATTTGATTGTGTTTATAAACTGAAGTGTTCTTGTCTTGGAAATCTTTAGCCTTTTCAGGGTCATCTGGAATCCCGAGGCTGATGTCATGTCCGGCTATCGGCACATGTAGTGTAGGCAGTTTACTCTATGGCTTCATCTGAGGGGTATGGGGCAGGATGTCTGTCCCAGTAGCCAACCCTTTTGCCCGTCAGGCCACCAATGGGAATTTCTCTTGCCAGTGGTTTGTTTGTACAAGTCTCCCAACAAATGCATCCTTGTAAAGGATGGCGGTAAAATAATAACTCCTTCTAGTTCATCTTTTTTGAAAGACAGACAAATTTGGGGGCACTCAGAAGAATTACAATTATTTACCTCCTGTGAGATAAAGGGCTGTCTAACAGGCTGATGTGTGGCCAGGACAAAACAGAGCAGAAACAGTGCCCATTACTGAGCAAGTAGACAACACGGGACTCCAAGTCTAGACACTGCCAGCGCCCAGCTGTGTGCTTATGGCGAACCCCTTCCCCTCCCCTACAGAGGCTCAGTGAACATTCGTAAAATGAAACCAGCCCAGCTAGGCAAATGATTTTAAGTCCTTCCTTGCTCTAAAGACTCAAACAAATTTACAAGAAAAAAACAAACAACCCCATCAAAAAGTGGGCAAAGGATATGAACAGACACTTCTCAAAAGAAGACATTTATGCAGCCAAAAGACACATGAAAAAATGCTCATCATCACTGGCCATCAGAGAAATGCAAATCAAAACCACAGTGAGATACCATCTCACACCAGTTAGAATGGCGATCATTCAAAAGTCAGGAAACAACAGATGCTGGAGAGGATGTGGAGAAATAGGAACACTTTTACACTGTTGGTGGGACTGTAAACTAGTTCAACCATTGTTGAAGTCAGTGTGGTGATTCCTCAGGGATCTAGAACTAGAAATACCATTTGACCCAGCCATCCCTTTACTGGGTATATACCCAAAGGACTATAAATCATGCTGCTATAAAGACACATGCACACGTATGTTTATTGCGGCACTATTCACAATAGCAAAGACTTGGAACCAACCCAAATGTCCAACAATGATAGACTGGATTAAGAAAATGTGGCACATATACACCATGGAATACTATGCAGCCATAAAAAAGGATGAGTTCATGTCCTTTGTAGGGACATGGATGAAACTGGAAATCATCATTCTCAGTAAACTATCGCAAAGACAAAAAACCAAACACCGCATGTTCTCACTCATAGATGGGAATTGAACAATGAGAACACATGGACACAGGAAGGGGAACATCACACTCTGGGGACTGTTGTGGGGTGGGGGGAGTGGGGAGGGATAGCATTAGGAGATATACCTAATGCTAAATGACGAGTTAATGGGTGCAGCACACCAGCCTGGCACATGTATACATATGTAACTAACCTGCACATTGTGCACATGTACCCTAAAACTTAAAGTATAATAATAAAAAAAGACATATCCAAAAAAAAAAAGACTCAATGTTTTTTGAGCTACAGGTCTCCAGTGGTATTGTTAGGGGAACAAAGAAGTGCACTGTGACTTTCCTGGGAGAAGCTACCAGCTGCGTGACCCTGGGCAAGGTACGCAAGCTCTCTGTCCCTCAGTTCCTTCACCTCAAAATGGGGATAACAATGTATCTACCTCATAGGATTCTGAGGATTACACAAGCTAATACTAAGGCATGGAGAACAGTGCCTAGCACATCATAAATGCAGTGTGGATGTTGGTGAATAAATAGAAAGAAAATAAACTACAGATTCCTTTGGCAGTTAGAGAGAGACACAGAGTTAAGGCCCTGAAGTGCATTAAAAATAAGACCAGAAGAGAGAAGATAAGAAGACCTGAACGTACTAAAGAAGCAAATATTTAGAAAAAGTTAAGGAGCTGGAAGCATCTCATCCGGGTTGGGATGAGTGGTGGTGGGTGGTTCATTTCTTTAGGAACCTGAGTACCTGAGGGAGAAAGCTCAGCTGGGAACTGGAGTTAGAAGGAAAAAGTATCAAGAGCACTGAGTGCCTCCAGCTGGTCCTAAAGCTGATAAGCCTAGTCTTCTGGGGAGAGGCTGATCCCTGCTGGGAACCCATCAGTACTGAGGAAGAACAGTGAGGACTAGAGAAGGAGCAATTGTGCAGGGTGGGCAACCTAGTAACAGGGTCAAGGGGGCTACCTGGATGAGGAGGGGAGCACCAGGGGTGTAGGACTGGGCTGGCAGGTGAGGTTATGTTCAGAGGGCTCCAGTGGGAAATCTGGCATGTGGAGGTCGGCTTGCACAGGGGGTCAGCGAGCAGAGACACAGAAGAGCAGAACTCAGTAACACAGGCAGGGGTCCAGCACCAGATCGGGGCATCGGTCACAAGAGAGAAGCTTGGGGCAAAATCTGGGAATTTCCAGGAACACAGCTGTTCTGTGTGTGGTAGAGACTCAACCATGTGTTCACCAAATCCATTTCCTGTTCTTCCTGGGTCCATGACTACAGAAATGTCCTGGGCTCCCTGCTGCCCCGGCTCCCGATAGGTGGAAGCTGGCTTGTGACTGAGTCTGACCAGTGGACTATGAACAGAAGTGGGGAGCATCCCAGGCTTGGTCCCAAAGGCTCCCCTGCAAGATCCTCCACTCTTACCCTTTCCTGCTGACTGGGTGCAGACCAACATGACACGTTTGGGAGATGGAAGAGCCATGGATGGAAGAAGCTTGGGTCACTGAATCTGATTTGGAACACCTATTTTGGAACATACTGCAATAACTACTTAGATTTCTGGATTTTGTTGTTACATCTGTCAGTGTTATAAATGTAAACCAGTAAGCTGAGGCTTTCATGGATAGAATCAATCAAAGGTTAAGGTCAAAGACATTCTGAGACTTGCCCAGCCTTAAGATGAAGCAATAGAGGGCCCTTTGGTGCTTGGTGGCTGCAACCGTGGCTGAGTTCTAGGAGGCAGTTTATTTTTTGTTGCTTGTGTATAATTTTTACCCCAAGAATCCCTTATGGTGCTGGCTGTGACCGATGAACAAACTCTTAGTGTTTAATGTGTGTGTCTGTAAACACAGGGAGAAGGGAAAGCTGCCTGAAGATTGGACAAAGAGCCTTGTAAATGTCTTGGGGTGAATGACAATGGGAAGATTAGGAGGAGTCTGCTGGGGAGCTGCCTGCAAAGGTCCCCTCTTATTCAGGAATTGTATCATCAGCTGAGTCCTTTGGAATTAGCAGACAGTTGTGAAGATAAAATAGTCTTGTAGCATAAGAAGCCGTAGGTAGTCTGGGAGCTATAAAAGCTCCTCATTAGTGACAAGATTTTAACAAAACCAAATAAACTTTAAGAAACAAGGACATTCATGGCTGGGCGTGGTGGCTCACGCCTGTAATCCCAGCACTTTGGGAGGCTGAGATGGATGGATCATGAGGTCAGGAAATCGAGACCATCCTGGCCAACATGGTGAAACCCCGTCTCTACTAAAACACAAAAAATTAGCCGGACGTGGTGGCATATGCCTGTAGTCCCAGCTACTCAGGAGGCTGAAGCAGGGGAGGCGGATGTTACAGTGAGCTGAGATTGCGCCACTGCACTCCAGCCTGGTGACAGAGCAAGACTCTATCTCAAAATAATAATAATAATAATGATAATAATAATAATAATAACAATAACAGAAACAAGGACATTCATACGTTTTCTAAATATTTTGACTCACTACATGAGAGAGTGACAAATTGTGATATCTGAAGAAAAGTCTGGGTAAAATTTCCACAACAGACTTTGCAATTTAGTGATTCTGATCATCTGAACTTCAGTTCCTTGTAGCTTGTGAAGAGCCTATCACTTTCTTTAACAATGTATTAGCAGGACAGAGGAAAGTGACTTTAAGGCAAGCAGTAGCAGCTCGTATATTTTACTAATAACGACACCTGGCCGTAAGTCAGGCGGTTACAGTCCCTAGGTGAGCAACAATTTTAGTCATGACACACAGACAATATTCTTTGCCAAATAAATTTTCCATAAGAAGAGGGAGGACCAGGCATATTTGGTGTTGAAGGATTGATTCCTATTTTTCAGTAAATTATGTCTCTGAATTAGTGTGCTTCTGTCAGTATGCATTCTGGTACATTCAACAGTTCTTATTGTTTTTAGTGGAATTTTTTTTTCTTTTTCCTTTTGTGAGACAGAGTCTCACTCTGTCACCGAGGCTGGAGTGCAGTGGCATAATCACAACTCACTGTAGCCTCAATCTCCTGGGCTCAAGTGATCCTCCCATTTCAGCCTCCTGAGTAGCTGGGACTACAGGTGCATGCCACCTTGCCTGATTAATTTTTGAAAAAAAATTTTTTGTAGAGACTTGCTATGTTGCCCAGGCTGGTTTCAAACTCCTGGGCTTAAGTGATCCTCCTGCCTTGGCCTCCCAAAGTGTTGAGATTATAAGCATGTGCCACTGTGCCCAGCTGTAAGTTGTATTTAAATTCTTTTTTTTCCATTTATAGATTGTTTTGATGTTTGAGAAGTTCATTGCACTGTTTGCTCCCACTAAATATTTTTAAACATTTAGGAAGAAGAGGCTGTGTTTCGCCTGAGGCAAAGGACTGAGAACTCCACAACTAAGAGTTTGTTTAGAACTCAAAACAGGATGTTCTGTTTGACCAAAAGAAAGTTTCTTTCTCTGCTTTTCATTCTCCTGTTAACTCTTCCCTTTTGCTAGCATATAAAAGATAATATCACCAAACAGCCAGTAAAGGAACGACTTATAAAAATTTGTAGTAATCTGGCAAGATTTTTCCCTTCTATTTTGTTAAATCTTAAGATTGCTCAACCATTGATGTGATTGTTGTTTGTGTGTTTTTTCTTTACCACGCCACCCTGGCATTTTGAGGCTGTGCTTGGGTGAAAAAGTTAAGCCAAAAGATCTCGGCTATACAGTCCAAATCCAGATTTATGCACCACGCAAGTTTCCACTCCCTCGTTCACAGACATACGCATTCGCGTTGCAATCATTTTGCAAAGGGTGATTCAGAGATGGGGAACATGGCGTTTCTTCTGAGAAGCAAATGAGTAGGTTGACCCACAGTGCTCACTTTCCTGCCTCACCGTTGTCACTGTCCTGACAACCTTGGTGAGTTTGGCTATGGGAATAAAATCTGAATATGTATTCTTGAACTTTGCCACCACATCACAGGCCTGCCCTATTATCATCTAAGAGAGCCCCCAGCAAACGGAGGGAAGGAGGAAACACCCTTGCCCAACATCAGCACTTTGTTCTCAATGAGTTTTAAAAGCTCCGAAGGCGGTTCTAAGGAGCAGTCAAGGCTGAGAACTCTGTTAACAGAGCACAGGTTAGACTGCAGTCCTCCTGGGACAGGGCTGGGACTCTGGTGTTTGTATCTTTAAGCGCTCAGCCCAGCAGGCAGCACAGAAGAAACGCCCACGAAGAACCTAGGGTGCGAAGGAGCACACTCTTTGGTTTCCAAAGACCAGTCCTGGCTTCCCTGAACCCTGAACCACTGCTCTGTGTTTATGGCCAACTGGGACGAAGGTGCTGGGTCCACGTGGAAGATGACACTCCTCCCCCCGGCACATCTGCAGAGAGGCTGTCCAGGACAGTAGTGGCCTTTTAAAGCTCCTGCAGAGAGGAGTCCTTGTAAGACCAGGTTGCTGCTACGTGAGGATGAAAAAGCCCAGAACTGAGAGTCGTCTCTCGTCCTAGTTTGGCCACTGACTGAGCAGCTCAGTATTGGTCACTGAACCTCAATGTTTTCAAATATGATGTGAGCTGGTTGCACTCAGAGGTTCAACATCCATCCTTCTATTTGCCCAGCAACCATGGGAGAAGGAGAAGAAAAGACCTGAAATAAGGGAACTTTGACAGCCAAGGGTGGCCTTTGATTCTCCCTCCCTTGATCTGTAAGTTGTTCAAGCTATAGTCCACCCCCAAGAAGTATCACAACTGGGCAGGTCCGGAGGCGAGACAAGATGTGGATTTTGACGGTGAATCAATGGGGCATTATTCAGCACAGCTGTCTCTACCCCGACGCTGAAACAGGGAGATCCAGAGCACAGTTAATGTGAGAGCAGATTCCTCCAGAAGGGAGGCTTTCGAGAGACCCACTGGGCCTGACTGTCAGGTACAAGGAACCCTGAGCCTGGCACAAGCAAGCAGCACACCTGATCTCTGTATATTCTAAGAGCCTGCATGCCTCAATTTCAAATAGATAAAGTTTATCATGTAGATGGAAGATTGGGATGGCATTCATTCATTCATTCATTCATTCCAGGTTTTACCCCTGTACTCACAGAACTGATGAGGGAGAGGAAGTATCAGCCACTGCGATAAGGGTCTAGCCCAGTTGGGGGATACGTGCTGACCACTGGAGGAACAGAGAACAACCAACAAACTCAACCAAGTGACCTGGAACAAGTGATGCCAACAGCAGCACCATGGAAGCTGAACTCAAGAAGTTCAGATGGGACGGGCACGGTGGCTCACGCCTGTAATTCCAGCACTATGGGAGGCCGAGGTGAGCAGATTACTAGGTCAGGAGATCGAGACCATCCTGGCTAACATGGTGAAACCCCATCTCTACTAAAAATACAAAAAATTAGCCAGGCATGGTGGCACACGCCTGTAGTCCCAGCTACTCGGGAGGCTGAGGCAGGAGAACCGCTTGAACCCGGGAGGCAGAGGTTGCAGTGAGCCGAGATTGCACCACTGCACTCCAGCCTGAGCGACAGAGCGAGACTCCATCTCAAAAAAAAAAAAAAAAGAAAAGAAAAGAAGTTCAGATGACAAAGGAAGGTTGTGTGCTTTTTGGCATGAAAGGACATTTTGGTACTAATCTAGAATTACAGACACGCCCTATGCCTTCATGTTGAAGAAGTACAAAGTTGAGGGAGGCAGAGGTGAGGAATCAGCCTTGTAGGTGGTGATGTCTCAGAGAGGAGCAAAGAGTAAGGAAAAGTAGTATGATGGTTTCTGATCCAGTGTCTGCCACAAACCAGCTTTGTGACCAGGTGAATTATGTCCTCTGGGCCTCAGCTTCCTCACCTGCGCATTGAATGCAAAATACCTATGATCTCTTCTGACTTGCCCTGAGGGCATGATGGCTGGCTAGACAAGCACCAACACCCACAATGCTCTCAGCACACACGTACACACAGGCTCACACTCACACGCATGCACACTTATGCTTGCACCTATGTGCTTGTACACATGCATGTACTCATTCACACACGCACCCTACCACACACAAGCACACTCACATACGTGCACACACCAATGTAGGCAGGGATGTGAATACACACACATGCTCACACACAGCCTTCCATGCACATGCTACATCCACACATACATGCTCATGCACACGCACATACACTCCTTTCCATGCACTTTCACACAAGTGCACAGTCCCCCACAACATGCACACTCTCACATATGCACACATACTCATATGCTCCCGCACGTGCACACACACAGCCTCACACACATGCCAACACACTGCCATGCACATCCACACATCTACACACACAGATCTGAGTGCCCTATAATCCACACTTTATTTCCAAATTTTCAGAAAGCAGTAACAGACCAGTCAGGAAAGGAAAATAAAAATCATCTGGAGCGTTTTTATGCAATCCTGATGATCTCGCAGCCTCGGGTTTAGTCTCTTTTTCCACTGCGTAGGGCCAGATACTTCCGTTTTTACATAGGTACCTCTTTTAGGGAGACAAAGCATTAAGAGCAATGAGCCAAGAGAAGAATTTGAAACAAAAGAAAAAAACACGAAAAAGAAAAAAAGAGAAAAAAAGCTTTTCCCATTCATGGCAAAAAAATAAAAAGGATGTTTGGAGTGTTCATGCAGGATATTTGTATAAAGAACTGCATGTCCTTGTTTACTTTCTGTGGAGCCCCATTTCCTCCCTAGAATTCCTGGTGGTCATACTCACCAGTTATGGGACTCTCGAGATGAAAATCTGTGACACAGAGCACACACACACACACCCAGGCAGGGGAGTCCTGTGAAGCTGGATGCTCTGAAATCTAGGGCATTTCCGAATCAAGTATCTACCTCCTTGTGCCTTGCCATTCTCTGACCTGGCCCCAGAGCTGCAAAGAGAAGCTGAGGAGGACATTGCTAAGGGTCACACCTGGTGACACCTGTGTGGCCTGTGGTTAACAGTTTGGGAAAGTAAGCATCCTCACTGCTGCATGCCAGGACAGGGATGGCTATGTGCCAGCCACATCCCAGGGCGGTCTCGATGGAGCAGTCCCCTCCTGTGGGTCTCTGATGTCCCCAGGAGAAAGGCACATTGGTGAGGTCTCACATTCAGTTACATAGTGCTCTTGCATTTCTTACCCCACTTCATCTGCACACTTCTATACATTAGATAGAGCCCTGTTTTACAGATCAGAAAACTGAGGCTGAGAGTGGTTAATTTGCCCAAGATCACAAGGCAAGAAAGTAGTGGAGCTTAAATTTGGATTTTCATTATCTAAGTCCAAACGTTGTTCTTTACCTTGCATCATGAATAATAATTAAAATAATAATAAATGATAAGCAAACATTTTTCAAGGGTTTACTAAGTGCCTCACGCCACTTTAAGTGCATTCTATGGATCAATTTATTTAACCTTACAATGCTATGAGGTGGATACTTTTATTATCCCCAGTTAGCAGATGTGGAAATCAAGCTCCAAATGGTTAAGCCACTTGCCTAAAGCCACATGGCCAATGAAGGGAGAAGAAGATGCTTTGGTTTACTGCCCTGCTGTCCAGAGGAAGGCGTGAGGTAGCCCCCAACCCACACCCCCTCATTGACTGCTTTCAATGTACAACACCATAAGTATCTCACTCTGTCATGGACATTCAGAGAAGGCTTCACCCCACCAATCAATGACAACTTACTTTTTCCCCAAGGATCAGATAATTGATCTGATTATGCGTTTGCTGCAAATGGAAATTAACATCATTTGCCCTTCTATTTATTTTTGCTTTTCCCACTGAAAATGCTATTATGGTTATATACGCCATAAAAGAATTGTAGTAATGTTGTATCTACATTAATTTCCACCCAAGAGTTTTCGATTTTCACTTTTTATGGTGATGGAGGCTACAAACGAGAGAACTGCAGTGGCTGTAAATCGTTCTCTTCATGAAAATGTGCCAGATGAGGTGAAGGAAGGAGAGCGCAGGGGTCCTAAGAGTAAGGGCATATTTAAAAAATAAAAAGGTTATTCATGCAATTATCCAATTTCTTCAGTAAGTGGAAAAAAATCTTAGGGATGTAATGAAAACACATTCACAAACGTGTTTTTAAGAATAGTATTTTCCCAGGCCGGGCGCGGCGGCCAAGGCGAGTGGATCATGAAGTCAGGAGATCGAGACCAGCCTGGCCAACATAGTGAAACCCTATCTCTACTAAAAATACAAAAAATTAGCCAGGCATGGTGGCAGGCGCCTGTAATCACAGCTACTTGGGAGGCTGAGGGAGGAGAATCGCTTGAAACTGGGAGGTGGAGGTTGCAGTGAGCCAAAATCGCATCATTGCACTCCAGCCCAGGCGACAGTGTGAGACTCGGTCTCAAAAAAAAAAAAAAAAAAAAAAAAAAAAAAAAAGAAGAATAGCGTTTTCCCATTGAGCTTTCGTCTGGACTGATGGAATCATGGATGGACCCCTCACCAGGCCACCGAGACTCAACTGTGCCACGTCAGTGTCACGGGGGAGGCTGAACTTCGCCATCCAGCCCTGAACACAGGATCTCAGTGTTGTCTCAAATCAGCCCTTTTGCAGGCATGCACAGGGTGTCTAAGAGTCTGGTGTTAAGTTGAAAAGGTCTAATGTAGTGTTTTAAAGAGAAAAGGATTCTCCAGCCCCATAGTGGTGAGAAGTGACACAGAGTCACATTACATAAAATGACGAGGCCTGAGGTGATTGTGACAGTGAGGGTGACTCATTAATCCCAACACTGGGATCCTCTGAGCTCTCCCTAGCAGGGTCTCAAATGTTTGAGTGAAAGACTGCAGCTAGAAGACTGACAAAACCACACTGAACTCACTAGGGCAACTGCCTTTATTTCCAAGGCAGCTTCCATCGAAGGGAGTGGCAATTCATATAATCACCAATTGCTGAAAGACATCTTTTCCACGTCAGATTGAAACCAGTTTTGCAGCCTCCTTAATGTAGGTGCTGTGGCTGAGGCAACTAGAGAAACAGTGGACGCCTCCCTGGCCCCACTTCCCAGTGCCTTAAAGTCTGAGAAAAACACTGATTGACATTTCCAGGCTGCTGTATTTCCCTCACCAGCCCCAAACGCCCGATCCAGCTTCCTGCAACTGTGGCAAGGGCGTGAATGTCCCCAGGAGGCAGGTTGCAGAGTTGTTTAGATCCAGGACTGCATCCCAGTTTGTCCATCTGTGTGTCTATGTCTGAGTGGGCGAGTTGCTTCTCAGCTCTCCGCAGGACTCTGGTGTTGCTTGTTGCTTTGGCCTGGGGCTGATTCCTCCAAAGCAATGTGTCTCTTCGCAGAGTCTCTTAGAGCTGCAAGGCAGTATGGGATCATCAGAGAGGATGCTAGGAAGCTTCAGAAATGGAGGTCCTGGTAGAAAGGGTCCTTTGGCGTGGCCTCTGAAGAGTCCAAATGTGGGACAAGACCCTCCGAAAGCGGTGGCCTGGGGAGCCACAGGTGGGGCAGCCAGCACGGAAGAGGGTGGCTTTGCTACCATTGGGAAAACTTATCCTCCACATCCTCATGAGGCAAACACCTTTCCTACCTTACCGCTCCTCAGTGGCCTCCCTGTTGCCTTCTTATTCAAGACTAAGACCCTCTAGAATGTTCTTTATCCTGAGTCCAGCTGATTGTCTATACTAATATCAGTACGGGGTGTAGATGAGGACAACCAGTGTGCCTGGCTGCCAGGCACCCCCTCCCCAAACCCCAGGAGTTTCTGGAACATTCCAACTCTGCTTGAGGGTATCCATGCAGCATCTACTACTGTGAGCAGGTGGTCTGATCTGTGGAAAACTTCTATGATTCACCTGAGGGTAACTGCCCTTTGTGATTTGAAAGAATGATGCTAACAGAAAGTGTTGTCATTTCTGAACTTTTCTGAACTCTGCAGCGAGTGCCAAATTCATGTATTTTAGGAGACCTACGTGGTTCTACATGTAGCTAAAACAATTCAGTAACCCCGCCGGCAATTCTGCAATAGTTCTTGGAGTGATGAAATCAAGAAGGAAGAGTTCTGCCTCCCCATTTAGAAACTGTTGAGCAGAAAGGTATAAGTCAGGCTTTTCCTATTACAGGTCTCCTTCAGTGTGAAGAGGAAGTTCAGTTTTCATTTATCTCTTGCGCCCTTTGAAGTACAGGCCTCTGTCTGCTTAATGGCCCAAACCGGGGCGACTACGATGAATTCCTTTTACATCAAACACAACCCTGTCTGAAAAGGCAGTAATATTTCTCAACATGTAAACCTGCCACGACTTTGGTGTTTGCAAGCTGAAGATGGTTACCCAGTGTGGTTGCTAATGGAGCAAAAATGCGCATAGAGCAGGGAGCAGGTGGAGGTGACTGGGGACCCTCTGACAGGTTGTCTAGCCACAAACCCATCTCTTCTAATCCATTCTACTCACAGGGCAGGCTGTCTCCTGCAGGGGCCAACAGAGAAAAAAAAAACACAGAAAATGGGGATGGGAGAAAGAGAGGACAAGAAAGGAAGAAAAGATGAAACGTGGAGAAATAGCAAAAGGAAATGAAAAGAACTTTATTGCTCAGTTTCTTCTGCCTGACCCAATTATCAGATTTTGCATTTAAGTTTAAGACAGTAGATCAAACAGCGAGAGGCACTTTGTACTTCTGCCAGGAGACCATATGATATCTCTCAGTGACTCTCCTGCATGCCAGGAACACGGACCCATGCCTCTTAGCTGGGTCTGCATATGGTGCAATGCATAAAAAAAAAACAGCAAAATTCATAAATGACTGCACTCGTGGGTGATGTCCAGGATTTACAGCGCTTTATCAGTTAAAGCAAAAAAAAAACAAAGGCCAGGCAGAATCTAATTATAACTTTCCACAAATAAGTCAAAAGTGGAATGAGAACTGAAAGAAAGACAAAAGACTGGTGTCACGCTTACTTTGCAAAATTGATCATCTTGAGGATTGTTTTATGTGGGATACAGAACATTTTACAAGGTATGGATCATATCTGTTCTGGGGATTTTGACATTTCTTGCAGTGACCATGTGCAGCCTCCATAGATGTGAAGGGCTGGATGGCAGACGTTCATGTCTTCCTTCTCCAAGCTATGGCTTGCCTCCAGAGATAATTACTTTATGAACACACTTGTTATGCATTGAGATAATTTATGTGGGCTACGGTATTTAACACTTTTTCATGCCTTCAGATAAGACTTTGTGCAGCTAAATGAAATAGATGCTTTAGAAAGGTCTCTTTTCACTTCCCAGAATCATGGCAACATCAGGAAAAGGAACCTTTCACTTCAAGGCTGGGGGTATGTCAGGAGACGTGGTGGAGAGATATTCTACTCATCACAGCAGTTAGTTTTGGAAGCACCACAGATGACTCCAACACCATTAAGGGTGGCGAAATCAGGTTGGCAATAGCAGCACTTACTTTTCCAAATTAAATCAGTTCATATGCTTTGCAGATTGTTCAAATTCAGCCCTTTTCCTGGGAGAAGACAGATGTGGCAGAAGAACAGGGGCACTGCTGTTTTATTCTGATCCTGGATGGCTGGGGTTTTAAGATTGGCCTTTGCCCTCAAAAGTCACCTTCAGCCTTCAGAAAAATCCTTCAGTGTTTTTTCAGCCCTCCACTTCCCTTCACCCTTTACATTTTACCTCACTGGGCTCCTACGTTGGTCAGAGGTCGTGTTCCACTTTGGTGCACTCTTAATGTGTGCATATTATTCTTTACATCTGCAAACTCATTTAATCCCCACACTAACCTTGTGAGGCAGGCACCATGGTTGTGTTCTTGTATGGACTATGATGGACCCACTGCACACTGATGAAAACCATGGCCTTATGTAGCAAGAGGTTAACAGTTGGTCAATCTGGGTGAAGAGTATACAGCCATTCTTTGTATTACTCTCGCAACTTTCCTGTACGTTCAAATTATTTCAAAATTAAAAGAAAAAAAAAGGTCTCCAGAGCTAGATAAGTTTGGATTGCAGTAATGGCTCAACTACTTACTAGCTGTTTGTAAACTAAGGGTTTTATATCTATCGCCCATTTGATCCTCATAAACTTATAAGGTTATGTTGGTATATAGTTTATGTAGGTATTATACATTTATTTCAGCTGTGTCCATGAGGAAACTGAGGCTCAGGGAGGTCGAAGAATGTGTCCAAAATGCCTGGGATTATGTATACTATGCTGTGCTTATCTACAGTTTGAATTGACTTATTAGTATTAGGCTCCTAGAGCTATGAAGAAATACAGTGTTAGATCAGTTCTTTTTTATCAAAGAAGATTTTATGAGGACACACAGTAGCTGCCAATGAAGACTCTGATCTTAAAAGATATAGCATGTAACTTAAAATTTCTTAACTTCCCTTAATTGATTTCTAAATAATAGATTGATAAGGAGAATCCTGGGAAAGGCCAAACATTGAGAATTTTGTTAATATTAATTCTTCCTTATAATCACTCTAAAGAATGATAATTCTTTTGCTTTATCTTAAGAAGGTACTTTACTATCTGGATCATTTTTATCACCTTCCAGATACATTTAAAATTTTTATCAGCCATCCATCCATCCATCCATCCATCCATCCATCCATCCATCCAACCACCATCTATCTTATCCACCCACCCTTCCATCATTTATTATGTATGGCGTACATACTATGAACAAAGTCTTTGTCAAAGAAGGAAAGGTGCATATCTAGCCTTCACTGAAGTGAAGGAGGGAATACAGGCCTAACTACACCAGAAGGTAGGGCACAGGTTCCCATGTGAGGGCAAGAGATAGGGAGGTAAACTCCGGCAGCTCAGAGGGGACAGAAAGGCTTCTTTGGAGCCCATGAATTGCAACAATCAAACCTCAAGCACCACATATTTTACAGAACAAGCATAACAACATGTTGTGTGGTTCACCAGTGCCTAATAAAGGATTTCTGTGGCCTACCCTGATGAAGCAGTGGATTGCACTGATGTCTTCACTGAGGAATGATCTCAGGCATGATTTTAATGACCCTTTGCAGGGTTATAACTGATCTCTTAGAGACCATAATTTTAAAAATATAGTTTAGAACACTTTCTCCTGAACACATTAACAGGCCAACTTTCAAGTTTACATGGCATTTTTATATCCACTACCCAAATCTTTCTGTAGTTCATTCCATTTATATGGCACCTGGATAAGCTCATTTTTACCAGAAAAACTGGAAATTTCACTGCCTGTCCTGCTCTGACTTTCAGATGACTCCTAAAATATTGAACTAAGGAGCCCAACATTGACCACTGGGGGCCTTGAATTCATACTTTTCATCTAGGGAAATGTCCATTTGGTTTCTGCCTTCATATCAATATTCTATGGCAAAACATTTTCCAATTCTATGGTAATTAAATAAATAGAAGTTTTACTAGGTTCCATGACAAATAACCTCTGGAAGTAAAAATTATTTATATCTCTGGCCTCATGTGTCCACTTGCTCATTATCTACTCAAAGAAATGTACAATATACATTGCCCTATACAGCAAACAAATGAAAATAACCAAAAGCAAACTCCTGTTCCTAAAAAGTATGGATAAATGCAATTTTTGCTTTGTGCTTTGTCAAATGAATCATATGTTACCATCACTAAAGACATTTGCTATTTGATAGAATTCTGTTGTGAATCTTATCATAAAATAAAACATTTCTCTTGATTGATCTTCTGTATAAGCAAGGTGTTGAAATGTTAGGTTTAGAGAGACAAGACTTTCTACTTAAATGACCAAGTGGTTTGGGACTTTGCATTGATTAACTCTACAAAGAATGAGATTGGTGGTGTGCAGCCTTCCATACAGCAGGCATCATTTGGCAGGCATCTTCTTTTATAATAATCCCATTGTCCAGTTGCATGCAACTGGACCCACGGGTTGGAGAGAGCCTGATGCTCCCTTTGACTTTTCTCCCTCAACATCTTGCTCTGGGTGAGATCATTAATCTATTATTTTTACATTAGTGACTCCCAAATTCATGTCTCCAGCCCAGAACTATTTCCTTGGAATTCTAGACTGACATTTCTGGAGAACCTTGAGAGCTCTTGTTGTGTACTTCATGGAATCCTCAAAACCAATATATCCCAAACTAATCACTTGAATGGATTCCCCAGCTCACTAGAGATAGGCAGTAAGGCTCTTTCTCCCTCCATCTGTCTCTTAGAGACTATCTCATAGTTTTCAGTCCTGCATGCTTATATGGACAAAGGGAGGAGGCAGATGTAGGAATCTTTTATTCAGGCCCCTCACATCTCTAAAAGATAGTCCCACTTTGGTGCCTGTGATGTTATATTGTAGTGGTTGGTGTATTTGATTGTCTCCCTTGCTACATAGTTATCATGCCAAGGACAAATTTTTGTCTGTGAATGGAGAAGAACGAGGGAAGCTCAAATCCCTGCAACGTACTGGCTTCCTGACCTGGATTGGACAAGTCACATAATCTTTCCAGGACTAATCCAGTGTCATCATGTGTGGGAAATTTTTGTATGTGAATTTTATGATACTATACATATATAAGTGATTTTTAAGAGGCCATTTATTTTCTCTTACAGTTTTCCAAACTTTGCATGTATTGATATAATAAATGTTTTATCACTGATCCAATCCATTCTTCATGCATTCATCATTACAATCCTCCTATAAATCTGCTTGTAAATCCCAAGTACTAGTTTAATTTACCAAGAGAACAACACAAACCTCCCTCCATGTCATAGAAAACTCAGTTTGGAGACACTTTATATTAAACCTTATTCCCAAATGTCATCACCACCCAGGGCAAATGGCTCATCTGACACTGTTAGCTTCTAAGGAACATTTTAATCCTTTCTACTATTGCCAGCATAGCACATGAATGACACCAAATCCACTACAAGTCTCCAGGGAGAAATGCATCGCTGATATGATGGCTTTATCTACATTTACACATTGAGGGGAAAATTGAGCTTGTTTTCATACTTCCACAAGTGCACTCTTCTAGCCCACTTTGCCTTTATTATCTCAATATTTCTGATGAATCGGAATTTTGGCCTGGATTATCCAAAGAATTGTTTCAGATCTCTTTGCCTCCACACGTAGATGGAGCTTTAGGCTATGCTCCTCCCACCCCTTCATAAATTCATGGCTTTTCAAAAATTTTCTTCTCTGTTTTCGTAAAAGCCAAGTGCAAAGAGAGAAACTAACTGATTGTACTTCTTCTTGATATGCCTGATAGTTTTCTGTCATCTTAATCATCACACGAGCAAGACTACTCAACACCCAGGCCTTCTGAGATCCGAACAATAAGTAACCACCAGTCACCTCCACACAGGCTGGCCAGGGGTGCTCATGGGGCAGAGTCCATATTAGCTGAAGACTTGCCTGTCCTCTGCCAGGGAACTCTACGGAAACGAGGGCAAGCTTTGCATGAAACCCCATTTGCAAACCGAAACCGTGAAAAAAAAAAAAAGGTGGTTCAGTGTGGTTTTTACTCAAAACCAGGTGAAGCTTTGTGGTTCAGCCAAGTTTTGACTTGAAGCCGGAGAGAGCTCACTGTGTTTGGCTGGACCTTGTTTTACATTTCATGTTCCATTTGGTTCTGTTTCCCAAACCTGAAACTGAGGGTTCAGATGAGGGGCACAAAATGAATAAAATGAAGTTGACATGAAATGTGGTGTAGATGAAGACAGCACCAGCTTTGTGATGCCAACTCCTGCTCCTGCTCTCTGCCGGCACTCCTTCTAGAAACGGCCTTCCCCACACTAAGTAGTTCCCTGGGACTTTTCTTTAAGGAACAGAATGATTAACACTATACAAAAATAGCAAAGGCTATTTTGCTCTTGTTTATTTTAACAGATCCATTAACAAATCTGTTTTTGTGAGTCAGCCATTGAGACTTTTGAGGAAAACATTTTAAGTAACAGACTGTGACGTTATAATGGCATGAATTTATTTAATATGTTTTAAATATCTACTATGTGCTAGAAATTTTAACTTATTAAGTTCTCACCGTATTTTATAGATGTGGAAACTAGGCTCAGAGTGATTGGATAAATTGCCCATATGCTAAAAGAGAAGGCAAGCAAGTGTAATACTAGGCAGAGCCAGCTAGATGTGGAAACTAGGCTCAGAGTGATTGGATAAATTGCCCATATGCTAAAAGAGAAGGCAAGCAAGTGTAATACTAGGCAGAGCCAGCTAGTAAGTGGTGGAGGAAAAGACTTCCCCCTGGATCTTTTCCCTAGCTATTTTCATTAGACCTCAATACCTACAAATCAGACCGAAGTTCTGCCCTCCGGGATATTATGAAGATACATATTTGGCTTCATAAAGAAGCTCTGCTCTGCTTCTATGGATTTAACCAACTGTGGATCTCTCTACGTATAGATCTGTATATATGGATGGTTGTCTGTATTGAACATGCGCAGACTTTTTTCCTGTCATTCTTCCCTAAACAATACAGTATAACAACTATTTGCATAGCATTTACATTATGTTAGGTATTATAAGTAATCTAGGGTTGATTTAAAGTATACAGGAGGATGTGCACATGTTATATGCAAATACTACACCATTTTAGAAAAGAGACTTGAGCATCTGAAGATGTTGTTATTCCAGAGGGGTCCTGAAACCAATACCCCCATGGATACTGGGGGGTGACTGTACTTAAAACAATAGTGTGTGGTGGAAAGTGCTAAACTTCCTAAAAGTTGTCCAAATGGTGAGCTGTGTGGGTTTAGAAGAGGGGAGAGAAGGCTTCTAGCTAGGGAAGGAGGGGTGGAGAGGGTAGCAATTGCAAAAATCTTTGTAAAAACAGTGACATTTGTGACACAGAAGAGCAGTTGGGTGTGTAGCTCTTGGGGGGCGGAAATAGTTTTGGAGGGGAGACAGGGTGGCTGAAAACAGAGAAGAGAGAGGATTATTTGTTGAAGTGAAGAGTTTATAAAGGAGAGTTAAGGAAAGTAATTTTGGAAAGATGGATTGAGACTAAATTATGGAAGGTCTTGGTTTCACGGCCAGTTGAGTTGTGTTTTATCTGCAGAAGAAAGCTATCAAATATTTTTGAGTCAGTATTCACAAAATCAGGACAAAATGTAGGTGAAAGCCAGAGTTTAACTCTGAAAATTACTTGTGTCTTATTGGAAATTTGGAGGGAGATTGAAAAAAATACATCAATTGGTCTTTCCAAAAAAAAAAAAAAATTACAGAAGAAAAGCTAATCATTTTCACACTGTTCAAGCTCAATGAGATCTAGTTGAGATTACAGATTAATACAAAGCTCTTGCTTACATTTTGAAGTTAGTATTTATTAGCACATATCTTGCAAGAGTATATCATCAACTGCCTTTCCCAAATTGAAAAATTTCCTCAAATATATGGGCTCCTTTTTTCATGATCACTATCCTTCCAGGAGAAAAATAAAATTAAATTTAAATTCTCCCTAATGAGGGAAGTAAAACACTAAGGAATAAGTTTTATCCAGTAGGATTGAGCTTTGGAGGTCCACAAGTCATTATAATTGTAAGACTTTTTCTATCCCTGAATACTAATTTTCATCCCCCTGGGTGCAATATTGCTCCCATTGGGACTGCATGGTGTAGGCCCAAGCTTGCTTTGCCATGACATTTTGACGAACACCGTGGAAGCTCTCTGATGTCTGGTGAAGTCTGCGTCACAGAAGGGAGGACGGATACAATCTCCTAGCCAAATAGGTTGACAATTGATAGGCTATGTGAAAGATTTGATTCAAAAATCAAACAGAGAACCTAGAGAACTACTGGGGAAGACAATATTGCTAGAGCACCATGATCAGTTACATGTTGGTTATTATACGTCCCTTAGGCTACCAGTGTTTCCTGTAAAATAATCTGCCTTTATTTTTTGCTACGCATTCTGCTAGGTGATATCGGTAGAAAAGTTAAAAAAAAAAATGCTAGAGGTGGATCTCACAAAACATAGCAGTGTGAGGGTGAGCATCAACATAGTATGCCTCTGAAGTCTTGAATTTACTCTTGCTATCCAAATTACCTCACTCAAACGGGGAAATGTTCCTTCCATTAAGTAATAGCTGTGAAAATATTTATCTTCACCAATTCAATGGATATTCTTTGGAGAAATCTCTGTATAATTTAATAAATTAGAGTGGTTGAGCATATAATGTTGTGTTTTGTTGTTGCTGCCGTTTTACTGACTATGGCTATTGTGTGAATTTCTGTTTAATCAATCAAAATTATCCATTTTGTCTTTAAAAAGAAAAGAAAAATTTGAAAAATAAGAGTAGTCTACACGGTGTTGAATTCCCCACTGTACCCAAAGATCGATGGCTCATCCTTCTGAAGAAGGGAATTTTGAGCCAATATAATAATAATTGGTGAACTGCTATTATCTTTCAATGATCTTCCATTTAGAGGAAAAAACTTACTGCTTTTACAAGCTCTGGAAAACTACCCCAGGAGGGTTATCTTGGTTCACTGAGCTTGGGCTATGGATTTAGGTACCAAGCAGTTTGACAATCTTATACAATTTTTCTTTGGTCAAGTCACTCCAAGACTCCTATCAGCCAAAACTATAATTTGATGGTTCATCATTTTTAACCTATTACTACCTGCTTTTGCGGAGAGAGGGGTAGGATTTCAATCCCAAAACATACTTTAAACTGTCATTACAACATATACACATGGAAGTGGGGACAGTCAGGTATTTGATCCAGACTGGATTATGTGTGACTTCACACATACTTTTAGAAGTTACTTCTACAAAGATATTTGGAGCTTGGAAACACACTGGAATGACTTGGCTGTAAACCTGAATGGAGAATGTCGCTGGAGAGGCCAAAAAGCTGTCTCCATCTTTCTTCCAACATCCTTCTAGTGTGACCTATTGCTATGTAAGGAAGGTAACTGTTATTCCATCTACTTCATAGTTTTCATCATGGATTCATGAGGCAATGTGTAAAATGTCCAATGTCTTTAGAGTAAACAGCATTTTTTTTTTTTTTGAGACGGAGTCTCTCTCTGTCGCCCAGGCTGGATTGCGGTGGCAGTGATCTTGGCTCACTGCAAGCCCCGCCTCCCAGGTTCACCATTCTCCTGCTTCAGCCATTCTCCTGCCTCAGCCTCCAGGGCAGCTGGGACTACAGTCACGTGCCACCATGCCCGGCTAATTTTTTGTAGTTTTTAGTAGAGACGGGGTTTCACCGTGTTAGCCAGGATGGTCTCGATCTCCTGACCTCATGATCCGCCCGCCTCGGCCTCCCAGAGTGCTGGGATTACAGGCATGAGCCACCGCGCCCCGCCCATAAACAGTATTTTTTGACCAATGAGAAATCTGTAAAAAATTCTGCCATGATGACTTACTTTCTATTGATAAGTATGAGGGTGCTCATTCTACGTTAGTTTTCTACAGAACTCAAAAATAAGTGGTCCTTGTGGAATAAATGAATGGAAATGTTGTTTTACAAATAAAAAATAAACTTTCCTTTCATTTTTACTGTCCTCAGGAATGTGACAAAAAGCATAATTTTGATGTGTTATTATTTGTAGTTTCCCAGAAGGAAAAATATACTGTCAAAGTTAGGGATCTATTTTTACCAGTATAACAAGATGTCACTGGGAGACCATTACTTTATTGGAAAGTTTTTGTTTTTTTAAAACTTGTCTACTGCAGCTTCACATATTTCATAGTTGTGTGTTTCCTGGTTAAAAAGCACGAAACTTTTCAACATTTGCTGCTCATTTTGTGAGCCAGATCAAGGCAAGGAAATTCCAATATTTATGAACAACTGTAGAGGGTAATTGAAGGATAGTCTGCTGTTTCTGCCAGTTCTACTGATAAACTGTGGGCTGTTGTATTGTTTAAACCTCTGTCTGCTGGAAGGCTTCTTTTTCTGATACTGAAGCATGTTTTCCTAAGCCACCTGGATGCAAAGAGGAGATTTTCAGGTGACCTTGGGGTCTCTCCCTTGCCAGACTTCTCAGACAAAACACACACACAGATACACACACACACACACACACACACACACACACACACACACACAGCATCTTTGTCCATCCTGGGCCAGGTAGGTTCTTATGAGACAGACCATTATCCCTTGAGTTTGAGAGAGTAAAGATCTCTCGTAATTTCCATCTCGCCTGCAACTCTGAGCCCTGAAGGCTCCAGTCAAGCACAGCTGACTGGGAACTGTCAAGTCTGGAGGATGCTGCATATATTCCCATGCCTGGGTTCTGGAATAGCATCTGTGACCCACAGCCCCCGGAATAAGAGAAAGAGTCTTTTTGGATTTGATTTTGTTCATAGATATATGCTCCAAGATATGCCTCAAGCGTTATATGCTATACATCCTCATAAGTCTTTCTTATAAGTCATAGTCTTTATAACCAATGCTTTTTTTTTTTGTTTGCATAGGTTGGCAACTCAAAGGTCAGTACCAAGGATTCTCTATAACTGCCATTGAACAATATTACAATATTTATTAAAAAAATCTTTCCATAGGTATTTTATCAGGTGCTCTACAAGAGAACTACATAGGCACATATGTGGTTTGGAGGGACTTACAGTCTCATTCAGGAAGACCTTGACAAACAAATGCTAACATAAAAACCACCAGACTGCTATTTAGCCATTCTGTCTGGGATGACTATATTAATTATTTTATGACAGCGTTTCTTTCCTTCTGAATGGTTGTTACCAGCGAGGTACCTTTTGCTCAATGTTTGCTTAAAGACATGTCTATATATTATCTGGCAAGTCTATTTCACGTCTGTTTTAAAGTCATGTCGGTTTTAAGTGCATTAGATAGCACTCTGATGATGTTCACAGTAGTATAAAAACATCAGCTTTGAAATGTTGGGCTCCATTTTCATTAACAAGTTTTTTTCTCCCCTTGGTCCCAAAGCAACCTAACAGAGAACAGAGGGTAGGACCAAGAGTGAGGAGTGCTGGGTCTGCCAGGTGGAGGGTGCTGGGTTCGTCTCAGTGGGCTCCAGAGCCAGGTCGCCTGCCCCAGAACACAGCTCTGCCCCTGCTAGCGCATGGCCGAAAGCGAGCTACTTGCTGTAAAATGGGATTAAACAACACGAATCCTGCAGGTTGGTGGAAGGATTAAATGAGTCAATATACATAAAGCGCTTATGTATAAGTACCTGGCTTGACAGCAAAGGCTATATAAAGATCTGCTATTATTACTTTGGTCTTGGCTTTGTCACTGAAGAGCAGGCTGTGGAGCCCCACTGAGTCTCAGTCTCTTCATATAAACAGTGGACGAAGTTCTCTGGAACCATTAGCCTTGTCGTTTTCTTTCTAAATAAGGCATCTTGCAAGTACCCAGGGAAAAATCACACCAAGGAAGAGACCACACAATTTATTCACCAACGCAGGCCAGTGGGCATAAGCCAGGCCAGTATGGGTCACCCCACATTTATCAGGTCCTACGTAGCCTGGGGATGGGGTATTCTGCCTGTGAAGATAGGAGGAGCTGGGTCTTGTTTCAAATTATGAGGGTGGTATTTAAATAGCACCCATGTTTGGCTTCACACTTTTCCCGAAATCTCTCTTTATTCCCGTCTCATAGGCAGAATCAGGACCAACATCACTGAACAAAGAGACACGAATTAAAAATCAGTTGTTTGGATTTTCATTTCTGCTGAGTGTTCTCTTTTAAAATGACCTCTGCTATCCCGAGGGAAACAGTTTTCCCCATTACTGACGGAAAGTGAAGTCTCCTCAGAAGGAGGATTTCCCTTCCAGAAATTCAAAACCAGAAAAACTATCAAGACACTGTGATTGTGTGCCAGTGAACAGCCGTTTCCAAAGATTTGAATGGAATAATTTGTTTTTCATGGTTTGTAGGTAGCAGATAAAACTTACATGGAAAAATGGACAAGAAGAAATGGAAAATAAGACACAGAACCTGGAATCATCAGCTTAAAAAGCAATTTGCTTTATTTCAGCTGTGCCCAGAAATAGCTTGAGGTTACCAAGTGAGTATTTCTACTGGAAGCATCAGCTACAATTAGGTCACCAACTTAGAGAAGACGTAGGCGGAAATTTAAACACCAAGTCTATCATTATAAAGGTACTTTATCAGCAAAACTGTCAGCTATGGATGGTTGACTTAAAATTATTAAGAGGCTAAAATATCAAAGGAGAAGACAAGTCTGTGGAAGGGTCCCTCCTAAGATCAACAACAGCTGAGGGTCTAAACATGAGGAAGCGGCTTTAATAGCATTGCTTGTGGAGTTCGTTTTGAAGTCCTTAACTTCCACGCCAATCTGATGTGAGAAAAATAGATGCTTCCCTTTGGAGTCCTTGTTCCAACCATGGAAACCTGGGACACACACTTAATTCTGCTGGTGACAGAATGACAAATCTGTTATTGTTTAGGATAAGTGAGGCATGGCAATACTCTTCTGAATTTCGGTGAAAATTAGATGTGAAAATCTGTAATGGTACTATTCAAGCTTCCCCTTAAACAAGAAACATTGAGCAAATAAAAATATGGAGTCCCTGGACCTATTCTAGAAGCCTGGTGCCAAGGAATAGATTTTGCATGGATCAGCTTAAGCTCACCCAGGAATGGATTTAACTTTCTCCTGGAAAATTTATTTGAAAGTCCAAAAAAAAGAGTATTCATTATTTATGGATTTAGTAATGACTAGATTTTACAAATATTTGGATCCACATGAGCCATGGAATTCAGAATAATATTATTTCCTGCCATATTGGTAACTGATTTTTCAAAGAAGATTTTACTTGATAGTTAATTTAATCCATTTTGCTTGATTATTCAAATGTTCCAAAACACCCAGTGGTGGCCTATTTTTTTTTGTCTCTTTTCACTATAATAATATGGCTTGATGTTTCACAATGGCTGTATCTGTTTCCTTAGCTACAAAATGGTTCTGAGACCGGTCTTTCTGTATCTGTAGGTCATTGCCATCAGTGCAGCAAGGAGCCCCCCTCAACAAATCTCTCTTCTTTATATGGGGCTGATGCTTGGCCAAAAGCCTGCAAGGGTGAGTCTCAGAACAGCTGCTAAAAATGCAGCTGGATAGTGAGACAGAAGTGCTCAATGCCAGTTCGCTGGGCACATTCGTTAGTACATGCCAATGCTGGAGGAGCCGTACAGACAGAAGGCACTTCATTTCATCCGCAGGTCACTAAATGCCTTTGTCCATTTCCTGCCTTTCCTTTATCACATGGATATTAGCGCTTATCTACTCAAGTCATTATAACTATAAATCGCTACCATCTTTCTTACCAAGGATTTAGTCTTTTGTGCCACATACAAGGTGTAGAGAATTCTTCTAGGGATAGACTTCTAAGTCCAAGCTACCCAGGGAACTACCATTTACATCATTCATTAAGTAAAATAAAGATTGTTGTTGATGAAGGGGTAGCTCTTACTAGGGTCCCAGGGTTAGTCCAAGGCTCAATTATGAAGTCAAAAGGGGTGTGTGTGTGTGTGTGTGTGACGGAAAGAAAGAGAAAGAAAGGGAAGGAGGAGAGAGTTTGGATTGGGAAAGTTACCATCCACTCTCCTCTTAGCATACCTAGTTGTCAATTTTCTGTTTATGTTTTATATAGCCTCATTAATGATTGCGATACTATTACTATGTTTACTTTTTTTATTTTTATTTTTTGAGATGGAGTCTCACTCTGTCACCCAGGCTGGAGTGTAGTGGCGCGATCTTGGCTTATTGCAATCTCCGCCACCCGGGTTCAAGTGATTCTCCTGCCTTAGCCTCCTGAGTAGCTGGGATTACAGGCGCGTGCCACAACACCCAGCTAATTTTTGTATTTTTAGTAGAGACGGGGTTTCACCATGTTGGTCAGGCTGGTCTTGACCTCCTGACCTTGGGATCCGCCTGCCTTGGCCTCCCAAAGTGCTGGGATTACAGGTGTGAACCACTGCATGTGGCCTATCTTTACTTTTGAAATAGGAAATGAACTCAGAAGTTAAACCATCTTTCAAGGTCTTATAACCGTTAGGTGGTAGAACCAAGATTTGAAGCCTAGTTGGTCTGTTGCCAAAGTCCACTATATTAAGCTGTTTCCCAAGTGAATCTTTAGGAACATTCCAGGCACCTAGTTCTTCATCCTTTTTGGTTCTTTCTCTCATCCATGATGTCTGGTAGGTTACAAAGAGAGAAGGCATTAAATGTGTTGTTAACCAGCAAGCGCATGAGGTAGAAATTTTGGAGGATTAAGGCTTTATTGAACCCACCAAATCATACTCCAGGCATCTGTCTTGTTTTTCACTGTAGCTTCTAGGAAGGTTAAGCATTAGAAACTCGAATGGTGATGTGAATCATAGGAAGCGCTAAGCTAAACTACTGAATGAGTCATTCTTTCCAGAGACAATGGCCCTTATTTCTCTCAAACTCTTAACAGACTTACAAATGAGGGTAGAAGAAAAGCTACTTAAATTTACTACCCCTACTAATAACACCAAAATAAATTTATTACTCTACTACAGAGCTTTCACTTTTTCATAAGTTGTTATCAACATTTTGATTTTTGGGTTATCAGAACATCTAACAGCATGTTCTAAATGTCAAATAAAAGGTAATTACATGAAATGATAATGATATACAATCTCTTTACTGTCTTATCTAAGACAATCTCTTTTGTGTGCTGGGAGTACAACAAACTTGATTCTTGGCTACCTGGGGCAGGGGTTTAGATTACTAAGAATCCTAGAACTACACACAGTCTGCCATAAAACTTATCTGTGGAGGAGACCATTGCAATAGCTATAACTCTTTGGTGTGTTGTGGGGGGAAAATGGTTTGAGACTCACTATTTCAGAGGAAGTGGTGGCAAAAGGAAGAGGAGAATGAAGTTGGTAGCTTGCAGAAATAGCAGAGTGGAGTAGCTAAAACTTAGCTAGTGGTTTGGTGTGGGGGTGGAGCAGGGTCATCACCATTAACTCTGAAGTTTAGCCCTGCTGACTCAGGGGCCAATGGTGCTGCTGCCAGAAATAGGGGAGCTGGAAAATCTGAGAAGATGATTAATTCAGCTGGGGACATATTTGCCTCAAGGTTCCTCAGAGGGGCATCCCCAGTGGATGTGTTCAGAAGTCAATTGAAAATAAGGCCAGCACCCAGAAATGGGCTGAGCTGGAGGGTTAGAGTTGCCAGTCATGGGTCTATGGTGTTCAAGACAAGAGTGGCCAGATTCACAAAGGGAACAAGGTGGACCAGAGAGAGAAGAGAGCCTGGGACAGGGTCTAGGATGTATTTGGAGTAAGAGAGAAGGAAGAGTAGCTAGAGAAAAAAATGTGGAAAAAGCAGTGATAATAAGATAACAGAAGAAATCATCACAGTGTGAAAAAGCAAGGCCAAGGATGGATAATTTGTTCTTGGAGGATGAAGTGGCCTAGACTATAAGCCCCAGAGTAGCAAATCAGTTAGCAAAGTGGCCAATCTCAGTATGTCATTGTGCACCAGAAGGTCCCATATGAGGGCAGAAAAAAAACTATAGAACTATACACAGTCTTCCATATAACTTATCTGTGGGGGAGGCCACTGCAATAGCTACGGCTCTTTGGTGCGCTGTGGAGGAAAAATGGTTTGAGATTCACTATTTCAGAGGAAGTGGTGGCAAAAGGAAGAAGAGAAAGAAGTTGGTGGCTTGCAGAAATAGCAGAATCAAAAAGAAGAGTATTTTAAGACAAGAGAAATGCCCAGCCAGTGGAGAGAGACCAGGAGTGGAGAGGAGAGAAGTGCAGGAAGGAAAAGAAGGGAATGAAGGGTTGATGGAACAGTTCTAGAGGAAGCTGGAGGGCTTGAGTGCAGAAGCACAGTTATGTGGCACATGTCTGCAAAGTAGTTGGGCAAATACAATGTCCATCAGAGAGAGGTCACATGAAGATGCAGATAGACCCCGTCATGTGAAGGAAGGAAGTGATCAGGTACTTTCCATAGAACTCATTTCTCTTCTCAGGAATACAGGGGTGACAGGATCTTCCCAGAGGACAGGCTGCATGGTATGGGGGTCAGGGCTGGCAGCCCAGGCCAGGTTTGGAATAGCCCCAAAATATATAGCATGGTAGGAGGTTGTGCATGGATATATTGAGTATTCAGTGCACAGGTTAGGATGAAAAAATTGTGTCAAAGTAGTTATGTGATTCCAATAATACTTAGAAGACTTAGAACAAGAGCAGAGAAAGTAAGTGGTCATCCTGAGTTAATAAATGAAGGTAAAGAACTTAGCACTCCATTGAAAGGTACAGTAATTTAATATTGATATTAGATTGATGGGTCCTTCATTTCCCTATGGTCTCATCATAGTTTCTTGCAATAGGGATGACAGAGCAGGGAGTAATAGGCTGCCAGCAGGACCTCAATGGAGTGACCCAGTCTTGGGTTCAGGCCCATCGGGGCAGAACTAGGTTTGTCAAAGGGTGCTTGCTGACTGGCTTGGAGAGCAGAGGTAGCCAGAGGTGTCTGGGGTCACCATGAAGACGGCAAGTACAATCTGTAGGAGTGGAATAGGCAGGGAAGGAGTAGAAGCTGTGGATGGAAGAACATTCCAGAATGTGAGATCTTGGAGATGACACGATTTTTTCTCTGAAAGCTCTCAGCCCATGGTGAGCATTAAAACACTCTCAGGGCAACCACACACCAATCCCTATACTGACCCCTACTCCAAATGTTTAGGGTGGAGCCCTTTGGGGATACCATATGGGGGTTTCTTTAATATTCCTCAGTGGACTTGGCTTCCTTTCTCACAGACAGACAGGGACTGTTATGAATGGGGTACACACCTATTTTATTCACTCATATTTTATTATCCTATATTATATTATTATAGTCATTTCACTGCCACCAACATTTCCTTCTCCAACGATGTGGTATGCGGTGTAACAAATGGTTTTAGAGAAAGTGTCTGGTGGTCTATCAACAACTCTGACCAGACTTTTTTTTTTTTTTTTTTTTTTTGAGACAGGGTCTCACTCTGTCACCCAGGCTGGAGTACAATAGCACGATCATGGTCGCTGCAGCCTCAACCTCCTAGGCTCAAGAGATACTCCTTGTCTCAGCCTCCAAAGTAGCTGGTACTACAGGCATGCACCACTACACTGGGCTAATTTTTGTATTTTTTGTAGAGATGGGTTTTGCCATGTTGCCCAGGCTGATCTCGAACTCCTGGGCTCAAGGGATCCCGCCTCAGCCTCCCAAAATGCTGGGATTTCAGGTATGAACCATTGCACCCAGCCCAGACTGTTTTGGCTGATCATTTATGTCCCTAGATACTGTCCACTGTTTCACCTTCCAGTCTGCCTTGCATTAACTTTCAATGCTCTTTCCATCAAATCACACTGGGTCCTATGTCAAAGGCTGGCACTGTTTGTTTCCTCAAACCTGAAAGTTGAAAGGTCAAGATTCAACATCATGCACCAAGAGTTTAGTCTGTGGAGGAGGTCTCAAAATTGAGGATGGAATAACTAACTCCACAAGATGGGGGCAGGGAGCAGGAGATATGTGGCATTTAGCAAAAAAGCCATGGTTCCCTATGTGTCTCCCAAATATCCACATCTACCTAGAACCTCAGGTTGTCACGCTTTTTGGAAATAAGGTTTGTGTAAATGTGATTTGTTAAGATGAGGTCATACTAGATTAGGTTGGCTGCTAAATTCAATGATCAGCATCCTTATAAGAAGAGGAGAAGACACACAGGGGTACACAGAGAGATGCCATGCGAAGACAGAGGCAGAAACTGGAGTAATGCAAAGATGACTCAAGGGATGTCAAGGGTTGCTGGGAGTCACCAGATGCTGGGGGAAGCAAGGAAGGATCCTCTCCTGGAGCCTTCAGAGGGAGCACAGAAATGCCAGCGCCTTGATCTTGGAATTCTAGCCTCTAGGGCTGTAAGAGAATACATTTCTGTTGTTTTAAACCACACAGTTTGTGGCAATTTGTTATGGCAGCCACAGGAAACTAACACAGTCCCCTAACCTCAACCACTGAGCTTCACTGACTAGCTGGGAAGTTTCTCCCAGGAGGCCATGTTGTCCCTGAAGCCAGTCCCAATGGGACCGACATGATTGACAGGCCAGGGAAGCCTCACCCCACAAGGCTGCATGCCCAGGTAAGTGTGTTTCTTGCACCGCCCTTGCCATGACAATGGCTTGTTCTGACTTACGGCTTTGTTACTTTGAACTTCAATCAATGGCTGAAAGAGGAACGTTGTTTTGACTAGGCTCGGGGTTTCTAAACTCCCCACTGTGTGGTTTCCAGGTCAGACAGTCAGGCTTTGTTCTGTGAATCATTGCTGAAAGATTCAATTAAATCTCGCTTCGTCCGCCTTGTGGCCAGGGTTTCAGTGACTTAGCAAGAACAGGAGCATGTAGCCAGTTGCTGAGGAAAGCCAGACATTTGAGGGGAGCGGGCTGCTGACACGAGGCAGGGAGCACAGAGATCTTCGGGGCTCCAGACAGCGGTGAAGAATGAAGTCCCCAGGCGCCCAGCTTCTTGGCTGAGAAGGCAGCTGTTGATTCCTGACATACTAATTTAGGACCCGAAAGAGAAAGTGAGGGGGCTTTGTAAAATCACTTAAAGGAGGCTGAATGTCAAGGGGGAGATGAGCCATGTGTTAGCACCACTGTCCTTTTCACGCAGGCATGAGAAAGAATCACAAATGTGAGTCTGGTTGAGATCTTTATGGTTAGGAGGCCTCCTTTGAAGTCTGACATCGCTAAAAAAATTCTCATAAAACCAAAGAGGGGGAAAAAAAGAGCATTTTATCCTAGCTAGGAGAGCACCAAAGTATGTGGAAAGGAGAAAAGGCTACAGCCCTCTGCAGAAACAGGAATTCGGCAGAACCCCAAGTCACTCAGAAAAGAGAAAATGAAAGACAAGATTTCTTGAAGTGCCTGGAAAATGCTAGCTTCGTGTGCAGACTTGCTCTAGAGGGGACAGTCTTGTGTGATGCCAGAGATCCAGGCTGATGAACAACTCCCATCCCCAGGGCACAGGTGGCCTGAAATCACGGAGATTCTTAGAACCTCAGTTTGGTTTCTTATTTATAGAATGAGACAATTCATGCCACCTCTCTTTTCTCTTGCAGGATTTTGTGGGGCTCAGAGGAGTTGCTGTTTGTGAATTCACTCTGTAAATTTCTAGCATCCTATAATTGTAGACAAGTCAGTATGCGCCCCTCCTCAAGGCTGGGCTTAGGATCCCAAGACATCCCTATTGCCTGCACCACATCGGGTGCCAGCTAAGGTAGAGGAGGGGTGCCAAGGAAGATCAGAGAAGCCCAGCTCCTGGTGCCCCTGGGGTCAGTACGGTCCTTCTTCCCTTGTATCTGCAAAGGACTTGTGGACACAGCCGGGGGAAACATGGTTGCTAAGAGACTGGCATTGCTGCACTTTCGAGGACACCAGGCGTGTAGTCTCATCTTTCATCAACATTCCTGGGGCTGCTCCTTTCATACATGAGCCCAGAAGGACCAGGGCGGTGCAGATCCCAGGGAAGGGGATGGCAGGGCTCAGCTGCCCAGCCTGCTGTCCTGCTGTGGCTCTGTGCTGCAGCATCATCTAGTACTTTCAAAAACTGTGCTGTGGGCACTCGCCTCGGCTCCTGTACAACTGTCCTTCCCATCTCCATCTGCCAAACTCATTCTTACCCCTAGGACCTGCTGAGATGCTGCCTCTACCATGAAGCCATCCCTGAGAACAGTAGCTTGTTATTTCTACTGCTGCTTCCAGCTTTGATTGGCTCTTCCCTACTCATCCCCTCACCTGACATCCGGACAGTGTGTGCAACAACTTATTATGATTATTATTGGGATGGTCTCCTCCGGCACCCATAATCCTGTCCTGAGTGAGCACCCTGCACATGAGGTTGTTTGAGAACACTGGCTGAACCTGTCAACAGTTGGTGGATTCTGATCCAGTAGCTGATAGTGGGCAGGAGAATAGGGGTGTGGCTTTCCAGGCTCTGAGGCCCCCACATCCTCAAAGGGAACTGAGATGATCCCAATAGGTGCAGGTTCAGGCAAAGTGGAGAGATCCAGAACATGTGCCTTTGGCTGGCCCAGATCTCTCTCTCTCTCTCTCTCTTTTTTTTTTTTTAGATGGAGTTTCACTCTGTTGCCCAGGCTGGAGTGCAATGGCATGATCTCAGCTCACTGCAACCTTCACCTTCCACGTTCAAGCGATTCTCCTGCCTCAATCTCCTGAGTAGCTGAGATTACAGGCGCCCGCCGCCACACCCAGCTAATTTTTGTATTTTTAGTAGAGACGGGGTTTCTCCATATTGGCCAGGCTGGTCTTGAACTCCTGGCCTCAGGTGATCTGACTGTCTCTGCCTCCCAAAGTGCTGGGATTACAAGTGTGAGCCACGGCGCCCGGCCCCAGATCTCTTTATACTGATCTTTGCCATTCTCTACTCTGCTTGGGGTAGCTTCTTAGTTCGTACTACAGCTTAAATGACTGATAGTTTTACCTTTCTAGGAGAGCTGACTTCTCAGAGGTTACCTAAGCTTGAAGTCAAAGGCATGAGGCTGTGCTAGGAGGTGTGGGGGAGGAAGTTACTTTTGGAAGCCAGGGTCTTTCCCAGGCTTCTGAAATCATCCCCTTGGGCAACTGCCTGGCATGATGTGTCCCTGATTAAAGCAGTTTCTCTCCTCCTAGTCTACTTGGGAAGCTCTGAGGATGATTCTTTCTCTTTTGATACATCAAATCCACCCAAAGCAGCTTCTGAAAAAACTATGAAAAACTGGCCACAGGAGTGTTTGTTCTGGTAGAATTTAAATGTCTTTGTGCTGCAAAAGCTGAAATGTCTAGTAAGATTTCTGACCAAAGCCTTTCAGCTCACTATAAGCATTGGCACGAAGGGTAAACCACAGGGATCCAGCTCTTACAATGCTTCATTCCCTTCTGCAGGCCCTAGAGACTCCCTGGGCTTTGCCTGCCACATCTGTACACTGGGGAGAAGGTGGATTACCTCTTACGCTCCAAGTAGCAAGTCATTTAACCTCACTCCTCATGGGTTGGGGACGGGAGCATGCTCACAGGGTGGAAGGAGGATGAAACGGATGCACAGTAAATGTGAGCTGTTTTCACAATTACAAGTCTCACCTCCCACTCTGAGCTTCTATGACTCTATCGTTCATTTTTCTGCACAGGGACTGACTCAAGGCTCTAAGGTTCTATCTCTGTGCTGCTGCACTGAGCTGCTCCCTCCTGAATGTCTCTGCCTGTCAGTTTCATTCAGAGACCCCTGACCACCAGTAATCATCAGATATTTCATGCAGCTGGGTGAGGCATCAGATCCGACAAAATAGGAAGATTCTTTTTAAAACCAGAATCTCTAAAATGAGTTTGTTTGTGATGCAAGTAGGGTCTGGATCCTACAAACCACGGAAGACTTGCAGACAAGGCAGTTTCTTCTGGAAGCTTCCCCAGGGAAGAGCAGGAACCCCCAGAATGGCAGAGCTGCACGTGTGCCGCTGTGTGACATTCCTGGTGCTAAAAAGAAACAGTGATGGATCTTTGCCATAGTGGGGAAAAATGAGCCAGTGCAATAGGCCTAGTCATAAAAGGTGGATCAGAGGGAGGGTTTTAGTTGAAAGCTTTTGAGAGGTTGAGCTTCATTATCCTGCTGCTGTTATATGATGAACCACAGAGACGTGCACCCATACCACTGGGGCTCTTCCATTAACGGATATAATGTTGGGATATGAGGAATAATTTTTTTTTTTTGAGACGGAGTTTCACTCTGCCTCCTGGGTTCAAGTGATTCTCCTGCCTCAGCCTCCCGAGTAGCTGGGATTACAGGCACCCACCACCACGCCTGGCTAATTTTTGTATTTTTAGTAGAGACAGGGTTTACCATGTTGGCCAGGCTGGTCTTGAACTCCTGGCCTCAGGTGATCCACCCGCCTCGGCCTTCCAAAGTGCTGGGATTATAGGAGTGAGCCACCGTGCCCGGCTGGGGAATAAATTTTTGCTATACATTTTGCATAAAAGCAGACAAATGCTCAGTAACTTTTTCATAGAAACATCTGTAACTCTGTTCATGAGGAGAATGCCACAGGTCACTCACTTATTTGCACAAAGAGCCGTACAGTTCAAGGGAACGCTGTGTCATTCTGTCCAACCAGGGGGTTAGAGAATCACTGATCACTAAAGCCAGGAGCAATGCTGGAAGCCTGTCTCCACTGCTGCGCTGGCGAAGACCGGGGCCCAGCCTCTGTGGTTCCACCTTGCCTGCCTCTCTTGCTATATCCCAGCTGCTTCAGGTTTTCTGAACATGCCAGGCCCCTACCTGCCCCTAGATCCCTGGACATGCCTTTACCTCCTCCCGAAATTCCCTCGGTCCTCTCTTCCCTTGGCTAGATACCCCTTGTTAAAGAGAATATTCACATCTGCCATGGCTCCCTCAGCCTGGGTAGGCGCCCTGCCCTGTGCATTCTGGTTGGCCCTATGAGTCTGTTCCCTTCTGTGTCACCCCCAGTGGGGCCCTTGATGACATGGCTGTCCATGCAGTTTACCTCTACATAGCAGCTACGGGCACTTGGCTGACTTTATCTGACCAAACTGCATAGCTATCACTATGTGCCCGGCAGCATTCCTAGCAGGGATTACGATGATGATGATGATGATGATGATGATGATGGTGATGATGACTGTTATTTCTGTTTTACAGGTGGAAAAGCAGAGGCACAAAGCGGTGATGTGACTTGCCTGAAGTCACACGGCTACAAAGTGGTAGATAGGGGAACGGCTCCCACGTCTGTATGGTCTGAACTGGGTTGTGTAGTGTTCCCCAAAGTTCATGTCCACATAGAACCTCAGAATGTGACCTTATTTGGATATAGCGTTTTTGAAGAAGTAACTGGTTAAGACGAGGTCATCCTGGATTAGGGTGGGCTCTGAATCTAATGACTGATGTCCTTATAAGAAGAAAAAACGGACAGACAGAGGGAAGACCTCATATGATGCTGGAGGCAGAGACTGGGCTGATGTAGCCCAGAAGCTAAGGAGTGCTGGCAACTGCTGTAAGGTAGAAAGAGGCAAGGAAGGATTTCCCCCTAGAGCCTGCACAGGGAGCAAGGGCCTGCCAACACCTTGATTTTGGACTTCTGGCGTCCAAAGCTGTGAAAATAATTTCTGTTGTTTTCAGCCACCCAGTTTGTAGTAATGTGTTATGGCAAGCATGGGAAAGTAACGCACCCCCTCTCAGGAGAGTGAAGCGGGCGGTGTCTCCAGGGGCCTGGACATTTCTGCCCCTTCCCAGGACAGGGTACAGAGCCAGCAGGCCTGCTTCCCTGGAAGTTCTGCCCGGTGGTGGATGTAGTGGGGGACTCCCAGATGGCGCACACATTGCACAGGCAGGCCAGCATGTTCCTCTCCCAAGATGGCATTTTGGGAGGTACACAGTGCTGGAGCACGAGCCAGGAGCCTGGGGCACATTCCCGGCAGCCAGACTTTGGAAAGCAGGAGGCAGCCACCTGGGGCTTCAATCTCCCTTTTTAGAAAATGAATCCCTGAAGTGAACATGAGTCAGGTACTGTTCTGGGCACTGAGGATGGATTAGGCAGTGAGATTGGTCCCAGTCTCTGTCTCCATGGAATTAACATCCTAGGGGTGACCAGCCATGAATCTCCCAATCATTAAACAAGTGGTGATTTCAGAGAGTGATAAGAGGTATAAAGAAAAACTCCCCTCTCAAAAGATTATGACGTTTCTTTCACAAGATTAAACATTACAAATATAAAAAAAAAAAAAAGAAAAAAAAAAACAACCCAAGAAATGGGATGGCGATGCCCTTTGGCCATGTTCACTGCTGCATATCCACACAAACGCCTTCGTGGCAGCCCAGGCAGTGCCCAGCAAGCTCAGACTCAGCCAGTCCTCGAGCTGGCCTGGCAGGGCTTTGCAATGCAGCTACCTTGTGGCCAGAGGGGCCCATCCAAGTCCAGTTTCTCCATGTCAGGGCTAGCAATGAGGAGGATGACTGTGCAGGCAGCCCGCCCAGGCCTCAGCAGGGAGGGGAGCGGAGACTCCCTCCGGGTGGTTCTCTAGGCAGAGCTGCCAGCAGGGTGGACGGTTCCCTGAAAGGACCACTCTCTTGCCCTGCCAGGAAGGGCATCTGGGGCCTTTGGGAAGCACTCGTGGAAGGTGCTGGGTGCTTCACCTCGTATCTGGCGGACGCCATCACCTCTGCTCTACTTCTAGGGTGACTGCTTTGAGGAAGACGTGGCAATTTCAGAAGCTTTTTAAACTTCCCAGAGCAGAAGGCCAAGTTTCCCAATCTAATCTATATGCCTTAGCGATGTCACTCCTGGACAGGGATAATTTTAAATGCAAGCATACTGATGTAGCTATAGGATGGGGTAAGGTAAGATGTAGGGTAGAAACCATTATCTTAAAAAAAGAGCAACTTCAGAGAAAAAAGCAGTTCTAGGGGCAAACAAAACTGTACCAGAGGGGCTCCTAGGAACCTCAGGGACTTTCCATTTGATTTGCCTTTTCAGGTAAAACACCATTAATAGGAGCCAGAATAGAGTCAGAGGACAATGTCTGTTTGTTTGTCCCTACACACACACACACACACACACACACACATACATACAGGCACACACAGACACACACACAGGCACAGACACACACAGGCACACACACAGACACACACACACAGGCACACACAGGCACACACACAGACACACACACAGACACACACAGGCACACACACACAGACACACAGAGACACACACACAGACACACACACAGGCGCACACACACACAGACACACACAGGCACACACACACAGACACACAGAGACACACACACAGACACACACAGGCGCACACACACAGACACACACACACAGACACACACACAGACACACACACACACATACACAGACACACACACAGACACACACACACACGGGTATGTGACTGAGGAATGTGACATGAATGACCTGGCATAAATGCAATGTTCTAATTTATTCCACATCATTCACTGAGATTCTCCACTCACTAATTTTCCTAAAAGCAGATTTTTTCATATCCTTTGAAGTCAAGCAAGTGGTTTTGGGGAAAGGGTTGTTCCCTCCGGGCCGGCTGGCAACATACGGAATTGTCTCAAAAGCCCCGTTAGCAACAGAGGAAAGGTCAGCCCCCTCTTAGTGAATGGAGAAGGAGAAAGTAAAGGTTGTGATGATAAACATAGAGCAAGTTTTGACAACCATTGGATCATTTAACAGTACCAGAACATCTAGACGGAACCACATTTTTTTTTACCATTGCTATTCATATATTTTTTAAGAAAATTAAAAAAAAAACTTCCAAGACATTTTCTAAACTGGGAAGGAGGATAAAATATTTACCCATGGTGTAAACTATGTAAAATGCAATAATGTGTAAGACCTGGTATTTGACAGCATAACAGGGTGACCATAGTCAATAATAATTTAATTGTACATTTTAAAATAACTAAAAGTATAATTGGATTGTTTATAACACAAAGAATAAATGCTGAGAGGATGGATACCCCATTTTCCATGACGTGATTATTGTATATTGCATGCCTATATCAAAACATCTCATGTACCCCATACATGAGATGTGTATAGGTACAATGTGTGCATAGGAGTGCAGTGGTGTGATCACAGCTCCACAGCTGTGCACCTGCTATGCGTATACACCTACTATGCACCTAAATGCCTAGGTACCTACATTTACGGGTACTACGTACCCGTAAAAATTGAAAATTAAAAAGAAAAATAAATAAACGAAATGATCTATTATCTTCTTCTACTGATGAGGACATAATGAAGGGTTTGGTATGTTAGACTCATACACATATATGCAGACTTTTGTGGTTGTAGTTAAATTGGTCAATAGATATAGACTGACCTAAGAAAAGAGGAATTAACTTCCAGCCTAATACTGACTGGGCACTTCTGTTCCCGTACACCCTCAGAGACTTCAGCCAACTTCTGAAGCAGTTAATTGGCTTTCCTGGCTGGAACCGCAACGCCATTGCAGGCAAGTGTCTTGGAGCTCCAGACAGGCCCGTGAACAGGGTGGCAAGAAGTCTAGGAGAACATGAATCAGCCCCGCATGGACACCCGTGGCATTTAAGCCCGAAAGGAAACTTGACTGGTAGCCGAAGTCAGCAATGGATGCCAAGCAGGCTGTGCCATGTTGGGGGACTGAGGGGTGGGGACCGGCTCCTGAGCATGGCTGGTGGCCACGGAGGCCCCACCTTGTGAGGCCACTATGTCCCCTTTGGCCCTACACATCAGACTCCACCCTTCCCAGCAGACTCTCTGACCCTTTCAGCTCTGACCACAAAGGGTGGAACTTAATGAGCTGGGAACCCAATTTCTCACTGGTTTTGGTAAATTAAAAGCGATAAAATGAGTAATCCATTAAAGTCATCATTTTTCCTAACTGAAAAAAAAAAGTATGACAACTCTGTTGAGACTTGACCTCTTTGAAATAAAGGCTGTTACTTTCTGGGAGCTTTTTTTTTTTTTTTTTTTTTTTGAGACAAGGTCTTGCTCTGTCACCCAGGCTGGAGTGCAGTGGTGTGATCACAGCTCACTGCAGCCTTGACTTCCTGGGCATAGGTGACCCTCCTGCCTCAGCCTCTCAAGTAGCTGTGACTACAGGTGTGCGCTACCATGCTCAGCTAATTTTTGTATTTTTTGTAGAGACAGGGTTTCGCCATGTTGCCCAAGCTGTTCTCGAACTCCTGAACTCAAGCCATTCACCCGCCTTGGCCTCCCAAAGTGCTGGGATTATAGGCGTGAACCACCATGCCTGGCATCTGGCAGGTATTCTGAGATTTAAATCTTTAGATACTGCAGTTTACTCATTGTCCTTTGTTGTCATGGAGTTTATAGAAAAGGCTATTTAGGAACTAATGCTGTCTTAATTATTTTCTCTGTCTCTCCTCTGCCTCTTCGAATGTACATGTGTAGGTGTATGTGTGTGTATATGTACGTGTTTCTTTTTATACTTGGCTTTTTGTAGCCATCATTTTTTATCTTTTAGAATGCCCCCACCACACATTCAGCATAGATTTGCTTTTCAGAATTTTGAACATTGAGAATTCTTTGAATATTTTCTAATACCTGAACATTTACCTTTATATGTCTGCAGCCTGTGGACAGGTGTGTAGAATAGCAGACTGTCAGACTTGGGAGGACCATGAGGCTATTGACTTGGACCTTCCATCTCATCAAGCAGGAATTCTCCCAAGGAACCACCGCCCTGACCTATCCCAGGGGTCAGGCCTGCCTAAACCAGGCTTGAGTTTTGTATATATTGCTCAGCTCAGTTGTAGAGCTCAGGTGTGATAACTCTGCCTAAGAGGGGATGAGGAGGAGGGCTAAATGGAGGGAAAAGTGGTACAGGAGAGAAAATAGAGAGAAAGGGACATTATAAGGGTGGGACTGGGGTCAGAGGCTGGGAACTGGGGGCTGGGGGAGATCTATCAGAAGAGAGCAGGCTGCAGGGACGTCCTCCTGGGTTCCTGCTGTGTCATGCGTCTGACCTTTTGTGTCTCTTTCTCAAACCCTGTTGATGTGTCAGCCCACGAGATGCTGGGGGTGTGGAGAGGACGAAGACCAGGGCAGAATCTTTGGCCTAAAAAGCAGAGTTCCTGGAACAGTGTCGACATTTTAAAAATATTAGCTAGCTTGAAGAGGAATGCTGAACTCTCTCTCTCTCTATTGTTCTCTCCTACTTAATTTCATAACTGATCTCCTCTTATTGAAACTGTAAGTGGAAAAAAAGATGGTTTCACAGAGATCCTCATTAAAGAAAGTGTTGCCGTAAGTAATCTAGTAATGTAGGCGTTCTGCAGCACAACATTCCTCCTGAGCTTATCACTTTACACTGTGAGGCCAAGATGTTAAAAAAAAATACACACATACACAGCAAACCCCTACTCCCAAACATAAGAGTTTAGATCTTGAGCAATAAGACATAGATACTATCACAATATTTTGCAAATCTCAGAAACATTGCCACATTTTCCATAGGGTTAACATCTGAGATGAAAAACTAATTCAGAACTTATGATTCCTTTTAAAAAAATTCCCTTAGCCAAACTGAAGAAATTTACTCGGGAGAAGAAAATGACTTAACTTGTAGTTTCCACAATGAGAAACATATTCTCATGGCTTTCAGCCACTTTCTATCATTATGTGATGGGCTTAAATTGCATTCACTGACAGTGAATTAAAAGCATGAATGAAATCTTTAAATGAACAACTGAAATAAAATCATGATTTAAACATCCTAGCACTTAAAAGTAAAAGAAACTTTTGCATGGCTGTAGACATAATGATCAATACTGAGTCTTAATCCCAAACCTGACAGCCCATATTTTTCAAACTGAGTGCCTCAAATTCACAATAAAAAAAAATAGGCCTCTTATTGCTGCAGTGAGATAGGGCAGTGTAATGCCTATGAGTGTGTCTCTTCCTGTGTTGTATCTGGCCTTGAGTCCACAGAATCCCCCAACATCAAAGGAAGCAGTAGGAGATGGTGTGTGGAACACCAGATAGCCGGAGGAAAGGGGAAACTCTTCCTTTGCCAAGAGGGATTGCTAAAATTAGATGGTAAAGTAGTCTTGGCACTGGAAGTCGTCTTGCTGACGATCAGCTTCAATAGATGATAGAACTGTTGCTTATTTGGAGACTTTCAAAGAGAGGGGCTTACACCCCAGGCAGGAACGTCTTACCAGGCTGAAGAGCTCTTTCTGTGTGGAGATGCTTTCCTAGGTCTATCTTAAATTCTTCATGCTGATATTCAACCCCACTTCCTCTTGCTTTGGAGCTTAGTGCAGAAGGGGCCTTGCCAGGCACTATTCTTTTCCTGCAAACTTCCCAAGATGATTTTCATAACTCAAGACCATCATCCTTCTCTCCCCAACACCCCCAATCTGGGCGCTTCATTTTGGCCTTTTCTGTGCATTTGGGGTGCATGTGGAAAGAAGGTTCTGCAAGATGGGGTGGAAGGACCAGGACTGGGCTCTCACTTGGGCTGAGCGTATGGTCACCTGGCACATCCAGGGCCATCTCTACTCTCCTCCCCCATCTCCCTTGCCTCTGCCTTGCCCTGGTGACATTATCTAGACATCTACCACTCAAATGTATGACTTGGGTAAGCATTGCATCTTCTATGTTTCTCTTTTAAACTTTGAGACCATCAGGAAAGGGTTGAGCCTGTCAATATTAATATCTTTGCTGCCCTCGTTTCCTCTCAAGAAAATATTTAGGGAAGCAAGAAGGGCTGGGAGAGGGGATGAAGAGGAAAAGCAGGGGGCTTAGGAAAAGGGGACCTGAGCAGGGGCCACAGAGATCAGCCCCATTTTCCTGAGAACGTCCCTGTGGCTTCCTCAGAGGGACCACACAACGTCCAGAGACCACCGTGTGACTTTCAGAGATAACAGCGACAGTTCCTGGCAACATTTGCTCCCTCCCCCACCTCCATCCTTCATCCTCCTCCTCAGAGAATTTTATTTGGCTTTGGGCAACATGAAAGTCAACTCCACAGAGTGCAGAGGGAGTCAGAGAGCCCAGTCCTCATCTCATCTGGTCAGCTTCTTTTTTCTTTTTTTCTTTTTCCTTTTTTTTGAGATGGAGTCTTGCTCTGTCACCCAGGCTGTAGTGTAGTGGCCCAGTCTCGGCTCACTGCAAGCTCCGCCTCCCAGGTTCACGCCATTCTCCTGCCTCAGCCTCCCGAGTAGCTGGGACTACAGGCACCCGCCACCATGCCTGGCTAATTTTTTGTATTTTTAGTAGAGATGGGGTTTCACCGAGTTAGCCAGGATGGTCTCAGTCTCCTGACCTCGTGATCCGCCCGCCTTGCCCTCCCAAAGTGCTGGGATTACAGGCGTGAGCCACCGTGCCCGGCCTCTTTTTTCTTAAGACCAAAACAAACCACAAACGCTCTCACCCTACTAAATATCCACCCATGAAGTACAGTTGGGAAATCTGTGCTCCAAAGCAAAACCATTCTCTTTGAAGGAGCCAGCCTAGACTGCTCTATCCCACCAATGAGAGAGTTAATAGACTTGATGGGAGACAGGCACATGGCAATAAGGAGGTCTGTTCTTAGGTGAAATAGGTGAGTTGTGCTGGCCATCAGCACTGGAAGCCCTGAATTCAGGCCTTTGGGTGAGCAGGGCAGCACACACAACTGGGCAGAGTGGCCCTTTATCTCATGCCAGCTGGACCCAGAGCCGGAGCTTGGAGGCTGGGGTGATCAGGCTGTTCTTGGCAGAGGTTCCTGAAATGAAATGACTCTGGTGGTGATGGGAGGCCGTGGCTCCAGGCCTGCCCCAGCATAACACGTTGTTAGCATATGTTAACAGGCTGCCTTTTCTCCAAAGATCACAAAATGCATTCCATTTAGTGTCTGTTTTGGAAGTGTTGCTATCTGTGTTTTATAGGTGACAAAACCAAGATACATCAAGGTCATGGAGCCCCCACAGCTGAGGGTGAGTGAGTTAGGGGCTGACCTGGGAGACCTGCGCTTCCTGATTCTCAGGCTGTTGCTCAACAGCTGACCCCTGATCTTTCCAAACTCCTTCCAGAATGGTCCTTTTGGCCTGCAGATCTCAGGGTCTGGTAGGAGTTAAAAGGAACACGTGTGTTCTGAACTCCCTGGAAGAGAGTATTGAAAACACACACACAATCTAGTGTTCGACATGTGGGGACCGAGATGAAAGGGGACAGCTGTTTCAGTGCTGGGTTTTGTGACCACACGTGGTTAGGCCTTCAGCCCACGGAAAGCACATGGAAAATGAGTGGAAGACCTGGCTCCCTCTCTTCTCTCCCGTTAGGCACAAGACGGTGTAAATCCTGGTCTTCCTCCTTTTAAAAGTGTGACTATTGCGTCAGACTAAGCTTTCTAAGGAACTCGCCACTGGTATCATTCAACAGAAAGGAACCTGCTAGATTAAAGCTAAGTGAAATTTTCCAAATGATTTCAGCTGGCTCTACCTAGTGGTTAAGCTTCATCTTTATCGGGCTGAACGAGATGAGCTTTCACCCAAGATGTTGGAGCCACGCTTATAATATTTGACTTTTACACAAACAGTTATTTGATTGCAATCCAAACAAAAGCAAATGATGTCCAAAGTTAGAACTATGGATACAAGGCACTGAAACATCTTAAAACTCAAGGCTGAAAGGTATCTAAGGAATTTTTGTCTCAAGGAAGAGGTGTTATAATTCCCAAAAAGGAAACTGTGTCTACTGATTTTTTTAAATCTAGAGGGAAGACGATCATATAATTTTCTTTCTTTCTTTTTTTTTTTTTTTTTTTTTTGAGACAGAGTCTTGCTCTGTCACCCAGGCTGGAATGCAGTGGCGCAATCTCGGCTCACTGCAAACTCCGCCTCCCGGGTTCACGCCATTCTCCTGCCTCAGCCTCCTGAGTAGCTGGGACTACAGGCACCCACCACCACACCTGACTAATTTTTTGTATTTTTAGTAAACACGGGGTTTCACCGTGTTAGCCAGGATGGTCTCGATTTCCTGACCTCGTGATCTGCCCACCTCGGCCTCCCAAAGTGCTGGGATTACAGGCGTGAGCCACCGCACCCAGCCTCATATAATTTTCATCAGGCACTAAAGCTTAACAATCAACTGGCAAACAAATGTTTACCATACACGACTGTATGCAAAGTTCCGGAAGGGCAGGCAGATAGCTATTTTATTCATGTTCCCATAGTTGAGTGCTTCATGTTCTTTGGACTTGTATAAGTAACATTAACTACTCTTAATACTGGGAAATTCTTTGTTATCTCTCTCAACCGTCTCTCACATCATTGCCTTTTGGTATGGCCTCCTAATCTGAGTTCTGTTCCAGGGAAAATGGGAATGGAAGTCACTCTCAATGACAGCCCTGCACACGCAGGGAACACCTGGTTACTAGTTTGTCCCTGAGCCACTTCTTCTGGTGCCAGGCTGAGCTAAGGATAAGGCAGCAGAAAGCAAAAGGCAACCTCGAATGTCTCTAGATCCAGACTTTTGGTCTTTCCCTCCAAATGTCTTCCTCCCATAGTCCTCTATGGCAATTGCAGTTTCCAGATTTCTTACGCTGAAGAACATGTGATACTTCCATGCCTGTTTTCTTTTGCTCGTTCCCTCCATCTACCAGTCATCGACTAATGCTGGTTTTACCTCCAAAACAGTCACTCTCTTTACCGTCTCTATAATTTTTTTTACTTCCATTTGCAATAGTTTCTTATTTGTATTTTTTAAAAGTTTTTTTAATAGCCTTATTGAGATATAATTCACATATCATATAGTTCACCTATTTCAAATGTACAATTCAATAAGTTTTTGGCCTATTATTTTTTTTGAGTTATGGTTTTATATATATATATATATATATATATACGCATATATAACATACAGTTTGACATTTTAAGAATTTTTAACTATAGTTCTATGGCACTAATTACATTCACAATGTTGGCAATAATAATTACTATTCATTTTTCCCAAAACTTTTTAATTGCCCAAATAAAGACTAAATATGCATTAGGAGTAGAAGAAAACTTCAACACGATAAAGCTCATATATAGAAACCCACAACTAACATAATACCGAATGATAAACTACTGAAAGCTTTTCCCCTAAGATCAGGAACAAGACAAGGATGTTCACTCTTGCCACTTCTATTCAACACAGTACTGGAAATTCTAGCCGGAGCAATTAAGAAAACAACATATAAAAGACACCCAAATTGGAAAGTAAGGAGTCAAATTATCTCTTTACAGATGCCATGATATTATATGTAGAAAACTCTAAAGAATCCTGAAATAAAAATCTGTTCGATATAATAAGTGAATTCTGCAAGCTTGTAGAATATATAGAAACACAAAGAGCAGTTGTGTTTCTACATACTTGCAATGACCAATTCAAAAAGGTAACTGAAAACAATTTCATTCAAAATAACATTGAAAAGAACAAAATATGTACAAGTAAATTTTAAACAAGGAGGCAAAAGACTCATATACTGAAAACCACAAAATATTACTCAAAGAAATTAAAGAACAAAATAAATGAAAAGGCACCTCATGTTCATGGATTGGAAGACCTGCTGTTAAGATAACTATACTACCCAAAGCAAACTAAAGATTCAGTGTAATCCCCCATCAAAATCCCAATATTATTATTATTATTATTACTATTTTTACAGAAATAATAAGACCCATCCTGAAATGCTAACTGGCTTTTTGCACTTGCTGTTTCTCCTTCCTGGTGTGCTCCTGAGTCAGACATTAGCATGGCTCCCAGTGTCACCTCCTTCAGGTGAGTATGCCACATGACACTCATCACCTTCTCAGCGTGCCCCTCCTTCACCAGCTTTGCACCCCCAGCTGCCCCTTATTTGTCTTATGCTTTTCCATTGCCCTTAGTATCATTTTCCCACACAGCACATTTTATTTATTTATTTATTTATTTATTTATTTATTTATTTATTTATTATTTATTTATTTATTTAGAGATGGTATCTCGCTCTGTCACCCAGGCTGGAGTGCATTGGCGTGATCTTGGCTCACTGCAACCTCCACCTCCCAGGCTCAAGCAATGCTCCTGCCTCAGCCTCCCGAGTAGCTGGGACTACAGGCACACGCCACCATGCCCAGCTAATTTTTGTATTTTTAGTAGAGACGGGGTTTCACCATATTGGCCAGGCTGGTCTTGAACTCCTAATCTCAGGTGATCCATCTGCCTTGCCCTCCCAAACTGCTGGGATTACAGGCGTGAGCCACTGTGCCCGGCCTACTTATTTATTTTTATAATTTCCCCTTTAAATACAAATTTCACGAGGTCAGGAAGTTTTATGTTTGTTCACTGCTGTATTTCCAGCATCTAAAACATGTCAGGCACATAGCAGGCATTCAAGATAAATATTTATCAAATGCAAGCATGAGTGTAAAATGTATGAGAAAAACCAATACATCCACATTTATTATTTTTGTAATGAGACAAGACCAACAAGTGATTACTAATGGGATTTTCGCCTCACATTTTCCTTAACAGAATTTAAAATTGTGGCAAAACATGGTGGTGCAAGAACAATACAACTTCATTACACACCCAAAGAAGTGGTGAGTTCATCTATTTCCTCCCACTCGAAAAGCAAATTCATTTTGGGCTGTTTTCACATCATCAACTCTCCTTCCAATGTACTGCTCCTTGAATCAGAATACATTTGAAATCATTTCCCAGTCTGAAAAAGTCATCAGTGTATCTTAATCCATCTTAATCTGTAATGGCAAAGGACCCCATGTGAGTGGAGATGCAGTTATGGCTAAGTGTGGGATGCCAAGAACTTGACTTTGGCTGGGTGAGAGCAAGTCTCAATAGCAAGGGAGCAAGTAGACAGCTGGTAGGAAAATCATGGGTTCGCCTGCATGTGAGTAACAAGGACGAACGGTAATGGGAGACTCCCACAAGTGGGAAACAGTACATGTAGACATGACTACATGCCAAACAAATGTACAATTGCACATACTTAACTTATGATTTTTACTTTGATGATAATGAGTGAACAAGAAGGAGAAAAGCTGTCTTTTTTTTTTTAAAAAAAAAGATGACTCAACCATGTCTTATATTAAATAGATATTGGGAACATTTGCCTGAATTACATCACTGACCTCATGAAGCCATGAAATCTCCCACAGAACACCACAAAGCCACAGCTTTATCTCCAAGCTCAACACTTTGTAATGGCACCTCTTCAAGGCTTAGTTCCTGTATTTCCATTCTCAGGGGCAGATGCTTCCCTTAGGAAGAGAAGCCCACTGTCTCTCTGAGAGGAGAAACTGATGCTTCTTACCCTGAGACTGAAAGGGCTGCAGTGCCTAAAATGAGCACTGTGATCCAACCTGGAGAAACTGTATCTTTAACACACTCACAAAGAAAAAAATAAAAAAGAAAACCATATTCTTTAGATTTATTTCGTTCAAATACACTCTTTAGCTAGAGCACAGGCATTTACCTTCCAATTCTACTTATCTATTGATCCAACATATTTACATATTTTCAAAATAATCCACACACATTCTATAATCCCACCCATATAAGATTTCTTTAAAGTGGTAAACCTTTTCCACCACCATTTACTGTTGAGAAAATAAAGGGATGAGAAAGCATTAGCTGTGTTCTAGACATGGTCCAGTCAAAGAAGGGAGAACTTGGAAATACAGAACTGTGGTTATTCATCGTGACTCTGCCAGCCATTGACTACTTGTGTACACTTGGACCAAGAGACTGGTTTGATACCAGTCACATCCATGATGGTGACATTCCATGGGATGACAAAGTGCCTGTGGTTGTGCCAGAACTTTCTTGTATCAAATAATTCTAGAAAACAAGAGGCCCAGAAGCTAGAACCAAGACACCACTTTTGTATGAATTAACAAGACCTCAATTGCTTGGCCATAGTGGCTCCCATCATGGCTTCTGAGTTGTAGACCTTAGCATTATGGCACATCTCAAGGGACTATGAAAAATCAGCTCCCCATCTGTGTTCCATAGAACAGCACGACAATTTCAGGACCTAGCTGAGGGCGTGTCTTGAGTAAAGTCACAGATAAAGCTTACACTAGAACCTGGGAACTTTGATCCTGTTTTTATCACCCCGTCCATTGTTGAAGTAATCATTTAATTTTCCCAAATGGTCCATGGACTGTTTGAAGCAGGACCTTACCTGATTCTACCCCACTTCTAATGCTTCTGTACCTGAAGATTTTATTAAATGACAAGGGATCATGTATTTGGGGAAACAGAGACATTCAACTTTCGGGCTCACAAGAGAGGCAGCTTTAAGTTCAGACCTTCCCTTGTTGTCTGCTTGCTGGAGAAGTGTCTGTCTTGTGATCCCAGCTTACAATTGGCCCTGGACCACAAACCAGGCCTACAAGAACATGGATGTGGTGCCCATGTTTCAAATTCATCTCACTCTCTTATCAGCAGGGGACTTTGATTTGGCTTTTCCTAAGACATGGTTAAAATTCTTATTATCAGCTTCAATTTCTGTGCCACAGTTTTAAGACTAACCACCTCTGCTTTTCTCTATCCACAGCATAAACCACAAAAACTGCTGTCACCACTGAATTGTTGAAAGAGAAGGCATAGGTAGATTTTATTGATGTATTCAGAGATCTCCAGAAATCATGTTTTTTTTTTTATTAGAGTTGAATTTCTTCTTCATACCAATATGCTTACCCAATGTGATGGAGTGATGAGGAAACGGGAGAGATGAAGACAGAGATACAGACAGAGATGAGAGAGGCTGCATTTTACTCAGTAAAGACCCCCACTGACCCCACAATTTGTCTACAGTCCTATAAACACCATTAGGATTCTGTATGACTCATTGTATATGCAAGGAAATAGCCTCTTCTGTCCTCTAAAGCACCACAATTAAATTCCACACTTGAGTCAAATTGGAGTCAGATCAGACCAATGGCCCCACCCCATACCCCACGAATAATTTAATTAATAATTTAGTTAATCTATACTAAGAACCTTCATATTACAGCTTCTCTATTTTTAAGCCTAGGAACTATCAGTTTTCCAGACATACTATATGACTTAAAAGACAGGCTCCACAGTTCCATCCTCATCCCTGGCACCTAATCATAAAGGACATTCATGATCCTAGCTATCCCTTAGCTTCCTTCTTACAGCTCAGACTCTGCTGGACCGACCCTGATATACCTGCTCAGCACTCGCCAGCTAGTTGCCTTCCCTCATGCTATAAATGCTGTACATGGAGGAAGAACATGGCTTTTGGCTGCAGCTGGAAGTCTCCTCCCCTCCATCTCTTATCTTTTAAGTACCCTTTGAATTTCATGCCAGTGTCAGGTGAGTATGGGGTGGCACTATTATGTGATTTTCCTGCCACATTTGCAGGTGTGCCTCATGGCCTTGACACATTTAATGTCACTTTCTTTCAACTGGGATGTGTGGCGACCAGTACGTCCACTCCAGCTGGAATGCCTGGGATTGTGTTTTTATGGATGACGTCTTCACAGCTGGGAAGCATCTCTCCAGGGTCTCTGACAGTGAGTAAGTTGCTCACATCATTGTTGGCAGGCTCATCCCAATTTTAAGTCATTCTCTAAGACAAGGCAGACAAAAAGTCTCATCTATTAAGGTCACCAGGCCTTTGAGTGCTGAGGAGCTAAACTAAAGCGTTGCATCCAGGTGCTGGATTGTGGAGTTGTTGTATGCATTGTCTTTGAGAGAAAGGCTACAGTGAAGGAGATGGAGGCACCCACACGTGGAAGATTGGAGATTTAAACATGAAACAGCCTCAATGTTTTTCTTGAAAATCTGCTTTGCCTCCATAAAAGCCTCAAGGAGGCAAACTGAACTAAATGTACTTTTCAGGAAACACAATGAGAAGGACATCATCTGGTTAACACAATAAAGCCACACTACTCTCTCTCCCCCTCTCTCTCTTTCAAGCCTTCCAGAGCACCCTTCCTCTAGCAGACATAGAAGAAAACTACCCACATGGCTCAGAGGTTAAGGGCCTGGGAACGAGCCTCAGGCAGACATGGATAGGAGTTCCATTCTGCTGGTTGACTTTGGGAAAGTTAGGCAACCTCTCTGGATCAGAAGAGGAGAGCAATAATACCAGTATCCTGGTTGTTACATAGGAAGTGCTGGGCACAGCACCGCGCACATAAGGGGTGCTCAGTACATGCTGGTCAATATTATCGTTATTAATATTTCCTTTGTCTGAGTGGTGAATGAGGAGCATGGAGAAGTGGTGTCACCACATCTTTTGATCCTGGGGCTCAGTGGTGCTTTAGAGTGGGTGAAGGCTGAGCCTGAATCAAGGCCTGCCCAGAGCCTTTCTCTACCAGGCAAAACGTGCTGGAAAGATAGAAGAGAGGAGCTCCTGATTCACCCAGGACAGTCCCCATTTACTGTACTTGCCACCTCCTTTTCCACTCTGGGAAGTACCCAGTTAAGGAGGACAAATGACACTGTCACCCTCTCTAGGAGGTACCTTAGGTGGCTTCTACAGCTGCACTGCTTGGTATTGGTGCCACCAGCCCCATGTGGGCAAGAAGCATGTGGCTGAGACAGCTCGAAAGTGTAACCTGCACACCAGATCTCAAAGACTCGGGAAAGAGAAAGAGTGTAAGCTATGGCATTAATAATTTTTATATAGAATGCATATTGAAATGTAACATTTGGCTATAGTGGGTTAAAAATATTAGTAAATTAATCTCACGTGTTTCTTTTCACTTACTTGATTGTGGCTACAGAACGTTCATCTGCGGGCTTGTGTTCTATTCTGCGGGGCAGGGCTGTCCTGGAGGTTGAGCCCCATGGGCAGTGGACATGTAGCTGTGCTCTGGACAGACGCTGTGGCTGCCACCACATTTTCTCTCAGGCTTTGGGGGAAATGCTCTCCCCCAGCCCCACCCCAGAACTGTGCCTTAATGCCCTGGCCCGGTTGGGTCTCCATCCCTGCATCCCTGCAGTTAGCCCTGCTCTCTAGGTGACCCGCCGTCCTTTGGATGTGCTAAAGCCACCACATTCAATATATTCAGACATGTGCCACCACTTCCCCTTCCCTGGCTCCACCCTTTGTCTCCCTGCAGTGTTTCTCCTCCAGGATAGCAGCCCTTTTGGGTACCAGAGTCCAGACCTTCATGTCACCTCTTGCTGGCCTCTACTCCTTGCTCTTCAGAAGCAAGTCATCTGCCAACCCCCTTGGTGGCCTCTCTCCTACCTCTTCTCCACTCTCACTGCCACCACCCTCGTTCAGGCCCTTTATTTTGTGATATTTACTGTTTCAACATCCTCCAAGCTGATCAGCTTACTTATCTTCCTATTACCCCCAAACGCCGATGAGATCCTTTTATAATCCAGAACTATTTCATGTTCCAGCTTTAAAATATGTCCCTGATCCTCCCTGGTACCCAAGCTCTTCAGCCTGGCATTCACAGCCCTTTAGAACTCAGCCCCATTTTATGGATCCAGGTTTATTCCCTGTTATTTCCATTGCCTCCTCCCATCTACCCCACGGCCACCACCCCTGGGCCATGCTATTTTTCACAAACACATGCTGTACCTTTTTAGCTCTCAGTGTCTGATCCATGGTGCTCCTTGGCACCAATGTCCTCTTCACTCCCTCATCTGCTTTGGGGAGTTCCATCTAACCTGAGGGCTCAGTTAAAACCTGCATTCTCCAAAAACTTTCCCTGCCCCTCCCCCCAACAGAATTGGTTCATCTTCCTACAACCAATGGCAATTTCATGGTGGTGCCATGTACACATTCGAGTTGGCCTCATATTAGGGGAATGTATGTGAGCATTTCCATTCTCATCTAGAGGAGGACTTCTTTAGTATTTGGTGGTTATTTCTTCACATTCTGATCCTCCCTCCTCCATAGCAACTAGCATCAACTTCCAGCCACCATTTGGAAGGTGTTCAATACGTGAGGGTGACTTGAGGCAAAGACAAGGGTCAACCTAACACGTCTTTGGAAGGATCGATGCTCAGGCTTGTCTCAGCTTTGGGCTGGGAGAATTCCTTGAGGACTGATGAGGATGGGGCAGACCACAGTAGCATTTAAAGAGAAAAAGGGAAAAGTTAGGTTGTGCACATCTGCATAGGCAGACTTTCTAATTTTGTTACTTCAGTATATTTGCTGAATGTGCACTGCAAGAATATTTAAAGATCAAAGTTCTATAGCAGTGAGCCCAGAACATGCTCAAGCATGGTTAATTCTGCCACTTTCACCCTCTTCTCCTTCATCACCGATATGGCAGATACCTAGTGGTGGACTCGGTGCTTCTAACCATACTGATTATGGAATGATCATTACAGACTTTGAATAAGGTAGGCTTCTGGAAGAAGATAAAATTACACTTCTATTAGAACGTCAAGTAGGACCTTGCATGAAAAGAGCCATTGATCCAAAGGGAAGAAAGGTAAAGAGAAGAAAAGAAAAGAAAAACAGCAACAACAAAAAACGGAGCCCACCGACTGTAATGGAGAGGTTGATGCTTGGCTTTAGGAGAGCAGGTCGTGTGTGTGTTGAATTACAGGCAATTATCAGTGGTCTCCCTGTTGGCCCTGAAGAATTTAGAACTGCGTCAAAAGGAAATCTGGTCTATCAGGAGGGAGGTCCTGCTGCATCTTTTAACCCTGTGCCAACTCCACTGCACTTGAAACTTTCCATGATGTATCCTATTCTTAAAATCTCACAAATGTTGTTGGTAAAACAACTGTTAGCATTTGATGCGAGGATAAAACTCTCTGCTAGATCACGTGTTCTTTTAGGGGCCCAAATTGGGATTGTGAAAATGTTATATGATTTTAAAGACTGAAATAAATCCTGCCCGATGTCTTCTCTGCTTTCTAGCAGTTTATCCACAAGGAAGGAACCAACACTTCTGCACAAACCCCACCGAGTGAGTGTTGTTCACCAATATAATCTTGAGGCACTACAAGCCCATGAAGTTTGGGCGGATTCTCCAAAGAATAATTACACTCCGGTCAATGCAATTTTAGTGTTAATTACACATTATTATATTCCTGGGATAAGACACACTTATATGAGCATCTCAGCCACCTAAGCATGCATCACTGAAAAACGGAGATCAAGGTGGTTCAAAGGCTTCATGGAGCCAGGCCTGCTAGAGGACAATGGGCACTTCTCCCATTTATGCACTGTGACCTGGACTGGTCAGAGTTGGCCCTGCTCATTCCTCTTGCCAGCCCTTAAGGGACAACAGGGACACACCATGCTTCTGATTTAGATGGAATGAAGGTGACTGAGTAAAAAATATGGAAACTAAATACTTAAAGGGTGACTCTAATTTTTTTTCAGGAGGGTTTAAAATTTTGACTAACCAAACATGGAGCTTGGGCCTAATACTTCAACATTTTTGTGCTTTAGTTTTCTTATATGTAAAAGATGAGCAGATGACCATATGCCACTTGCAAGCATTAAGGTCCTATCAGTTGATGCTGAAGCTGTGTTAGACAAATCACACGCTGGTATAACTAGGCTGGATGAAAGTCTATCCTGAGTGTTCACACAGAACTGCATAGAAAGTTGATATTGGTAATGAGGGCCTAGGTTAGAACTGTTCAGAGAAAGCACGACGTCTGTGACAGCTGAATATTGTGTGGCAATATTAAGTTGGGTTCTGTTTCATCTCTGGCTATAAGGCATACAAAACCATATTGCATATTTTGGTTTCAAGGTGTTTTTTTTTCCTCCCTAAATTTATACCAATAGCAAGGCATTATTACTCCATAAGCTCCAAAAACATTATTTTTAAAAACATATCCAATATAGATTTGGGGTAGTAACAACAACTGCTAGGAATTTAATCCATCAATTACACTCCTTTTTTTAAAAAAAAATCTGGTCTTCTGCCTTAATGTTTAAATATGCAGAGGTTCAAAGCACCTGACAATTAGGTGCTCTGTGCCTTCTTACCAGACACTTCACATTAAGACATGTCCTTTGTTGACGAGAATGTTTTTGCCTGGCTGTCTGTTGCATTTCTCTCTCTCTTCCTAGCTTCTGTGATGCTACTTGGTAGAGAGTGATGTTTAATAATAGTTTGTTAAATGAATCAACAGGTAAACATAAAATATGGTCAGTCACACTACCGTGAGTACACACACACGCACACACACACACACACACACACACACTCATTCACAAAGTCCTACACAGGAAACTACCCCAGGCCATTCCCATTTAGAAAAAAATGTGCAACTCGCTGCCAGCACTCATGTAATTTTACATAAACACACTCGTTGAGGCTGAAGAAAATCTCTCTGATTTTCAATGTGAAAATAAAATCTAAAAACTGTTTTTGGAGTTATTTCCAAACAGAACTATCATTAGAATCATCTGAAACATCAGAATCATCTATTCTGGAAAAATCGGATTCATCAAATGCATCTTTAGCCAACAACTGTTCGAGAATGATGTGAACATCACAGGTAGGAATGCTATGTTTTCTAGAATTCACATTTTCAGTGACTGAGAATTACTATATTTTGTAAGTGAAGATACCACTACCAAAATCAAAATGCTATAAATAGAATGATATCTTTTGTTTCCAGAGTCGATTTGCTAGTAGGTTGGTGCAGAAATAATTCCGGTTTTTGCCATTAAAAGTGATGTGAATAACAATGAAAGTGAGATATTTCATGGCAAAGTTAACTGGGGATAAATGGTGCACCTGCAAGCACTGCTGGTGAGTATTCTTGGGACAAACAGGGAAAGGGTTAAGTAGTTCAGGAATAGTGAAGATGCTTCACCTTCTCAGGCCTTTTCCTGATCCCAAGCCCATGACACACATGACAATTGATCCAGGCAACTTTCCTACCGAGACTCCTTCTCAAGCCCCAGCTCCGGGGCAGTGAGACAGCCACTACTAATTCATAAGAGTTGTCACTTGGGATAAAGTAAAGGTTCCATCCCTGGAATAGACATGGCTCTTTGCTGTCAACTCATATGTTAATGTCTGGGGATCAGGTGGATCCCTCCGTGGGTTGAAACAGAAAAGAACTTAAAACAACTTGGCATTATCCATAGGAAACCGAGGAGGGTAAGCAATAAATCTACATTAATAAAAAAATGCCAGGAGGGGTTTCAGCGCCCTCCATGGCCACTGCCTGTGGACAAGAGCTCTGCTGACTGTCAAGTGGAATTGATCCCATCCATGTTTCATCACTTCAACAGCGAGTGGAAGCAGAAGAGCATTTATCATCATGAAACAGACAAGAATTCTTGCTAATTACCATTTTGTTTTAAAGTATAGTAAGATTTAGGGCACCCTCGCTACCCCAACTAGCTTCTTTCCTTGACTTTTATGTGGGCAGTGTTGTTATAATTTCTCTGTTCAAATAAAGTCTGTAGAAAGCCACAAAAAGAGATCTGGACCCTAAAGCTTAACGGATTCTGGAAAGCAGCTGGCTTGTAACATGAGTCATTCCAGCCAAAGCTTTCTCTTTTGTATGTTTTTCTCTGACCTAAAGAGTGGGTTATTGGATGTCTTCTGGCAGGTGCTACAGGATTAAGAAGGTAGCTGGTCAGAAACAAACTTTGAATTAGGGGGATTTTTTAAAAAATAGTTGACTAAAGTAAATATGATCGTTAGCTTAATCCTCCATATCTAACGTGAGATTCAAATTTAATAGGCAAGTTTAAAAATCGGCTGGCATGTGCATCTATTATTTGTGTATGTGTCTGGATGCCTTGCTCCAAGAGTACAGGTTAGTTGTCCGTGATGAAATTTCCAAGACCTTCCTGTTTATCAGGCCCAGCAGTCCAAAAGCCCAAATACCCACATGACCTCCTTTTCTAGGATTATGAGAGAAAAACAAGTAGAATATTAATAAATTACAGTGGGAAATTATTCTTTTGTTAAAGTCACTTTTACAAAGTTTGTAGGGGATTCCAGACTATTTCTCACATCTATAATTCTGAGCCATGATAAATTAATAGATTTTTGTATAACTCTCAGATATTTCTGAAGATGCTTCAGGTTTCTGAATCATTAAGGCAAGATCGACTTGAATGGTATCCACTTTTAGAGGTGGCGACTCTCTCTTAATGAACAAAATACTTGGATTAATAAAAATTAGTGACCCACAGGTTTGACATCTATATGGACATATGACATAGGACATATGTCCACATCTATATGGACATATGACAAAATCTCTGAGCATGACTTTGGACAATAATTTAACCTTGAAGAGATTCATTTACACATCTATACATTGAGATGAATGATTACACTTGCTGTCACAGCATGGTAAAGAGAAAGGAAAGTGTTCTCGGTGAAAACCCTTTAGATACTCTAAAGTAGAGTAGAAATCAGGCGTCAGAAAACTTTTATGGTAAAATGTCAGACAATAAATATTTTAGGCTTTGTGCATAAGGTTTTTATCAAAACTACTCAACTCTGTCACAGCAAGAAAGCAGCCATCGATAATACATAAATGAACGGGCATGACTGTATTCCAATAAGGCATTATTTACAAAATCAGGCTCAGGCCAGATTTGGCCCACGGACTTCAGTTTGCTGAGCCCTGATTTAAACACTAGTTCTTGCGATGACTGAACAACGTGAACGTCCATGTTATCGCATGTATACAAACATACTATCCCAATATGAATACACACATCTACATCATTTACCTTCTTTAAAAATGTCCTGCCTTTTGTAAGCCATTGGTACCTGTAAGTAAATAACATTATATTGGGGGTCTATAGATTTAGTTGAATTTTCACCCTTGCCTTGCAGCAAAGAAAAAAAGTCTGAGGCAACACATTTGACAGTTGGCCCTTGCATATTATAAAATCTAATCTAAATGAGACCAACACATAAGCACCTTTATACATATAAATCTAGTTTATAACTGAATATCAACTGAGTTTATTCATTATTTGCTTTTCACAGCTCTGCAGACAGGAAGAAATGGCTACCAGAATAACAGCAACTCTGAGAAGTTATTACGAGAGGTGAAGGTTATTGCAAAGTTGAGTTTATTAAAGACCCTCATCCCCAAATTGGAGAGAAGTTACAATGAAAAAAAATAATAAAACAAAGTGGAGATAATGTCCAGTGATGATAAGAGTGGAGGCAAAATAGCCACCGTCATGCACTGTGGGGTGGAATATAAGTTGGCACAGCCTTTCCAGAAAGGGCAATGTGTCCGTACCAAAACTCTTAAAAATCCTTGTAGCCTTTGAAACAGATGTCTATTTCTAGGAACTTATCCTAAGGCAGTAATCAGAAATGCACCCAAAGATTATGTTCAGAGATGTTCATTGCAACATTATTATACTGAAACATTAGAAACAATCTAAATTATCAACAATTTAAGGCCATTTAAGTAAACTACTGTGTTATAGAAATTCATGCAAAAATTAAGGTGATATTTTAGAAGAATTTTTAATGAATAAAATATATTCATTCATAACATTTTAAAAGAGACAAAAGTAGTTTACAAAGCAGCACTTTGAGTATGATGCCAAATAAAAATACATTTTAACATTATGGAAAAAAGGACATCAAATGATAACAGGAGACCTGGAATAATTACTAGGATTATGGGTCATGTTAACTTCTTTAAACATGTCTGATGTTTTAAGGTTGCTCCAATGAACTTTTGAAATAAGACAAAAGTACACATAATTTTAAAAATTAATATCTTAGTTATCTTAGTTAACCAGAATCAGCTGTACTTTAATTAATTGGATTTTTTAAGGAAATGGACAATTTCAGCTGGTATCTAAGGGTCCAGTTTTCATGTTGCGTGCCATACATAATCAGTCTAATATTTCAATCTCCTGCAGCAACTGAATTAAACAATGAAACATCCTGCCTAGGTGTATAGTTGTTCAGGTGAGGAGTAGTGGCATAGACACACTTGATTAGGAATCTGGTGACTTTCCTTCTAGTCCAGGATCGATACTTAGTCATCTCTAGCCTTGGGCACATTTCATAACGCATGAGTCTCAGTTTCCACATATACGGAAAGGAGATAAACATCCGGGCTCAGCTTATCTCCAAAGAGTTCCTGGGAAGGTCAAGCATGATATGGCTTTCTCCTTATCAGTGGTTCTGAAAACCCAGAACCATAACATGTTAAGCCAGGGGAGCCAGTAGAAACCACTGCCCCATAGTTTTTACAATGTGTGCTTTTGGTAACAGCAACCCATGTTAGCAAATCGGAGCTTCCTCCATGGGCACTGCCAGGGCGTCCTCAGAGCTCTGCTTTCCAGCCACAGACGGGGCTGAGCCCTCTCTGCCGAGGCAGCCGTTTACTCTTGTGTGCCATGGAGCCCTCAGCTCCCTGTAAACATCCATCACAGCACTCACTGCTGCACTATTGCGACTTCTCTGTTCGTCTCCCTTGGCAGCACATGGTGATGCTCTGATCAGAGCCTGGTCTTCCCTCCCTGGGTTTCCCACAAGGTCTGGATAGCAGAGCATATGCTGCACAGCCCACACAGCTGTCCTGGTAGGAACTGAGGAAACAAGGAAGGGAGTGCACTCAACTCTTGACAGATTTGGAGAAGAGGGAGAGAAAACAGCTGATGGAGAAGAGGCAGCAACGTGGAGTGAATAAGCGCGGAGATGCTGAAGTCAAACTGCCCAGGTTCATTCACCAGCTCTGCCTTTTCCTGGCTGTGAGATCCTGGGCACGTTCCTAAATCCCTTTGCATTTCAACTTCCACACCTGTGACGTGGGGATCATAATCCTACCTAACTCAGAGGGTTGCTGTGAGGGTTAAACTTGGTAATATATGGGAAGTGCTTAGAATAGACACCACATAATAATTAATAATTCTTCTTCTTGTTGTTGCTAGGGGAAGCCAAGGCAGGATATTTAGGTGTTAGCTTTCTTCCCCTTGTTTTTGGTATGAGAAGCTCTTGAGCATATTTAGGAGACAAGAGAATGTTTACCATGGGATAATGGGTTTGGAAGGATGAAGGCTGCTTTATCACAGAAGGTGCTTTATGGTAAAAGAAACTCGTCCTACTCGCCAATAATGAGATACAATGATGCCAGTGGTGGAAGAGGTGGTGGCTGAGGTGCGAACATCAAACACAGCCACTCATAACAAGTACTAGAAAACTCATCTCAGGCTTTGATCATGCGAAAGTCAATGGCCTACTAGGCATACTTAGTGATCACATAGGAAGGAGGAAGCAAAGGAGCATCTGTTGAGTGCTTACTGTGTTCCAGGCCCTGGACTAGAAGAGAACTTGACTTGCATCATCTCCCACTAACTTCACAAGAACTCTATGGAGTAAGCGTTGTCCCTGTTTTACAGACAACAAAACTGAGATTCAGAGAGGTGGACAGGTCACTCAAGGTCAAGAGCTAGTTAATGACAGGGCAGAGAGTTAAGCCTCAGTCTTTATGACTCCAGTGTACAAGTTGTCCTGCACCACACTCTGCAGCCCAGTAGCAATTACAGAAATTATCAAATGTGTATTGGGTGACCTTTGTTGTGAGTTTCATTTCATTATGATAGTATACTTGATACATGTTATTTTAGGCTTCAGAACTACTCAAGTAGCCTGGTCACCTAATAACAGCTTTGGAAAACGCTGAAGAGTCCATCAATGGGAAAGAGACCAAATGGGGATGCTGGGCATAATGGAAACAATGCTTGTTTTGCAGTTTTGCCTAAGACAGGCCTTGGATATGGTTAGCTATATTTCCACTGCTGTTTCTCTGCAACCCAACATGCCATTGTCTTCAGTGCTCTCTGCTTCCCTTGCGCGTGGGGTGTGACTGCAAGGTGAAGTGGCTGATCTAGAACAAAGGTTGCAGGACATACACAGCTTCTTGTAGACAGCTTCTCTCCTAAAGAGCACTGGTGAGTCAGTTGTTTGGGGCTTGAGTAAAGCTTTCTATTAAAATAAAGTTACAGTGGGAATAAGGCTTATGGAATAGCCCAGGCCCATTGGAGTTTGTTTTGCCCACCATACGCCAGCTGCAGAAGTAATTGGAGATCTGGGTCCTAAGATGAGGGACTGCATATTGGAGGAGGAAGAAGCAGCATCCTCTCCCTTTCTTAAACTCAGGCAAATTATAAAATAGGTACAGTTCAATTCCCTCATCCTGCTCCTTCTTCTGCCTGAGGGGACAGAACAGCCTTAATCTGTCCTGACCCATGGTCCAGGGGCTAGTGTAGTCATTTGATACCCCATTTCTGGGGCCTGAAGGGTCCAGGTATAAAGGGACCAAGACAGGAATGCTGGGGACCTCTTAGCACTTGCCCCAGGCCCCCTTCCATCCAGGGCTGTTTCATGTCCTTCCCATCCAAGAGGCTCTACATTAGCCTACTGAAGAGCCTGTTGTATCAGAATCCGTAGAATCTCTGGGACTTGCAGTGTGTGCACATTGTGTGTGTGTGTGTGTGTGTGTAGCTGATACAGAGTAGCCAAGGCCTAGGGGTGGGTGGCAGGCAGAGAAGCTCATAAAGTGCAGAGTAAGGGCCCAAAGAGCAGTAATGGGAAGGGGGTGAGGGTTTAAATGGAAAAGAGGCAAAAATGGGAGGGGGTGGGAAGGAGTGGGTGGAGCTGGCCTCCCTCAGAATCAAGCTGGGCTCACTTGTGATTTAGGAGGTATGAAGTGGGGAATCAGTCTTTGTCTACCTTCTGTTCCCTGCACCCAGACCTCCTCCACTTTCTTAGGGTAAGAAATGCCTTTGATAGGGGTAAAGCCTTTCTTTCCAGAGTTTGAGATCAGAGACTTCAATATGCAAAGTCTTGGGGTATGCTGACAGATCAGCACACGTGCTTTTTATATTTAAATAATTCTCACAACCTATGTGGCTTGTCAGGAATGAAGAATCTAAAGCTTATTGTGCTAGGGGAGCTCCGAGTGAACAAAGGGTGCCGAAAGGAGAGTGGGGGGACAATTGCATCATCAATTTGCAGATGTCAGAATGTCACATTTTGGTTAGGGATCAGGCTCATTTTACACACGCCTAAGCAACTGGAAAACATGAGAGAGTATTGGGGCCAGTTGTGATAGGGGCCAAGGAGACTGAAATGAGGACACCTGAGGTCTACTTTTCAGGCTATCTGGTGTGACTTTGGATAAGTTATTTCACCTCCGTGGGCCAGAAGGTGCTGATCTATCAAATGAGCAGGGAACGTGGGAACTCTAAGTTTGCCCTGCTATGAATCACTCTGGGTCTATGTTTTGGGGGACTGAGCACTGGGGAGTCTGTGTTAGCCATCTTTCTTCTCATAGTTCTGTGTTCTCCAGTGGGCTTTTATCATAGCCGTCTTCAGGAAAGGAGCTGCAGGGCATTCACCCGGGTGCAAAGGACCAGCAGTCCTTCCAGAGAAAGAAGTAAAGTCTTTAGCTAAAGAACAAAGATTTAACGGTGGAACTGTCCACTTGAATTGGAAGGGCTGGTAGCTTTGGGTCCAGCAAGGGCACCCCAGATATTAAATCAATGAATAATATGGAGAGTATAGTATATTGTTACTGGCTGAATTGTGCCCATACCCCAAAATTTATATTTCCTGTTTTTGTTTGTTTGTTTGTTTTTTGAGATGGAGTCTCACTCTGTTACCCAGGCTGGAGTGCACTGGTGCAATCTTGGCTCACGTCAACCTCCACCTCCCTGGTTCACGCCATTCTCCTGCCTCAGCCTCTGGAGTAGCTGGGACTACAGGCACATGCCACCATGTCCAGATAATTTTTGCATTTTTAGTATTTTTAGGGTTTCATCATGTTGGCCAGACTGGTCTCAAACTCCTCACCTCAAGTGATCTGCCTGTCTCGGCCTCCCAAAGTGCTGGGATTATAGGCATAAGTCACTGCGCCTGGCCCCAAATTCATATTTCCAAGGCCCAGCCCCTAGTATCTCAAAAGGTGAACCTGGAACAGATCCTTCCCTCATGGCTGTCAGAAGGAACCAACCCTGCCAACACTTTGATCCCAGACTTCCAGTCTCCAGAATTGGGAGAAAATAAATTTCTGTTGCTTGAGTCCTCCAGTCGGTGGTACTTTGCAGCCTGAGCGGACGAATGCATATATCTTACAAACCTTTCATAAGAAATCTTTCCTCTGTAGGCCCAAGTAATTTGATTTCTTAGTGTGATCTGATATCGTTTGAATTATCACTTAACTTGGGGGAATTAAATAAGGCACTCTGGACATACGCAGCCCCTCAGGAACACAGCTTGGTGAGTGGATGATCCTTTTGTTTGAAAAAGGTGCCCCTTCCTCTACGCAGTCACACCTCACCCTGGGACCCTTGATTTGGCAAGCAGAGCCAAGGCTGGATTTCACCTCCCACAGTCCCCCTCAGTGGGGTGCCTTTGTACAGTGTCCAACCTGCCCAACGATCTGCAGTGAACCTGCATGAGATCAGGAACCCCTCAGGAATAGGGATTATCTTAATCTTTTTGGAGGCCTAAGACTTAGCTTGGGGCTGACTCTCCAAGCACCCTCAGCCAACGTTAGTTGTTCGAACAAAGGCAGCTTGGTTTTCTTTGGGGGTTGAAGGGAAACAGGGAATAATTTCACCACACTTTCAGCTCAAAAGTCTCCATAGGTCTCTACTGCCTTCAGGAGGAAGTCTTACCATCTGGCTTAGATTGGCCTGGGCTAACCTGAACTGGTCAACCATCCCATCATTACCTTCTAACACTGCATCCCCTTCATTTGAAGTGATCCACTCATCGTCCTCAACCACACCTGGCACTTCCTGCCTTGCAGGTGCTGCTTTCTTCTCCTGGATACCTTTCCCTGTTCTCCTTTAACAGCAAAATCCTAAGTTGACCTGAGTCCTCTGTAATGGCTCGAGACACCTTCTAGCCTTCCAGTCGTCTGAATGGCTATGGTATTACTGCATGCCCTGCTTAGTCCTGTGCAGTTTAAGATTCTCCCCACCTATTCCACAGGTATATGTCTTCTGTCCTCAAACTGCTGGGAGACAAAGATACATAGCTTTCTTTTATGTCTGTAAGAGGCCTGGCATAATACTGCCAGTGCACTGAGCAAGTTAGCAACAACCTCATAGAAAATGCTAATGCTGAAAAAATTAAAATAATTCAATGATTATCTATATTCGGACAAAGCATTCTGGAATCACAGCAAGAAAATGTGGCAAACCTCCTTGAGCCCTTGAGCCTCTGCACCTCACACAGGATCACACCCACACCCCCCAGAAAGCTGAATAAGACCTATGCAAACAACCTTCCAGGGAAGGGATCGACAACCACAATCAGCCTTCTGCCTAGTTAATCATAAACCCAAACCTGCCGAAGCCAAGTCCATCGCCAGAACAAGGGGACAATTAGCATTGCCCTTTGCACACAGCTACTCACTGGGAAAATCGTGCACTGATCAGTGCACGCGGCTTCAACTTTCTCCTGACCCCAGAAGATTCTAGCGAAGGGCTGCTTGGTTATAGAAATAGAAAGCCCTTATCAGGAAGCTGTCAATTTCATGACAAACTTGGTATCGGGGAAGCAGATAATGGGCTGTTTACATAGTCTTAGGCGGACCAGGATTCATCTTGGGTCTTAGGGTTTCCCAATTCCAGATATTTCAAATATGGAAAACAGCAAAACAAGTCAAAATGATTTAATACTGTATATATAGCAATAAAAAAACTGAAAAAGTATTATTTTCTAAATCTTTAAGAGTTGCAATTAGATTTTTTTTTTAACCAAAATAGCACAACTGTTCCCCTTCTCTATAGAAAGTTTTCATTAGTTCCTCCCCGACCTTACTTTCCAGAGGACCTGGTAATAAACAAAAGAATGATCCCTTGAGCATTTTTCATCATAGCATCATGCTTTTAATGGAGCAGAGATGAATCCTGGGCTGCTGTGACCCACGGGTAGAAAACACAGTGCTTCTGTGTTTGGGTTTGATCACCCTCATGGAGAAAGTGGCTCCTGAAGACAGATGTAATTAGTTCTAATGTCTGAGGCCTTTGGGGATGTTCCTAAGGCTTTTTATTGAGAAGGCAAAGCAAGCAGAGGTGAGATCTGGGAGGATAAAGTAGAAGGCAATGAGACCCGAAAGAGTTTGGCTTATGCAAAGGAATTTCCATGAGCACCCACAAACATTGGTCCAGGTACTCTCTTAGTCACTGTCCCCTCGAGGATGGGGAAGAGGAAGCTGCCAACGTCACCTGGCTGCTGCATCGACTTCCTCCTCTTGCCCCATCATCCATCTCAGTTTTAGATTTAAGCCAGGACTGATTCTCTGTGGTCTAGGCTGATGTGCAAGTGAGAATCTTGATTAGAAAACCCCCAAATAACTAAATAAATGAAGTCTGTTGCTTGTTTAATGCCTTTAAATAGTGTCTCATTTATAAAATGTATTTACAACCTTTAAAAGTACACTTTGCTTCTATGGGGACTTATGGAACGTTCTGACCTAAGTCCTTGTCAGTAGCTTTGAGAAGGGGAATGAGGTCCCCACAAAGAATCTGGGGCTTCCCATCATCTCCACTTACCTTCAGGCTGGCTGGCTGAGGCACTTGGGTAATGACTTTGGGGAGACAATAACATGTTTAGCTTTAGTCTTTTCTCAAGAGAAAATTCCATCTTGGCAGTGTCCACCAGGGATACTCTGTCCCTAGGTTTTGGAGTATGCTCATTCCCCATGACTGGCAAAGTAAAATTGAACCATGGAGCCAGAAAGTCTGAGTCAGTCTGAGTCAGGCCCTGTAACCCTGCACACCAATCTGTTTCTCAGTTTCCCATCCGCAAAATGGGGTGAATAGCTGTATCTACTATGTAAAGATTGTTCTGAGGATTACATGAGTTATTATCTGCAAAGCACCTAGAACAATTCCTGGCACATAGCGAGCGAGCACTGTCTAAGTGTTTATGAACTAACTAAATAAATGGTCTTAACTTTCTAGGTGCTGATTTTTTTCTCTATCAGGGAAAATGTTTCTGTGTGCTATTTGTGGAATAAGCAATAATGATAGAAGCTCCAAACATAGTCACTTAAATACACTATGAGCACTATGCGTGTGCACATACACATAATATATAAATACACTGAGCTAAACATTACTATCTTCCCCATGTCAAGCTCTGAAGCAACTGAGAAATAAACCCCTGAAATCAAATGAAGAAGTAAATACCAGCATTTTGCTTGTAGAGTTGAGTTGGAGAAAGAGCCCATCTGGGGTTTCTTCCAGAGCATGAGAAGTACCTGCAGGGACCTACCCAGCCAGCCACAGGGGCCTGCGCTGACCTCATCTCTGCTGAGCCCTGAGATCAGGACATAGCTGGGGTGGGAGCGGGCCCTGCCTCAGGCCTCATCCAGGGAGACAGAGGCAGAGGAGAATGCACCATATCAGGCAGGCTGTCCCCAGAAGGCCTCTCTCAATCTCTCCCATTGGATGTGCCTCTCCTCTCATAAGGCGGAAGAAGGCAGAGGCAGATAGAAGCTCAGAGCTCTTCTCTCAATGCTTCCAAAAGGGTAGGAGTTCCCATTTAAGAGGCTGGCAAGAACTCCAGGAGCAGGCGAGAATGATCCCCAAGACACATATCAATGTGAAATACATGTGTTTATATTGTGAAACAGTCAACTCCAGCTTCAGAAGCAGTTTGCTGGGGATCATTGTCCCCTCCAGACTGAACACGGGCTAACATGTAGCTGAGAGCGGGTGTAGACAATAGTCTTGAAGGAGCTGATTGGCGGTTCCGTGGTTTACCAGCAGCACCGGGCAAAGGAATGTGGCTTACCTTTGAACAGACGAAAGAGGGTGGAAGCGTCTGCACCAGGTGTGTGCAGGCAAGGGCATGTTGAGAGATAGGCTGGGTGGTAAAGAGAGGTTCCTTCTCGGTCTTACTCTTGATGGAGTCCGCTGGTTTTCTAGCCTGCGCCCCGCAGGAGTGCCTGAAGGGTGTCTGGTATCAGTAATCTCCTATCCCTAAACCAGCAGGAGCTGGGGAACATTTAACAACCAGCTCTTCAGGATAAACAGCTTTGACTTATAACATGTGCAGATTTCAGCAATCACTGCTGATCACTATAGTTCCTCTCACAGCAACACTCTATGTTAGAGCATTTCCACCATTTAGAGATAAGAAACAAGTGCATATAGATCTTTGTAAACTGCAATAAAATAATAAGGCAGAGGCTGGGCGCTGTAGCTCAGGCCTGTAATCCCAGCACTTTGGGAGGCTGAGGCGGGCGGATCATCTGAGGTCAGGAATTCGAGACCAGCCCAGCCAACATGGTGAGATCCCATCTCTACTAAAAGTACAAAAGCTAGTGGGGTGTGGTGGCGGGTGCCCGTAATCCCGGCTACTCAGGAAGCTGAGGCAGGAGAATTGCTTGAACCCAGGAGGTGGAGGTTGCAGTGAGCCGAGATCGCGCCAGTGCACTCCAGTCTGGGCAACATGAATGATACTCTGTTTGAATAATAATAATAATAATAATAATAAGGCGGAGATTATTTTTTAGTGATTTTGACCTTTTTTTTTTTGAGACAAGGTCTTGCTCTGTTGCCCAGGCTGGAGTACAGTAGCATGATTACGGCTCACTGCAGCCTCAGTCTCCAGGGCCAGTGATCTTTCAGCCTCAGCCTCTTCAGTAGCTAGGACTACAGGTGTATGCCACCATTCCTGGAAAATTTTTGTACTTTTTTGTAGAGACAGGGTTTTGCCATGTTGCCCAGTCTGGTCTCAAACTCCTGGGCTCAAGTGACCAGCCCACCTTGGCCTCCCAAAGTGCTGGGATTACAGGTGTGAGCCACCACACCTGGCCTTTGTTTAACTCTTAAGTTTGCATAATTTAATTTTGCATGATGTCTTTGTTTAACTGCCAGCCTGCAAAACTCCGGAAAATTAACAATCAAGTCTTGTGAGATGATGCAAACAGAAACTACTCGAAGCCCATATGTCATTGCTGTAGGAAAAGCAGGCAGATTTTCACCTGCAAGCATTTCCCTTCTCCTCTGTCACTCTCTCCCTGTCCCAGGTGGGTGGGTGGATCAGACTGAGGCTGCAGCTCATGGCAGGGGGCTGGACTGTGGATGACTGTCTCCTCCCTAGCCGGGAGGCCAGAGGCACTCAGGTGGTTCAAGTTGACCTGCGGGGCTAGCAGGGCAGAGTAGGGCTTCCCTGCACTTTGGTCTCCAGCCCTGCCTCATTGAGGCCAATGGTTTGCTTTCTCTCCTGGCTAGTCTCCAGCTGTGAATGCATCTGGATAAAGACAGGACTGGAGCCTGAGGGTGGGAAATGAAAGGGGGGCACAGGAATCCAGTCAACATTGCCTGATTTACAGGAGTGACGGCTCACAAGTGGGTACACAATTGAGGATGGGTGGAAGTGAGAATAAGGAGAGCATCTGTGGGTACCAGTTTTATGGTGTCACAGACTTCTTTTGTAAAAATAATAAACACATAAATTAAATATTAGGTGAAATATATTTTATTATATATGTGTGTATTAAATTATTATATATTTTACTATATTTATATAGTTTACATATATACTATATACTAATTATAAATATATATCAACATATTAAATAAATACAAATCAATAAACAAATAAATATTTAGCCTGGCACATATCTGCACAGCAAAAGACTGTATTTCCCAGCCTACTTTACAGCTAGGTGCCTCCATATGTTTGTTTACGTTCTGGTCAATGATTTGTCAGCAGGAGTGTCTGGGCAAATTTCAGATCCTGCTCTTCAAGGGAAAGAGTAGATCTTCCCCTTCCATATTCTCTCTTGCTGCTGGCTGGAATGTGGATGTGATGTTGGGGGCTGGAGCACCCATTTTGAGCCATGAGGTAAATGCCAGGCATTGCAGAAGGCAGCCCATCAGGGTAGCAGAAACCTGGTTCTTTGTGATTGTGAAGATGCCATGCCAATCTACTGAGACTTCTACAAGAGAGAGAAACACACTTCTATCTTGTTTAAGCCCTGATAATTTGGAATCTCTCTCTCATAGCAACCTAACCAATACCCTAATACAACACAATGTCTTTATGTGTGTGCTATTAGTAATCAGAGCATGTCTGTGGTAAAAGTAGACCTCTGGGCATTCTTCAAAAGACTTAGAACTGACTTTTAACTCACTTTCTGCATCCCATCCTTTTAACTTCTCAGAAAGTGAGGATCAGTTATATAGTTAGGTTCCTGCCCTGAAAGTACTACAGTATGACAGCACCAGGCTTTTATTTTCTTTTTAACTAGGTGTGACTAATTTGGAGATTACTTTTTAAACATACACCTAAGATGTTGTAGCTAATACTGCCTCTTCCATCCTAGTCACTTTGCAACTTGACATTCTTTTCTAGTGATGATGAAATTCTCAGCATCCAGTTAGAATTCATACAATGGTGCATATGCTTTAGAATAGCCTCAATGTCTGGAATATAAGTGATGGGTCTGATTTTTAGAAACAGCCAGAAGGCATTTAAGATCAAGACTGGTGACAAATAAGGTGACCAAGGAAGCTTGACAATACCTGTCTTGTTCAAAAATGAGGTGTGATTTAAAAGTAAGGAGGATTTACTTGTTTAGCCAATAAACTAACTCTGAAAGTCATTTCAAAAAAGCAGATCCGAAGATGTTTAAAGTAATAATGGTGCTGTTAGAATGGTGCTCCCTCTCCCTCCCAGGGGATGACTTTGAAGGACACTACAATAACAGATGTGTAAATTCTGAAATATATGGCTAAAATGAGGTTTATTATTTTCTAGTCACCACTTAGACATCTTTTAGTCATTTGTTTATGACAGTTTATAAATGAGAAAGAAGTCCATTTAAAATATCTCCATGAGGACCTCAAGGTAAATAATAGGAATCGATCATTCATCAATCTGGCCTGGCCCCGGCCCACTGAAGAAAGTTCCTTCTTGAGTGCATTCAAAGCTCTCATGGTCCAGCCCTGTTCAACCTGAGCAGCATCCTATCTGCTCCTCCCCCAGACGTTCCGATGCCCTGCACCAGATTCAAGAGAGAGCCAAGTTCCCCAACAGGCTATGCACGTGGCTATTAACACCCAGCACACGCTATCCCTGGCCAGCTCTCTCCTTCTTCCCTAAGAATTAAACATTCTTTGGCCTGAGTTTTCCTCCTTTATGTCACCATAAAGTTGAGTTATTCATTATTAGGGTCTATACATGAGTAGCCAAAATATACGGGTCTCTATATTTAGGTCAAGGGGCCTTCAGCAGGAGAACATGAATAATTAGGAGTGAGGCCATGAGACAGAGGAAGAAAAGCTCATAGGAATGGGAAGACAGCCTCTCAGATGAGAGGTGTGCGGAGTGATTGCTGTGAGGAATTGCTCAATAGGAAAGTTAGCCAACCTGAGGACGTTTCTAGGGGAGGAAAAGGGAAACTCATATGGTTCTCTGCTAATTCTTAAAAATAAGGTAGATTCTTACTCATCTAGGGTGCTTGCTCGTTATGAACACAGGAAGATTAAGGAATGAGTATGGACTGTTTCTACTCTATGTTTTCGGACAAGAAGAATAATAAAAAAGCACTGGGTAGCTGGAACAACTGCAGAGGCCCCAACAATGATGGAGACTTTCTGGTGCACCGTGGCACAGGGGTCTCTTCCAAAGGGACTCAATCAACCCCAACAGGCATCATCTTCTGTGACTCAAGATGTCCTTTTTAGGAGTGCTTGTACTTTTTAATGCTCAGAGAAGTTCGTATTACTGATTCGGGAACACTGAGTTTTTCAGCTCCTGTAAAACTATTTTCAGGTTTATTTTCAAGTACATTCTTTACCTCGGGGGGTCAAATCTTTTGGTTTCCAGTGAATATCGTGGTTATACCTGTGGTTACCCACTGACTTCTCATCTGCCTAGCTTATCTGATAACAGGCAAATGGGGAAAGAGGCTTTAATACCCCTCAAAAGGGGAAGATTGATAATTAGTTATTCACCGCATAGAATCAGGCCAGGTCAACTCTCTCCAAGAAGAAAAGCAATCTGGATATTGCACTTTGGGGTCCCTTTTCATTTTGGCATTACAGGCCTCATGAGGATGTAGTCTTTCTGTATTTCTTTCTTTCTTTTTAAATTGTTATTTATTTATTTATTTTAACCAGGTCAAAGCATTACATACTGCAGAAGAGAAAGCAACTTCAGCTTCTCTTAAACGGTGTCATTTTCATGACAGCTCGTAAATTTTGGCCTCCTATGGGTCCAGGATCTGCGCGCATCCGCCCGGGGACTTGTTGGTGGATCCATCCCTCATGGCGGAGCAGCAAGGGGATCCTTTAGAAAAAGCAATGGGCGAAGTAACTGAAAGAGCGACGCAGAAAGCAACAGCCAGAAACGGCGGGGACGCGAGCGGCCCAGACAGGAAGGGAGGCGGTGGCGCAGCTCTGGTGCGCAGCGCGCCGCAGCGACGGAACTTCTGCAAAAGCTGCCTGCCCGCGCGTTATCAGCGGCGCGCAGGCCTGTGGTTTTCTCGCTCTCGCAACCCTGCTTTAACTGCCGGTTTATTTTTCGACAAACAGGATGCCTCCATCTGAGGCTGTCAGCATCCCAGGCTCTTTGAAAGAAAAGAAGTAGAGCGGCCCCACCCTAGAGGCAAGGACGGGGTCTGTGTCAAGAGGCTTCCCAGAGAAGTGAAAACTCTGCAGGTGCAGCCGCTGGGAGAGCATCAAGAAGGGCAGGGTGGAGGGGCAGGGGGCGAAGGGAGGGGGTGAAGCCCGCACCCTACCCCCACATGAAACTGATTCCACTACCCCATCTCTGCAAGCGTCCAGAGGCAGAGAGGCCAACATTTCGGGGACAGCTTGGAGGCGGGAGATTTAGGCAGGGCTCCTTAAACTTTTATGTGCATGAAAATCAGGCCAATCACGGGGCTCTTGAGCAAATGGGGACGATGATTCAGCAGGTCTGGGCTGAGGCCTCAGATTCTGCACTTCTAACAAGTTCCCAGGTGGTAGTGATGCTGCCAGTCCAAAGACCACACTGTGAATAGCAAGGCGTCGTCGGGACAGTCTGCTTTAGAGTAAAACCTAATAGATGTGCAAATATTTAAACCAAGCTGTATTTATTCCTGAGGCCCTGGTTTAACTGGAGCCACCTTGCTAATGGAAAATGGAAAATGAAATTCCTTTAGGTTCCAAAGGGAAGGAAAGTTTGAAATGGTTAAGGTATTTAAAAAATCCTAGTTGGGAGTGGCCTTGGGGATTCGGGAGAGTTGAAGTTAGGTTCTGAGCCAAGAGATGGGGGAGGAAGGGTGGGATGTGGCAAATAAATATAAACACACACACACAAACCCCAGCCCAACCACAGGTTCTTTCCTATCAATGAAACATTTGCATCTTGCAGGTAGAACTCACACGTGTCCACATTTTTCAGAAGTTGAATGGTTTTGTGTAATGGTACAGAATTTGGAGCCCATATTTGAATATTCTAGATCCAATGTTATCTCAGACTGGCTTTAGGATCTTGTGGCCTACATTTAAAAATGCATGTTTCTGAGTCATGTTTAATTAGTAGTAGTATCTGAGAACTGAGAGACTAGACTAAGAAATCCATGGTATATGAATAAAATCTCCAGACAGCAGCTAGAACATAGAGGTCCCTCCAGAGGCAGTGCCAGTTGTCAGCTGTAAAAATAGGTTCTGCTCAGTTTTGCTTAGGCCTGAAGTTTCCTGAAGATTTCATTTAGACTTCATCAAAACCAGTCAAAGACTTCCTGTTACAGAAAGGTTCTTAAAGTATGGCTGGGACTACAGGGCTATTAAGATGCAGATTCTTGGGCCTCTCTGCCTCACTCATCATGGTTTCTCAGGGTGGGTGCCGGGAACCTGCATTTTAACAAACGCTTTGAGGATTCTTATGTACTGCCAAGTTTAGGAGTCCCTGGTCTGCAGGTTTAAGTTCAACCTTCTCACTGCAGCATTCAAAGACCTGGCTTCAATTTTGCTGTTCACAGGCGAGCCTCAGTGACTTCCTCACTGCCCTCTGAGCACTCCTGGAGCCACCTGGCTGCCTCATTCATTTCTTCTCCTCTGTCTTTCCCCAGCCCTGGAATAAAATGACTTCCATCTTCCTCTCCGAACTCTCTTCAGATCATGGCTTCCCACTCAGCAAGCAGTTACTTTCCTGGTCTGCCACTGCTGTGGTATTAATGATAGGCCACTCGATTCTCATTTTGTTGACTGAATATTTCTCATGCTTAGGCTTTGCCTCCCTGACCAGACAGTAAGTTCTCTGAAGCCATTTCATGCTATATAATCTTTATGTTCAAGACTACTTTCTAACGCAGTGTCATGTCCACATGGATCATTCAGTAAATTTACCGATGGCTTATCTATCACCAACATGTTTTACAGAGTGTTATTAAGCAGGGACACTCTCTATGGGTCTAGGATCAGAAGAAGCTGGGAAGAGAAATGGGGTAGTGGTGAGAGTGTCATGAGAATCTGGTTATACAGTCATCAAAGACACAGAGGAAGTGGGAAAAAGGGAGTGTAGACCCCTAGCTCATCTGTCTGCAGTGTGAATTGGAGAGGGGTTCCTTTTTGTTTAATATAGTTAATTTTCCACTTGAAATCAAGGTCACCAAACCTATGAGCCAAACGATGGATGCTTGCCCTTCACACTCACTGCCTAGTGATGGAGCTCTTGGTGGCCTCTCTCCACCATCTCTGCTCCACCATCTCTTCCACTCTGGCTGGCTTCCCTTCTTCCTTTCTGCCTGATGGGTTGTCAACTCAAATGCCCAACTCCAAGCTCAAGTTAAAGGAAATTTCAAGTGTATTACATATAATGAAGCAGACTGAAAGAACAGTAGTATACTAGTAAGTTAGCTTAACATGGTTTAGTGGAAAGCAGCCAATACACCTCAGTTCTGATCCTAACACAGCTAGCATCATTGGCCGTGTCACCTTGGTTTTCTTCTTTAGCCTTTCTGAGCTTCAAAATTTTTGTTATCTAAACTCTGAGCCTCAGTGTTTTCATTAACAGAGCCAGCATAACAATGTTGGCTTCTAAGGCATTGGGCAGGTGAGTGGGGTAGTTATGGAGACCACCTGAGAGAGCCTGGAACACGGTTGGTGCTGGCAACCTACAGGGCCCCAGCCCTTGGCGAGGTATCTTTCTGGAGAAATGCTTCCTAGTGTTCCTAGCCATTCCTTGCCTCAGGCACCTTCACTACCATCCCAATCACAGGCCTACTGCTCTTCCTGGTCCAGCTTGCTGGTCCTAGTGCTTAGCTTCTCTCTTAAGGGGATCTTTTGACCTCTGTAGGAATTTCTTCCGTCTTGGGCTTCTGGCATGGTTCTATTGGTCACCTGGCACCCTCCTCACCACTTCAGTGGTGCCCCCAACTCTGCTTCTAGGACTCTGGCAAGTCCTACAACCACGATCCTGGTAATAGTACGAGGTTGGATTTGTCAACCTTGTCACGATCACATTTCTGTTCTGCGCATTGTGGGCTGTTTGGTAGCATCTTTGGCATCTGCCTACTGGATGTTAGTACAGTCCCCTCTATCCCTTGAGTTGTGACAACTAGAAATGTCTCCAGACAGTGCCAAATGACCCCCTTCCTCCTCACACTGCCTCCTTCTTCCAGGTAAAAACCACTGGTGAGGCCGGGTGCGGTGGCTCACGCCTGTAATCCAAGCACTTTGGGAGGCCAAGGCGGGTGGATCACGAGGTTAGGAGATCGAGACTATCCTGGCTAACACGGTGAAACCATGTCTCTACTAAAAATACAAAAAATTAGCCGGGCATGGCGGTGTGCACCTGTAATCCCAGCCACTCAGGAGGCTGAGGCAGGAGGATGGCGTGAACCTGGGAGGCAGAGCTTGCAGTGAGTCGAGATCGTGCCACTGCACTCCAGCCTGAGTGACAGAGTGAGACTCTGTCTCAAAAAAAAATAAAAAATAAAAAAACCACTGGTGTAAGATATTTTAAGGTGACAAGCATGGAGAAGAAGAGAAAAGTAATGAGGAAAAACTAAACTGGCAAGATCAATAAATATGGTCTAAATAAATGAAAAAGGAGATTGACTAAATAGACCCATGGGAAATGAAACCAGGAGATAAAATGTTAAAGAAAAGTATAAAAATTGCAAAGATAAGAGGGCATTAGATCGGCTCAAAATGGATTAAAGACTTAAACCTAAAACCTGAAACTATAAAACTACTGGAAGAAAACACAGGGGAGAGGCTTCTTGCCATTGGTCTGGGCAAAGATTTTTTTGAATATGATCTCAAAGCATACGCAACAAAAGCAACAGTAGACAACTAGGATGGCTTCAAAATAAAAAGCTTTTGCACAGAAAAGGAAACATTCAACAGAATAAAGACAAAACCTACAGAAAGGGAAAGAATACTGGCAAATCATAGCATTTGATAAGGTATTAATTTCCAAACTACATAAAGAACTCAAACAACTCAATAGCAAGGAAATAAATAATGTGATTTAAAAACTGGGCAAAGGACCTGAAAAAAACATTTCTCAGAAAAAGGTACACACATGTCCAGTAAGTATAAAAAATACTCAACATCACTCCTCATCATGCAAATTAAAACCACAGTGAGCTATCACCTCACACCTGGTAGGAAAGCTTTTATCAAAAAGTTAAGAGATGGCCGGGTGCGGTGGCTCACGCCTGTAATCCCAGCACTTTGGGTGGCCATGGCAGGCAGATCACCTGAGGTCAGGAGTTCGAGACCAGCCTGACCAACATGGAGAGACCCTGTCTCTACTAAAAATACAAAATTAGCTGGGCATGGTGGCGCACACCTGTAATCCCAGCTACTCGGGAGGCTGAGGCAAGAGAATTGCTTGAACCTAAGAGGCAGACGTTGCGGTGAGCCGAGATCGTGCCACTGCACTCCAGCCTGGGCAACAAGAACGAAACTCCGTCTCAAAAAAATAGAAAAATCAAGAGATAACAAGTATTGGTGAGGTTGTGGAGAAAGGGAGCTCTTGCACACTCTTGGTGGGAAGCCATTATGGAAAACTGTATGGAGGTTCCCCCCAAAATTAAAAATAGACTACCCTATGATCCAGAAATCTTATTTCTTGATTTTTTGGTATATATCCAAAGGAAATGAAGTCAGTATGTCGAAGAGATATCTGCACTGTCATGTTCATAGTGGTACTATTCATAATAACCAAGATAAAGAATCAGCCTAAGTGTCCATCGACAGATGAATGAATAAAGAAACTGTGATGAATATATACACAATGGAGTACTATTAAGCCTTAAAAAAGATAGAAACCCTGTCATTTGCAGCAACATGGATGAACTTGGAGTACATTACACTAAATAAAATAAGGCAGGCATAGAAGAACAAACACTGCATCATCTTATGTATATGTGGAATCCTAAAAAGTTAAATCTAAAAAGACTGTACATTAAAGGTACCTACCATTGTTATCTGTCTATGGAAATATTTTTTAAAAAGAAGTTATTTATTTTGGTGGAGGATCCACTAAGGAACATTCCTGAATGGAACAAAGAATGAACCTCAACACAGATGGAATCTGTCTTAGATGTGGATGTGGCTATGGGCACAGATGGGTGCTTCTAAGTGACTGCAGGCCAAGCCTGGCTGAGAAGCATTTGGGTACAGAGGGGCTTTTGGGGAATGATCAGGGGTGATCAGGAGCACCAGCTCCTACAGATTGTTTGACACATGCCACAAGCCTTGAAATGGAAAAGGAACACACATATGTCATATCACCTCTCAACATTTCACTGAAGGAGATTTTCCCCTAAATAGAAAGATATGGAGAAAGAGTACTGAGAATAATGGGCTGGATAAGTGGGACAATCCTTGCCCTTACTGACCTTCCTGAAGTGTCGCTGAAATAGGTGGACTTAGAACTGAATGGAATCTACTCTAAGTTATTTAGCAAACCTCTTCTGTTATCCCACTAGTTACCTTTTTTGAAGAGGAAAAATAAGAGTTGAGTTTTTCCATTAAGAAAGTCTATTTAAGCTGATAAAGTGGAAAAGAGGGCATCCTTTCTGTTCTTTGATTGATGTCCTGTAAATAACCCAATGGGAAACGGACCAGACTTTATGATCAGTCCCGTGACTATGAATCCTCTTGGTCATAGACATTTGTTTTCTACACAGGTATTCAATTTAAAGCCTGAGCCAATCAGCTCATGGGCAGTAAGATGTCCCTTGACTGTGGTGTTTCTCACATGCTTCTCCTTGCACACTTGTCCAGCTTCCCACAAGGGACACCTACATGACTTCCAGCCTGGCACCTCTGGACAGAATTGGAACCACCTCCATGTTGCCTGCTCCTCTCTGCTCTAATATTCCCACATACAGCTTCTTACCCTTAGCTGATCACAGGAATTAAGGGGAACCAAGTTTGGGTGGAAATCCCAGTTACTTACTTCCTGCTGTGGTTGTATGTGAGAGGAGATCAGTGTGGCCTCTTCTGCTTACATCCACTGATGTTTTTACACTTAAGCCATAAGCACAGGACTGGTGAAGCTCCCTCCATCCATTGGTCCATCTATCTGTCTATCCATCCATCTATCCATCCATCCCTCTATCATTCATCCATCCATCTATCCATTCATTCAACTATCTATCCATCTACCTGCCTATCCATCCATTCATTTCCATTCATCCTTCTATCTATCCATCAATTTGTCCATCTGTCCATCTGCTGGCTCATTCATTCATTCATTCAACTATCTGTCCATCCATGCATTTGCCTATTCATCTATCCATCCAACATTTCTTGAGTGCCCAAATTCTGCCAGTTTCTGTTTTTGGAGAGGTAAGTGACATATGAGCCATCTCTCAAATTGCTCAGAGTCTCTGAAAGAACACACTCATAAACAGAAAAGCTGGAATTATGTTTTGGTAAGAGCAAATAAACCAGAGCAAGAAGAAGAATGTGATCCTTTGCACGAGCTACCAATGAGCATCCTAGAAGACATGGTCATCAGAGTGTCAGCCTGGAAGTATTACTGCTTCAGGGAGCAAACGCAGATGGAGTGTGTCCATCCATGTCTGTGATGGGGATGTGGGATTCCTGTTCTCTGTCCCTCTAACACCTCATGCAGACACATGTCCCAACTCTCATAACCTGTGCAATGACTTCTCTTGCTGAACAACAGCCCTGTCAGGTGCCTTTAATGACTACTACCAGAAATTTCGGGAGAAATTCAAGTTGTTCAAATAAGCATGGAGAAGTGACCTCCCAGAGAGGATTTGAAAATAACACATAGAAAAATGAAACTAAATATGCATTGGGATTTCTGAAACTTTTGACTAAATGTATTATCTATAGGTCCTTGAAATCTATCATTATCTTGTCTTTTAGGTTACTTTCCTCCTAGATTTTTAAAGTCTTCAAAGAAATACTGATGATCCCCACTAGGAAAAGAGAAGGAAAATGAGTTATTCAAAATCAGGCACTGGGAGGACTCAGAATTACAGCATTATTATTACTTCCAATAATTTTAAAAGAGTTAAGGGCTCTTTGATTACCAAATCATTATCCTACTTCCTATGTCATCTATAACTAGACACGAAGATAACTTATTTTAAGTTTATTTCACAGGACAAGAGTACCAAAGTCACACCCTCTCTAGAAGGCCTTCTCTTGAAAAATGCACAGCTTATTCGTCAGGCACCCAGACTTCAAAACCAGACTAGGATTGAGTGCAGCCCTGCCATTTCCCAGCTGTGTGACCTTGGATGAAATATTTGGCCACTCTATAGCCCAGTCATCAATCTGTAAAATTAGGGAGAGTAATTGTCTCCACTGTGTAGATAACAGAGATGGCAAGCCTTTGTTGCGCCAGCAGGCCAGAGTCATGGCTGCCTTTTCTTCTCTGCTCTTCACGTCGGGGACATGGCTGATGGTCTTAATTTCATGCCCTTGCACACTGACTGTCAGTTTTTGTGGACATCTGTAGCCAGCATTAGTAGGCTGGGGTGGGGTAGAGGTCAAATTAGGTGTGTGGGAGGCAAACATGCTAAAGAGGGTCAAACCCGCCACATCATTTTATTTCTTTGTGGGAAGCAGCAACAGTACCTCGGTTCCTAAGGTCTTTCTGGAGCTGTGGTTCTCCAAAAAACATTCCAGATTTTACCCCTCAGGGGTCATCTGGCAATGTCTGGAGATACATTTGGTTGTGGCAACATGAGGAGGGAAGGGTTGTCACTAGTGTCTAGTGGGTGTGGGCCAGGGATGCTGCTTAGCAGCCTACATACAGCACAGAGGGCAGTCCCCTCAACAGAGAATGATTCGGTTGCAAATGTCAACTGTGGCGAGGTCGGGAAACCCTGTCTGGTGTGAGCAGAGGGCAGATCCTCAGCCTCCATGATGCCTTTCACCTTGACCATGGGAGCTGAGTAATCCCAGCCACTAGCTCTCTCATTTTACCCGAGAGATGTACAGGAGGAAGATCAGGGTACAATGGCACATCAGCCAGGGCTGAGACCCCTACTCAGCCTGAGTCTGTTCCTGTTATACTCCCCACCTCATCCCAAGCATCAGCCGTTTGCTGCCAGGAGTGAACAGATCCAGTGTACAAGGATGCATTAGTGACCACGCGCACTCACTGGGATAACCCACTTGGGGTTCACTTGTTAGATTTGGTTTGGGTAGTGTGTAAGGAAGAAAATGGGAAAGTCCAGTCAAATAGTGTCCAATTTAAAATCAAATCAGGGTGGAAAGGAAAAGTCCATGATGATAGCGACCATGTATCGGGCAGCATATTCTATGTATTTCTGATTCAGTGCTCGCAACAGCTGCATGGGTAATCATCATCGTCACACTGTACAGATGAGGAAAAGGGAGAAACAGAAAGGGTGAGTAGCCTGTTCAAGGTGACTCAGCGGGAAAGGACAGAGCTGGCATTTGAACACAGGCTCTCAGACCCCACAGGCTGCACCTGTAAAACTCTCCTCCCCACACCCTGTCACATCACAGAGAGGCCAGATGGGAGTGGGAAAGCCGAAGAGAATCTGGACTCCAACCGAGTTCTGCCTCCTAGAAGCCGTGTGGCCTGGGCTGCTTTTGTAACCTGGTTTTTGCTTCATTTTATTTTTTATTTTTAGCCAGTGGGAATTAGTAGCTGTGCCTATATCGTGAGGTTTTGATTAAAAGAGACAATGGAGGCAGTGTGCCTCACACCATTGCAAGTGAATGTTATTTGTTCTCATTATTCATAAGCCACAATGAAACGGCATCATCTCATAACTTTAGTGGGTCAGCCAGAATTGTTCACGACAACAGTGCGGAGGACACGGGACAGCACTAAGGGTTCCTCCCTCTCCCTCTCGTTTGACGCGGACTCCAGATTCAGAACCCATGTGGGGCACAGGTGGGGGCTGTCCAGGCTCACTGCAGGTCTCTCTCTGCTTTCTGCTCCTTCAGGTCACGTGGTTGTGATTGAAAAGAGGAATAGAGAGATGTGATGTGGCTGTTTAAAACAACTCCAACTGCTTCCATGTAAATGATGTGTTTGATCCTAAACTGAGAGGGTTAAGGGTTGGAACTCTGGGCCTCCCCAGAGGCTGCTGTGGGTCTGGGGGCCAGGACTCCTCAGGAAGAACCCAAGTTGGGTCTGAAGGTGACAGTGGAGGCCATTATCCCTGAGGGAAGACAGAAGAGGGAGCAGGGAGCAGGTGGGCCACCGAGCCCTGGCGTGTGTGCAGAAAGTGCTAAATAAGCCGGAAGAAGCACAGCAAATCACAAGGATGCCCAGAATATAATCTCTAGTTTATAGCATGAAATTTTTACTTTCCTGTTAATTGTACATTCTGTATAAGAAAAGCAGGTTCCTTTCCTAAGGAGCTTTATGATTTTATTATATTATTATTGTTTATTGTGGAGAATAATTAGCTTGCACATCTTTTAATTTGTCCCATTAAGATGTTTGCAGAGCAGCCGTGAGAGGCTGGCCAGCCCCCTGCATTTCCATTGATCAGGGCACTCACATGGCTGGCTGTGAGCAGGCTTTGCGGGGAGAAAGTCATTTATGATTGCATCCTTCAGCATGCCGAACCCCTCCAGAAAGGGAAGGAACTTTCTGTGACTCTGAAGTAGTCTGTTGTAGAATAACCAGAGGAGAAATGCCTTTTATACAATAAAGGTGAAGGGGGAAAAGAAGGGGAAAAAAACCCCAACTTCTTGACAAAAGGAATTATCATGATGTCAGAGGACTGGTGACATGGACTTTGTGAAATGACAAATGCCTCTGCAGAAAGGCCATTCTCAAAGGCCAACCAGTAGGCGTGTGCATCTCAACTCTTGTTATGCCACTGACACTTAGTGGTATGAGGTCCTGTTTACATGAGTGACTGAGGCCACTGCTTGCTATCACAGCTGAAACAACTGCTTCTGGCTACGATTTTTATTTTAGCCTCAGGAATAAGTGGATGAGAAGTGTTTGGGGCAAGCTTCACGGAAAACCCTGGCTAGGGTCAGTCAGGGTTGGGGTGGTCCACCCCTGAAGGAGGGACTCAGGTGGCAGGCCCCTGATTGCTGGGTACATCACTCTGTGGTTTCTTCTGTACATGTGTTCCATGGCCTGGACTGGGACAGGGCAAGAGATATACCTGGGACACAAAATTCAAGGTGGTGCGCTCTCAAGCCCATGTAAATGCAAGGTCAGCCTTGTACAACAATGGGAGCAAGTGTCGCCTTAAGTTTGTCACAGGAAGTGCCTCATTTATGTCACCCTGATATCACCTTCGATGGATTCTCAGATTGATAAATGAAAACAACTGGTCGGTCAGGAAGAAGGCATAGCAGTGGTTTCTCCCCACCCCAGCATGTCACCATCGTCTTGGGAACAAGTTTGAGCACCCCTGGCTTAAAGGCGTGTTTCTTGTGGGCTGTCTGGGAACTGCCTGAACATCTCTCTCAGTTCTGATGGGAGAAACACGTGGGCAGGAGAGGTCTGGATACCAGTGGTGGGGCCATAAAGCCACCAAATGCATCCAGAGTCAGAAAAGCAGTCCAGGATGGTGGCCAGTGCCCCAGCTTGGTGCCACCCCACAGCGTCGCCTCCTGTCCATGGGGCCTTGGCAAGCCTTTCGCTCTGTAAGGCTAAACTCCCTCATGTGCCAAACAGATATTCTCAACACCGACCTGTCCCCTCCACGGGCAGACAGACAGTGGGCTCTGCTGCAGGAACTGCCTCTGTTTGGACCGCACCTCCACCTTTCCCAGCAGCCTAACCACAAGCAGGTCACGTAACCTTGGCAGGCCATGCTTCCCCTTCACTCAGTGGGATTAATAATGAGAGCACCTACTCACAGGGTTGTGCCAAAATTTTAATACAGTAAGGCAAGAAAATGCTTGGAACGGTGCAAGTGCCTTGCGCATAGCATATGCTCAATAAATGCTAGCTGTTATTACTATCGGTTTTAAAGTTCATAAACTCAGCCTTCTGCCAAAGAGCACCAAGATCACTTCTGCACTGCTACATGATGAGAGAGGCAGACATTTCTTTTTTTTTTTTTATCTTCATACATGCCCAGTTCCTGGAACAGCTTCGGGGCCACGTTCTTGAGGTTGGCGGAGATGGCTTTCCTGTCCCTAGCCTCCCTTTGGTGGCATTTTCAGAGTTACCTTGTACTTATTGACTTCCTCTGCGTGTCCATTGCTTTATACATATTGTCTCAAATCCTCTTGACAACCATACAAAGTAGGGCTCATTCCCCTTGTTTACAGATGAGAAACTTGGGGCTCCGTGAGGTTCGATAAATGGCTCAAGTTCACACAGGTGGTGGATGATGGTGACAGGGAGAAACCAATACCTCGATTCTAAAGCCCACAGGCTTCCTGCTCCCCGATCCCACCCCTGAGCTTGGGCCTATCTTCCTCCTGGCCTCCCTATCAAAGGCAACTCGTAGAAGAAGCCCCTGGTGATAAAGAAAACACGATTCCTCCTGGAGCTGAGTGGAGTTTACACTTCAACATGGACTGAAGCCTCCAGGGAAAGAAATAAAGGTCTGTAGAGAGAAGCTACGTCCTGGTGAGCAGAGACATGACAGCAGCAGTTTCTGCTACACCTAGAGAAAGCTTCCTTGAATTCAGTACATCCTGGGGAGAAGTCCCAATGGATTCCCTAAGCATGGGAATTTTGAATGCTGGCCTCTCTCTCTCTCTCTCTCTCTCTCTCTCTCTCTCTCTCTCTGTGTGTGTGTGTGTGTGTGTGTGTGTGTGTGTGAGATAGAGAGAGAGAGAGAGAGAGACCTTTATTTCTCCTGAGAGGCCACTTCTGAGCTTTGAATCAGGAGTGATGTGAGCATATATATCCCTAATGGGAATTATAGTTTGGGTTCCAATTTTTATACAAAGATCTCCCACTTCCCAGGGCTCCTTCCAGAGCTGAAGCCTGGCAGCCTTGGCCGAGGCCATCTCTGAACCCTCTGCATGGATGTGCACATTGGCTGTTGTGGTGGTTCAAATTTTGCCCTAGACCCTCATCAAAACCAACCTGGTTAATTGTAACATTGCCTAAGGAGCCAGGTGGGCAGGCACATGGTGGGTGCTTAACCAAGGTGGTGCTGGATTTTGGGGAAGAGAGAACATCCAAATGACAGCAGGGGCCGGTTACTCCTATGGCAACTGCATTTCTAACACAGCCTAAGGACGTTCTTAAGGACTCAGGGATTCATATACATTGCCCTGCCTAATGAGTTCACAAGGTGAAGGGATTTAACCTGCAAAGGATTGTGGTATCTGAGCAATGCAAAGGGGAATTGAGGAGGATTAGGAGAAGTGTCTGCTAGTTATGTGCATGCTTGAATGGAATCCACCTCATAAATTCAGTGTCTGCAAAACTGTGGGTGACAGGAGCTGAGAAGACCTGGTTTCTCGTTCGGACTCTGGCACCAACCAGCTATGGAACCCTGGGCAAGTGAACCTCTCTGGTGCCCTAAGGTAGAGAAATGTCTAAAAATCACTCCAGCCAAATATTCGGCTCTTCCTTTCTAGCAGTTTAAAAATATTTATAATTATAGATTTTAAAAAATAAAGTTATATAATTTTTAGATGCCAACTGAAACTATACAGAACTATATATATACATAACTCTATATAACTCTATGACACAGCACATAAAACTTACAAAGCATCATATAGAACAATGTCTCATAGTTCATATGTCTCAGGGTTCACTTATTTTTTAAACAGATTTATTCACATCTGTAATACAATTATTTCTTTGTTTTGAATACAACCTGGAGGGAAGCATATGGGAGACACAGCCTTTATTTAAAAAAATGAAGTAATGATATGGAATGATTGACAGTTGGATAGAATTTTCATTGTCGGCACTTCTACTTCTTTATATGACCCTGCACCTTTCACAGTGCTAATATTTGTTTAAGGTTGCTTAACGTTGTTCCTCTCCTCTAGAACTTTGGAAGTAAAAGCCATTCTCATCTTTAGAAACAGTAGATTCAATAATAATAAATAATAATAAACTAGAAGCCTGAGTTTCTGTTCCTACCTGTCAGTCAATGCCTAAATAATTTCATTTTCACCCATTCACCCATTCATTACATGAAAGGGGCTGGGATAAGAGAGAACACTCCTGAAGGGGAGGACTACTTTTTCTCCTCCTTTTAGTTCCTACCCACTCTTGCATGGGTTTTATACACATATGTGGTTTCAGATTTTATGAATTCTATACTTTCAAAGTGGGTGAATGTCAAGTTCAGCTGTGACTGTTACCGAGCTGGATGAAGCTGCCCAGATGCAGCCTGCAGATGGTGTGGAATGAGGGGCTCAGTGCACAGAGTTCAAAGTGCAAACAGAAGCTGTGTAAGAAAGTGCAGCAAACTGTGGTTGGTGTTAAAACTGCTCCTGAAAAAAATGGCACTCAAACCAATGTATCTTAGTTGACCTAAACTCTCTTTTGCACATTCTGGGGCAGTAATAAGAAACAAACATTGATAGCTATACATATTATAAAATTTTGCACAGTAAAAGGGGAAGTGCTTCTCTCTTGAGCAATGAGTGCCACTCTGACATTTTTTGTCTCCCTTAAAAAACTCACCTAGGATGGGCCGGGTGCAGTGGCTCATACCTGTAATCCCAGCATTTTGGGAGGCTGAGGCGGGCAGATCACGAGGTCGGGAGATCGAAACCATCCTGGCCAACATGGTGAAAACCTGTCTCTACTAAAAATACAAAAATTAGCCGGGCGTGGTGGCACACACCTGTAATCCCAGCTACTCAGGAGGCTGAGGCAGGAGAATGGCTGAACGTGGGAGGCGGAGATTGCAGTGAGCTGAGATGGGGCCACTGCACTCCAGCCTGGTGACAGAGCTAGTAGACTCCATCCAAAAAAAAAAAAAAAAAAAAAAACCAACAACAAAAACTCACCCACAATGGAATGTGACTATGGAATACCCTGCGGTGTGTTCAGAGCTCTGACTTCTGTTTGCTCTTTTTAACATAACCCCCATCTGGCAAGCTGACTGCTGCAAGATTTTCTGGGTCTTTCTTTAGGATCTACTAACAATGAAAAACATATATATGAAAACCTACACATTTTCAGAAGCACATGAGAGCTGATCAAGACCCACGTACCTCCCAAGGAGAGGAGATGACAGAGGCTGCTCTGTGGTGTTGCTCTCAGGCTATATTTGATTTATTGCTCAAATCTTATTATTTCATTCTCCATTCGAGACTAGCAAAGTTTCTTTTGAGAAGTCACAGTCTCTACGGAGGGTATTCTAACGCCCAGAAGTAAAAGTTGGATGTTGGCAAAGAAAGCAAAGTAGAATCTTTGCAAAATGTTGGAGCTGCATAGTTCTCTCTCCCAATGGACATGTTTCAAGACTGAATACGTTGAGTATTTGATTTAGAATCAATTTAACATGAACTTCGCATTTATGCAAAGCAGCATCAGTCCTGAGATCAGCAGAGCGATTGAGCAAGCCCAACTAGCAAACTGAGATTTCTATTTGTGATGACCTTTCCCATTTGAGGCCCCAAAAATGTCTTGGGGAACTCATTGTTTAAAAAGAAGTCCATCAAAAAATGGACACATATGGACCATGGCATGGGAGGGCAGTGCTGCATACAAAATCAACAATTCTCTAAATGAACACCGATCTTGCAGAAAAACAAAATGAAAGCAAAACAAAAAGAAATTTCTAATTTCAAGAGAAAAACTGAATAACAACTTTCTTTTCATTCATCCTTTCTTTCTTCTTTTTCTTTCTTTCTTTTTTTTTTTTTTTTTAACGAAGCAATGACTTTCTCAGGGAGAAAGATTTGCATCCATGCTGAGGAAATAGACAGGGCCAGTAATCACACAGCAACAATCATCTGTAACTTGCAGAAATTCAATGTATGAATAAGTGTTTAAAGCCTAGATAGAGGGCAATTATCTGGTTATCTGTTTTTCATATTTCTATCAGAGATAAAAACCTCTTTAGGGAAATTTATGAAGGGCCATTTGAAAGAAGGTTTCCCTCTTTTGTAGAAAAGAATTCTCTTAAAAATTAAAACAAATTTGGGAGGCTGGGGGATTTTTGAGAGTTTAAAAGAGTGAGGAAGATGGGGGGCGGGAAGCAACTATTTCCAGCTGCGAGAAACCGATCAACCTCACAGCAAGGTGTGGTGGCTCTGATGCAAGCAACATTCCCATAGATACAGGGCTGTCTGGTTTTCTATTGCTCATTCTAACTTGAGGAGACGCTCAAGTGTGATTTGGGGCTTTGACACTGAAAATAGGTGTGAACTTGGATCCATTTAACCTAGCCCCTTCCCCCACCTCATCCCTTCTCCTGTCCAGTTTGCTTTCAATGGGTCAACAATAAATATTCACCCTTGGCATCCATCTGCAACTTCCAAGAGGGAATGAAGGAAGAACATAAAGTTTCTCTGCATTTGTTTCCAAAGCCCAGCTGGCACAGAAAACAAATGATACAAGATATGACTGGGAAGGCACACAGCCTGTCTTTGTCACCAGGTCTGGCAGATGTGGCTCTGGGTTCACGAGACATCTGCTCCCAGCTACCTTCCTCTCTGCTTCCCTCCACTCTCCAGGCTGGAAAGTGACAACTCCATTGTCCTCAGTTCCCTCCAGCCAGAGGCCTGTGACCTAGTTGTGGCCTAAGCAATATGTCAGCGAAAGTTTGCAGAGAAGGGCTTCCCTTCCTGAATAAAAATACCAGGACCCACAAGAAGGGGTTGAGGCCTCCCATGTCCTTTCTGCCTGGACAGATCAGAGGTGCAGGCCATCTCTCCCTGGCCTCAGCATGGTGGGACCAAAACATAGGAGTGTCCTGCACCCCACCGTATCAGCCTGGACTGCTCACTCTGGAACTCCTGCCCGTCTGCTCAAGCCACTGTGGTCAGCTTTTCTCTACGTGCAGCCAAACATAATTTTCATGGGTAAACCTGAGCAAGGGCCTTACTCTTTCTGTCACTGCAATAAAATACATAATTTCCGTCATGTTTCGGATTTAGTGTTTATTCCTCCACCTTGGCTCCTTTCTGGCATCATTACTCAGTGTTATTGCAAGATGAGGGAGGGAGAGAAAGAGAGAGATTCAGAGAGCCAAGAGAGTATAACACGTGTCTCCCCAACAAAGAGTGAAGCCTGCGCAAGTGAGAGCAGTGTGTCTGAGCTTATCCTCCCAGCATGTTGAAGGTGACAGGAGGTTTTGAGCCCTGTTTTGTGTTCAAGAGCCAGCCTGTGTTCTCGTAAAGTACTCCCTGATTGTGTTCACGGTCAGCAAAGATCTCAAAGGAAATGCTCCCTTTTTACCACTCCAGGACATCCTAGTTATTATATTTTATGAGAGGGAAGAGGTCAAGAAAGACATACCTCTTTGCCTTGGCTGGAGGCTCAGCAAAAAGGCTAAAGAAGGGGACTGGTGGCATCTGATGGGGAGGAGCAGGGGAGGCCGAGAAACAAGAGTTGTGGGAAAAGTGCTTTGAACATTTTAATATCTGTTCAGGCACCAGTGTAGCTTCTGAAGATTTCTTGAAAAATGGGAGTTGGAGAAAGCAATTACGAAAATGAGGGAAAATATCTTGCATTTGTGAAATGATGGGAGAACTATTTTCTAAACAGAAAATAAAATATTTTTAAGTGGCTTTGTGTTATTAAGCTAAGAAGATTTGTGATGTGTTTTATGGTACCTCTTTCTGATGCATGTAAAGACTTCCAACAGGAACTTGGTAATTTAGATGCAAGCTTGTCTAGAATATTATTAGCCCATTTTGCAGAACTCAAATGAGACACAAAGACATCTATTGACTCATCTAGGTCACTAGGAAGTTACCTGAGAAACTGAAAATTTGCTTGAGTTTCCTGTGTGGGCCTCCTCTGCTGCCTCCAACAAGACAAGCCATCAAAGCTACCTTCATGTCTGGGCTTTGACAAAGTACATGATTACAAATGTTCCCAAGGAGCAGGGAAAATGGGAGTCTCTCAGAGGCCCAGAGAACCTGCTCAAAGGTATACAGGCAAAATGGCCTTTTCCTTAAGAAGAGCCTTGGAGAAAATAAAGCTACACCAGCAGTCTCAATGAAAAGAGACATCTCTGTTGTCCTTGTGTGTTCAGATCAAAGACTTAGCATGACATCCTGCCCCAACTAGCCTCCATATTTAAAATCAAAACTTGTTAAGTTGAATTTCATAAAGGGCTCTCGTTCTTTTTCCACAAGGGAAGGAAGGCTGACCTGCTGGTGAAAAGCCCTTAGGGTGGACTGAGTTACCCACTGCTGTCCATGCCCATGTGGGATCCTGCAGCTCTAACTTTGCCCAGGCTGTACTCTCGGCCTAGACCACTCTTCCTTCTTTCCTTTGTTCCCAACTTCCCCTCCCCCAACTCCTGTGTCCCTCTCTCCAGGGAGCCTCCTGTAATGTCCTCCAGGGCATTGTGACCTCTCCCTCCCTAGAGCAGACAGCGGTTGACTGGCTGCCTTCTTAGATAACTGAACATTGATAGCCACCATTCAGATTTATTGCTTACTTTATATGGCTGGGCAAAGCACCTTACACAGATTAATTCGGTCCACACAGCTACCTTAATAACAGGTACTATTGCAATCCTTACTCTGCAGATGAGGAAACTAAGGCTCAAGAGAGAAGTTCTATATGCTATTTGATGAAAGCCAGAAAAAAGAAAAGAAAGAAAAGGCCATCACTGTGTCATCTGAGCACATTCCCTGCACAGACCTCCTGCCATTGCTTTCTCTAATAGCAGGTGCTCTTATGCCTCCAGACTCTTCTCTCTAGGCCTTGGGCTCCTTATTAAAGTCTGTGTGTGCACAGCGGCTGTGCAGCCGTCCTCTGTCCCAGCATCTCACCAGGCTTGATTTCTCAGTAAAGGGCTACATATTTTCTGAGCACATCTTTCGGATCTATTTTGAGAGAATGTAGGAACGTCTCAGCTACTCATTTGCTTTCAAAAGCTCAGAAAGGCTTCTTGCCATTCAGAATCGGGTCAGTTGCTGTTTCCAAAGGTGCTTCTGCTACTGGTTGCTCCATGCCCCTGTACTCGGTGTGTGAGCAGCTGTGGGGCCTCCTACAGCCCCCTAAACCCCACTAATAAAGTCAGTCTGAAGTACAAAGACAATCCTCCCCAAGAAAGCAGAGCCAAGAGGAGGTTTCTTTGGGGCGGCTGCCATTTGCTCTTTTAACACTTAAACATTTCAAAATTACTCGTCATTTTCTACAGTTTCTTAGCGTGCAAAAAGTCTAAATGGCAAAGGCATGATTGTGAGTTTAGATAGTTTTATCACACCTTTTTTTTTTATAGTTTCAAAATGTGTGGGCAGTTTCAGATGTGAAACTCCATCTCACAAAGGAGGAACTACAGTCTGATTCTTTAACATCCAAGAGAGCAGCCAGGATGCCCCATCCCACAGTTTCCTTGTGGGCCAGGGTGGGTCAGATTTGCTAAGACCCACTGTTAGGGACTGCAGTATGTCTCCCTAGAATTAATACATTGAAGTCCTAACCCCAAGGTGCTCATAATTTGACACTATTTGGACATAGGGTTTTAAAATGACGTCATTAGGCTAGCCCCAATACAATGCAATTGGTATCCTTATAAGAAGAGATTAGGATACAGACACACACAGAGGGATAACCATGTGATGAAACAGGGAGAAGGGAGCTGTCTGCAAAACCAAGGAGAGAGGCCTCACCAGAAATCAGCCTTGCCGACACCTTGATCTCACACCTCCAGTCTCCCTCCAGAACTGTGTGAAAATAAATTTCTGTGGCTTAAGCCTGAAGTCTTAAGATCTTAAGTGTTCAGTCAAGCCAGAAGAAGTGTCTTAATAAATATTCTTCTGAAAAGAGCGGCAAGCCGATGCTTAGAGAAGAACATACTTTATACATGCAGCTTTGTACTTGGCAATTCCCTTTGAAAGACTGCTTCAGTGGGGTAAACTTGAACCGCTGAGAAGACAAGCAGGGAGTCGGTCTCGCTGAGATTTTTACCTGTGGTTCTAGGAACGCAGAGGCATGTGAGTGTTCAGGCTTTGCATAGACCACTAAGCCACTTCTAAGAACAAGGCTACCTGAGCCATTTTGCAAAAATATGTACGTGCCGAGGCTTTTCCTCCCCACACCTACCTCAACTCTTTCTGCCGACACACTGCACTTTTCAAGGGAACCCAAGTTTGGGTTCGGCAAGAATTGTACGTTGCACACCGTGTGTGATAATTCCAGGGAATTTCAATCGCATCTTGTCTTCCTTCCTAAGCAAATTCGGTGGGAACCTGGTGTGGTGTGATAGAAAAAGCCCCGAGTTCTCTGTGGTAGACCACATCAATTTCATGTGCCAGTCTCTCAGACTCCGGCTTGCCTCTCTCAAGGAAGGGAACAATGGTTTGCTTGGCTTCACTCCTCTCTTTCCCCCCAATTTCCACATGGGTATCTGGCTAAAAATGAGTTACAGGTTTCCTTCTGTGAGAATTGCATGGACTGATAAAGTACCATCCCAGGAAGAAAACAAAGATGCTGTCTTCCCTTTCGGCTCACAGTTGCCGTTGGGGAGGGAACACACGCTGTAAATTATAGGCAGCCAGAAGTGACCGCATTGACCACTGCGAGTGGCCCAGCTATGGCAACAGGCTGAGAACTCTGGGGGAGAGCCATTTGTTGGCAGGGATGGTGATTCTTCTAGCATCAAGCTCTAAGATGATGACCAAACGGTATCAAAAGAAATGATATTTTGCTACCTCTCCGGCTTGGGTGAATGATGTGGACAGTTAACCTGGACAATTTAAACCTTTATGTTGATGGATCACTTGGATGAAATTAACCAGGAAATTGCCAAGATTTCACTTGGCCCTCTGACATCAAATCTCAATATTATATTACCAAATTAGAGATTCTAAAGAACCCTGAGTTCCTTTCACTGAAAGGAAGGAGTGGAAAAACCTTTCCAGATGATCCCTTTTGAGTCTTGGTGCGAGCTCAGGCCCTCCCTACACTGCCTCCGTGAAAGCTAACCGACCCTTGTTCCTAACCTAGCGCAGGTCAGCTGAGTGTCCATCGGGCACAGGAGCCCTGGGCTTGTCCGGGAGATAGCCAGACTCCTGCTATTTCCTGATGTCTGCATAGCTCAGCGTGTCCCTCACCATCTTTGCCGTTGGCCAGTAAGGAGAGCCCCAGGGGCCAGCACTGCACACTGAAACCCAACCTATTGCTCAATGGAATGCTTAAAAATTTCCTGAATCTGCCTTCCTGAGTTGATAAAATAGGAAACAATACACGTTCTGAGGGGGTACTGAAAGCAGAGTAAAGCCAGGAAGATCTTTTTTTTCTGTTATTCTATACAAATATTGCTTCCTCTGCTTGTTAGCAGCCCAGAGGAAATGCAGCCAGGGAGCCGTTTGCAGCTTTTCACCAGTGGCCGGTGTCTCTGTGTTACCAACCAAACGACGCTGCAAGACTAGTGACTAACGCACGTCTGCATGATTCAACTTCACTAAAATTCCCTCTGCTGCCAGTAAAGAAGCACTTGAAAACTCTTTAATTTGAAACTTGAGCTTGGTTAATGACTTGTTTTCTTCTCTTTCTCTTTAACTTCTCTCTTGCCATCTCCAACACACACACACACACACACACACACACACACACACACACACACACACTCTCTCTCTCTCTCTCTCTCTCTCTCTCTCTCTCTCATCAAGTTTTTTAATTTCAGGGACCCGGAAACATACAGCCCCGTGCATTCACAATAGCATTTGCTGTGATAAAGTGGCCGGCAAGCCCTCTGCATTCCCCTGCTCACTTAGCTGTATGAATAAATAATGAGTCACAGATACAATTTGGGTGCTCAAGAGAGTTTGTAGCCAGAAAATTAATTATTCTCCCATCCCAGCCCACTCCATCTCAGCTTTGCCAAACCATCAAGATACACTTTGCAGGCACTGGTCAGAGTGCGTGCCCCGACGCACACGGCAATGCCTTTGAGACATTTTATGTTATTATTTTTGTTTGTTTAAGCACAGCCCTCTTTTACCACGAAAGATACACAAGACGCACATGCACACACATACTCACACACTCACAGCTCAACCACAGCTTTGTCCATTTCAAGAGGCTGGTTTCAAAAATGGAGACAGGTTTTCCACCCTGGCTGTTCCTATTCATAAGCCTGTAATCTAACGACTTAAGCTGCGAGAATGCTTAACTCGGGAAACTTCTCTATTGCCCTTTTCCAGAGAGACCTCGGTATGCCACAATTTGCTTCCTTTCTCTCTTGAAAGATGCTGGTTGTCTCTTTGCATTGAGGCTACAAGGAAAAACACAGCACAGCCCCATGCTGATGATTTTAACCTAACCAAGTCTGTCAGTCTCCTGTACTCTCTGCCTTATAGAGACAGCTGCCTTGCCACTTTGGCCCTGAAGTCCCCAGGCTGGTGCAAGGCTATCTGAGAGCCTCCGCCTCCTGCCCCACACTGGCACCAGCCCTCCTGGCTGGCTCTGTGCATGTGCCTGCTAAGCCCCAGGGCAGGCTGCATTCTGGGCCACACAGCATGCCGAGTTAAGGATAACTCAGACACAGGCATTCCGGGCAAGGGACAGCAAAATAAAACCCAGGGAGCTTCGTGCAAGCTTCATAATCTCTAAGCCTTTAAACAAGACCAGCACAACTTACTCGCACTTGACAAAGTTCTCACGCACCGACTGAACACTCCAACAGCATAACTAAGTATTTATTAAAACATTTCTGAAGAGCTTCCATCTGATTAGTAAGTAATCCAATAGACTTGTAATCATATGCCTCAGTTTGAATTCCTCTCACAAACAAGACAGGGAACTGGCAGGCACCGAGGCATCTCTGCACCGAGGTGAAACAAGCTGCCATTTCATTACAGGCAAAGCTGAGCAAAAGTAGATATTACAAGACCAGCATGTACTCACCTCTCATGAAGCACTGTGGGTACGAAGGAAATGACTCAAATATGCTGTCTGAAGCCATCGCTTCCTCCTGAAAATGCACCCTCTTCTGAAGGCGGGGGACTCAATGATTTCTTTTACCTTCGGAGCGAAAACCAAGACAGGTCACTGTTTCAGCCTCACCCCTCTAGCCCTACATCTCTCTTTCTTCTCCCCTCTGCTGGATACCTCTGGGACTCCCCAAGCCCTATTAAAAAATGCACCTTTGTAAAAACAAATATTCAAATTGTTAAAGATTAAAAAAAAAAAAAAAGCCAGCGCCGCCTTGGCTGTGGGTTGGTGATGCTCACCACGCTGCGAAACCCTGTGGTTTGCATTCAGTGTGATTCGTCCTGCCTGCTGACCACTATGCTGGGTTCAGACTTCTGACACTGCCAGGCTACCCAACTTGTGGTTCTGTGGTTGTTTATGAGGCCCAAAGAAGTTTTCACACAACCCAAATTACAAATTTAACTGTTCCCCTTTCCACAGCCCATCTCAATTGGTTCTTGCCAATCATGTGACTTAAGTGATGTCAATTTTTTTTTTTCTTTTCTGAGCAATGCCCTTCCTTCCCTCCACCTGCCCTCCCCCAGGCTGTGCAAGAAAATAGCCGAGTAGACTTTGCAAGAGGGGGGGATGTAGAAAAAAGTGACTCAGTCACTTATTATATCTCAATGGTCTTTGCTGATTTAGTACAACTCGGCTCCTGTTGTTATTTGTGGTTTTTGGAACTACTGATTATTTTGATAAAGATTTCATTGCTGCTTATTCAATAGTAATTCAACGCTGGCATCAAGCCGCTGCTCCGACAGGATGTGGATCCCATCATTTAAAATGCTAGGCATCAGCTCCGGGAGAGTTAAGTCCTTGGTAACGTCTATCATGGCATAAGTGAAACTATAAAAGGGAAAAATAAATAAAAAGAAATGTTTTGGTGAGAGTCTGACCCCTACAACGGGCTGGCAACTCACAGGTATTTTAAAGCCTGGGAAAGGGAAAGAATTTTACTTTTGAAATAAAAGGACTGTTTTAATGAAACCAAAATTATGTGGTTTTATTCCCCCTAAATGGACAACTTTAGTATGTATCTCTTTCAGTAAAGAGATAAAATCATAGTACAGTCTTAACACACACACACACACACACACACACACACACACACACACAAATTAGGAAGCTAAAGGAAAACAAAGCAGAGAGAATTTCTGTATTTGGGACAAAGCAGTGGTTACTCTGCAGATGTTTATTTGTATTGTCACTTGGGAAAGCTCCCTGTATTGCCTTTCTCTAGTTCAATTCAAATCAATAGGCTAATTTACACCTGTAGGTAAAACTACACTTTGAGCACATGAGGATGCCACAATAGAAGGGGAACCAGGAGGAGACACTTCTCCTGGGGCTGACTAATGAATATTATATAGCGCGTCCTCTACCTTAGAAAGACATGCCTGTTTGAAGATGCTAAAAACAGGATAATTTTGTAAGTGGGCAAACCACTGTGGTCACACGTATTTCATTTTCCGGCCCCACTGGCTTTACCTGCTGACAACTAAAACGTCATTTTGTTTTGTAGTTCCAAGATGAAGAAAGGCTTATTTTCCTGATTTACTACCTTATTCATTTGGCTCTGCTCTGCCTACATCCGCCATAGCACTCTGCGCACGTGAAATTTCGACACATAGGGTCAAGAGAACCTGTGTGATGATGGGTTGTAAATGCCAGTCCTGGATTCTAAGCTGCAGTAGCCAGCACAGGCACTTCAGAAAGGCTGAACTCCCACAACACTCCCTCGGTTTTCCCTCATCCACTTAATTTCACACACACAAAGACCCACAACGATAGTAGCTTCCATGGCACAAGTCTTTCAAAAGGAACAGACACAATTTTTACTTACTCCTGTTTTGACTAAAGCAGGAATTGAAACTCAACAGACCGCTTTCTCTTACACTTGTGAGAAGTTAGCTGGCCACATGTTGACACTGCTAACATCTAAAAAAGAATAATAGTGCTACATCTCTTTTATGAGGCTCGTGAATCTTTAAATGTGATGCGTGTTTCATATTGCTTCTCAGTGCAAATCCCCTGTGAACATAATGAACATAATGGGCCTGTGTTGTTACCCTCCCTAATAAAGTCAAGCCTGAGTTGAACCCCAAACCAGGTTCATTTTTCTCTCCCACACTTAATATTCCCTGGAAGGGCCCTAAGAGCCGAGGGCTGTAATGTGCAGCTGCCACTGCAGAGTCGACTCACACTTAATAATGACTTAGCAATTCAAGGGGCCATACAGAATATCCTTGGGAGATTTAATTTTAGAAACTCCCCAGATGCTTTTAGCCTTAGGTGTCCAGATGCTTAGGAGAAGGGTTTGGATGAGGCAGTGAACGGCCTGAATTCTCAACTTTTCTCTTTGGGCCTAGCTCTAGCCAGATATCTATTTCTTCCAGTGGGGTCTTTGTAGGACAGGTTAGAGTGTAAAGACACTCTAAGGCTGGGGCTCGTTGAAGCCTCACTATACGCTGTCATCTTCGGGACTGAGGTTTCAACAGGGCACCAGGGGGCAGAATACAAAGGCCTGCACGCTGGCCCTGCACGGCCTTCCTGGGCGGGGTTAACAGCCACGGCAGCCGCAGCATAACTTCGCAGCTTGGTGAGGCAACAGTTGGAGCTTTTCTGGGCACCCTCCAGGTCATGACAATAAGTAAAGCCTCAGCCAGCTGCTGGTGAACTTGGCCTTACCACTTCCCTAGGAGCCCAAGACAAAAGGGCACGTCTGTCATCAATGAACCGCCTGGAGAAATACTTAATCCTAACTTAACTAGAACGGTTTAGGACTCTTTAAGTTTGTGTATTGACCCACACCCTCTGTCCTAGTTCCTGCAAGTGACTCAGACCCTGGGTTTCTGGCTTGGGGATTGTACCCAAGAGTCTGCAGTGGACTGTGGCTTTGCCAAGGAATTGGATGACAGTTTTCATTCTCGCTCATATTGGCTGCAGCTTCTAAATGCCACCATGGGTGGGGGGGCGGGGTGGGGAGAAAATGCTCAGGTGTCTTTTTTAATGGCCCTATGAAAATACTAGAAAGGGTTGACAGATGTTTACCTGCATAACCCTGTAATTAATGTATAGACTTCTGTGTGCAGTCCAATCCAATCAAAGCACCCTCTGTTAGGGATATTCATTACATGATTGCCGCATGCTATCTCTGAACTCCACATGTCTATTATAAAGTAGATTCTCTGGCCAGAAAATGGAGGCAGAGATGGACCACCCAAATTGGATGGAGTCTAAAATCCCAGGAGGACAATGCTACTGAATTTTCTCTATGTAGCGTGGATTTTCCTTATTTTCTAAATCTGTTTTCTAACAGATGTCCTATCCAGAAACTTCCATGCTATGCTGACAGTGAGGTCAGGGATGATTTTTAAATTGGGACGTAGACATCAAAGCTTCATGGGATGACTATAACCTGCTTTTGGCAAATCCAATGGTTTGAGACAGCTAGGGAGCCCTAGAAGCCCAGCTATTAAAGATGTTCTTTCCTGGACACTCATGATGGTGCCCACACAGGACACATCTCTCTTCCGCACAGGCCTCTCACTTCTTTAGATAAAGGTGCAATTCAAATTTAAGCTACCCAAGACTTTATTTTTTTTGAGACACAGTCTTGCTCTGTCGCCCAGGCTGGAGTGCAGTGGTGCGATCTCAGCTCACTGCAAGCTCCGCCTCCCAGGTTCACGCCATTCTCCTGCCTCAGCCTCCCGAGTAGCTGGGACTACAGGTGCTCGTCACCACGCCCGGCTAATTTTTTGTATCTTTAGTAGAGACGGGGTTTCACCGTGTTAGCCAGGATGGTCTTGATCTTCTGACCTCGTGATCCACCCACCTCGGCCTCCCAAAGTGCTGGGATTACAGGCGGGAGCCACCGCGCCTGGCCTCAGTATTTACTTCTTAACCTTTCCTAGATGAAGAGGTATTGTTGGGGAAATATGATTTCAAAAGGAAAAAAGAAAGAAAAAAGGCAGACATTGAAACCAACCTGCCACTTGAATGTTATGTAATGATATGAAGAGCAGCTAGGGAGAATTATTTCAAATGAAAGAGTTTCAACTGCTTCCTCCTCTGCTTGCAGACTGCAGGTGAGCAGTGTCGATGGCACCCAGGAACTTGTTGAGACTCTGCATTGCGGGCTGTATCCCAGGCCTACTGAATGAGAATCTGTATTTTTACAGTTCCTCGGGTGATTCTATACACATTAAAGTTTGAGAAACATTGCTGAGGAAAGCCTTGCATCTATTGGAATTTAGTAGAGAAATAATAACATGGTGTTTGCATTCTTTGAGATGTCTTTTTCTTCCTTTGAGCTTTCTGAAACTTTTCTACTTTGTTGCTCTGACATAATTTTGTAAGCCCTGGATGTTTCTAGACAGCAGAAACCCACAAGAGGCAAGGCCCACGTCCTCTAAGGTAGCATTTTCTTGGATTGTCACTCGGACCTCTCATCTCAAGTGCCGTGTTTGGGTCAAGTTTACAGTCTGAGGTTTGACACACAATGTAGGGAGGCTCTCCCTGTGCTCCATCTGCCTAGCTGGTGGCCATGTGTATATAAACAGAAGGCTTTTTCCTCTGGGGGCACCAGACTCTCAGTTTTCACCTAGTCTGCAGTTTGGAAACACATTAATCCTGTGAGTTCTTCCAGACACACAGCACGTGTCCACGTGGCAGGCAGCGTCGCAGGTGGCCTTGCAGTCCTGCCATGGGCTGTCCCCCTCCCAGAGGGTTGCCTGGCCCCGCTCTCCAGCCACTGCCTTGCCGAGGTCATGCCCTCCTTTGCTGCAAAAGAAAGGGCCCACTCTTGAATTGTGCTTCCTTGGAACAGCCAAGCCTCCCAGGTTCCAGAGGCTCCATTTGTGCAGGCACCCAGGGGTTTGGCTACTTCTCTCAGACGCATCTGGGTCCTTTCAGGCTGCTCTGGGCCAGAAAGCTTGTTTAAAATAGCTTCTCCTTACAGAGTTTTGGCCCTTCTGCTTCTGGTGGCATTTGAAACCAGGAGGGTAAAACTGGAAAACTTAAACAAACCCTCTTTGAATGTTAGAAATGTTCAGCATTCGAGGTTTGGTCAAATGATGGAAAACATTCCGGGTTGGTACTGAACTTTCCAGCCAGTTCCTCCAACCTGACGCTAATTATAGCCTGAGATCCAGGCAGGGAAAGCAAAGGGAAATGAGGAAACTAAAATTACTTGGAGTTAGAGAAGCCAGAATTCATGTTGGTCAGATAGTGTACAATTCAATAGTTCAGTTTATGTGGCAAATAATGGTTAATGTCCCAAGTCTGATCAAAGCACCTGGATTCAGGAACTTTGCACTCTTATTGAAATGCTACTTCTTTTCCCTGGGGTAGGCAAATTACCAAACTTTCACATGGCTATTTAGAAACTAAAGCATAACACTGCCTTTTTCACTGGGGTGCTATGAGGGTCAGTAACTGGACTATGCAAAGTGGTTTTGAATGGAACAAGAAAGAGATCTGTGGTTGACATTTCAATATGGAAACATCCAGTATGTGAATTTTAATATCTGCACTTGCCAGGGATTATAAAGGCATGACTTTAGGGCCCTAACTGAGAGGACCCAGTAGGATCGAGCTGAAAATACCCTCTGTAGTTGGTGCTACAGAGATCTTTAGTATTCACCACTTAATTTTTGAATTAAATGTTCCTTTGAAATAATAATACTCAGCTCTACAGATTCAGGCTAAAATTCTTTCAGATCCTCAAAATGTCCAAATCAAATAAAAATATCAACTCAACTGAGAAACAAAATATTGTACTTAAAATTGTGTGGTGTGTATTTTAATTTCCTCCTCTCTAAATTCCCTTTCCTTCCTCTTGCCAGTATAGAAACTGGCTGGATTTTTGGAAGGAGAGCAGGAAGAATGATCTTGTCTATGTTCTGGTTCTGATTTCATTTCTTTCTCAAGTTTTTAGTTTATTCAAAGCAGAAGGAAGAAATCACCTTGTACCCCACATTAACGTAACTATAACTACCAGGATATGATCTTTCAAGCATTTGGGGCTGATTGTGAATGATCCACCACATAAAGCCATCACTGGCTCTTGAAATATATGTGGATGTATGTATATGTATTGTATATTATATATGATATTATATTACACATATATGTATTACATATCATGTATACTATTTATTTATTTATTTATTTTGGTAAGAATATTTAACATGAGATCTACCCTCTTAACCAATTTTCAAGTGTACAGTATTGTTAAAAATACTTATATATAGGCATTATGCTGTACATCACATCTCTAGAAAGTAGTCATCACGTCTAATTAAAACTATGCCAACCGAGCAATTTCAGATTTCTCCCTCCTCTCCTGGTAACTTCTGTTCCACTTGCTAATTCCATGAGTTTGACTATTTTAGATACCTCATATTAAGTAATATCATGCAGTATGTATCCTTCCATGGCTGACTTATTTCACTTAGCATAATGTTCTCCAGGTTCATCTATGTTGTTGCATATTGCTATACTTCCTCCTTTTTTAAGGCTGAATAATTCCACTATATGCATATAACCATATTTTCTTAATTCACTCATCTGCCAATGGACATTTAGGTTTTTTCCACATTTTGCCTATTGTGAATAGTGCTGCAATGAACTTGGGAGTATAAAGAAATATCTCTTTGAGATCCTGATTTCAATTCTTTCGAATAAATACCCAGAAGTGGGATTCCTGGATCATATAGTAGTTTTATTTTTAATTTTTGAGAAACCTTCACATTGTTGTCCATAGCAGTTGTACCATTTTGCATTCCCACTAACAAGTATAATATGTGTGTGTGTATAATGTTTGTGTGTGTATATATGTATGTATATACACACATATGAAATCAAATATATACTAATTGAAGATACTGTTTCACACACAAGGCTTGTATCTGAGATACTAATCCTTCCAGGATAAGATAATTTGGAGAATTAGCAAGCATTAGCAGAACTAAAGCATTATTTGGAGTAAAAAGGAAGAGTATTCTTCTGGTTTCCATAGTCAGAGGGCAATGCTATTTGTGTGCCAGACACATCAGAGCTATAAAGGCCTTCGATTATTGTGGAATATTACTTTTAGTTGGTCTCCCTGTGCTTTTTTCACATTTTAGCATTGTTCATAATTCTCTAACTTTATATTGAAAATGAAGTCCCAAGGATATTATCTTTTGCCCACATGGACTGCATAGTGTGTGAACTGAGCCTTCAGACCTTACTCAGACTCAGAGTTGATGCTGAACAGACATTAGGGGGTTTCAGAAATTACCTGCAGCTCTTAAAGAAATTCTGAGCTACTTGGAAATTTTATTTCTTATGTCTGCATTAGTACTGTCATCAATGAACAGAAGTTCATGGAGCGTGCACTGTCAAATTTTGCAGGTGATCTTCAACCTATTCCTGTGGTGCTTTTGTGTTTAAACAAAGAATCCCATCATTATCCTTTTGATTGGTCTCACTTGCCAATTTCTGCTACTTTTAAATCACATTTCCATGATTGATGGACCTCTTTTCTATCTACCCCTCTATATTTGCTATGGCCATACCTATTTACGTGTGTACACATACACACACACACACACACACGTGTATATGTGTATACATATACATATGTATGTATGTGTGTATTTAGCTTTATCTTCTCCTCAAAACCTAACTCTAAGAGCCCTTCCTCCATTTCCTTATCTATTAGAGTTTACATTTGGGTCTGTCCCCCCACACCCTGCTTGGGCTCATGATTTTTATGCTTTTATATAATTAGTGTGTAGCATGCTCCAAGGATCATAGCAACATTGCTTTCCTGTGATCCTATAATTCTTTTTTTTCCTTTTTTTTGAGATGGAGTCTTGCTCTGTTACCCATCTGGAGTGTAGTGGTGCGATCTTGGCTCACTGCAACCTTCACCTCCTGGGTTCAAGTGATTCTCCTGCCTCAGCCTCCCGAATAGCTGGGATTACAGGCATGTGCCACCACACCCAGCTAATTTTTTGTATTTTTAGTGGAGACAGGGTTTCACCATGTTGGCCAGGCTGGTCTTGAACTCCGGACCTCAAGCTATCCACCCACCTCAGCCTTCCAAATTGCTGGGATTAGAGGCATGAGCCACCGCGCCTGGCCTCCTATAATTCTTTTATTATTGCAACATAAATTTACTTGTCTTAATCTTAGGTAGAATTATTCAGTTCCCCCTTTATCCCTGCATTGTTTATCTCTTCTGATCTTTTTCCTGGGCCTTACCAAATATCAGGAACACCCCACTTTCTCTGCAACCTTATATATTTCACTGAGTATTTATTGAGTACTCAATTATTTCACTGAGTATTTATTTTCTAGCCATGGACAAGATGAACCTGGTTGGTTATACTTAGAAGAAGGTTTACAGTCTTATAAGCCATTCACATTGGAAATGAATGAATAGCAAATACTGAAAGCACAGGTATGGCCAGGATTAAAACTAGGGTAAGGTGAGTGAGGCTCCCAGGATGCAAAATTTAAAGAGGCATCGACTCTCAGTGTCGACCCCGTGTCGCACAACCTGAAGGGTGAGGGCTTCCTTAAATTTTGCACCTTAGGTGCCTCTCTTGCCTTGCCATTGTCCTGACCTTGGGTATGGCTCATGAAACTAAGCAGAGACCATGAGCTGGGCAGAGGGCGGTGTCTGAGTCAGGAAGGGGTTTTGTGGCTGAAAAACTTGTAGCCACAAAATAATGGAGTCCTGAGCTGGACCTTGACAACATATGCAAGTTTCATTTTGTCTGTACTAGACGTGTACAGTTTTGACCGACAAAAGAACAGGGGGAGGAGAAAGAAGGGGAAGGGCTATGAGGTGAAAGGCAGATCAGAAATAAGCCCAGCTTGGAAGAAAGTGAGGATCCCAACCTGGCAGAGAAAGAGGAGCTGATGAAGGAGACTAGAGAAGGACCCGTCTGGAAATACAGAACTTGGTCCAAGTAAAGGAGGACCTTGAAGGTCAGGCTGACAAATTTGCTTTTATTCTGTGCATAATGGGGAGTCACCAAAACCCAGGAAAGTGAGGGGATGAAATCAGAACTTTTGGAAAATTGATCCAGTAGTGGCATCTATGATTATTTGATTAATCTATTGACTCTTGATAGCAGAGGTCTTGGCTATTTTTGCTCATTACTGTATCTCCAGCATCTATCACTGTGTTTGATATGCAGAAACTTTTTGATGAATGAATTAATGGATAAATGGATGGATGAGGCTTTATTAGGACTAGAGGCTGGGGAACCAGAGGTTGTAGTATTCAGCTATGGAGTAACGAGCTCCTTAACTAAGGATGTGGGTAGCAGGAATGGAAAGCAATGGGACTGTGATAGTTGACTGCATTAAGAGCCTCAGTTTTTTGGACCTCCTTGTAATCTTTCCCTTTGCCCTGTAACTGTGGTCTCATCCCACTCTGACCCTGAGCTTGGCCTTATGACTTGCTTTGGGACAGTCACAAACTTGATGTAACCAGAGGCTTAAAATGGAAAAGTGCTTCCACATCAGAATATGCTGGGCTGGTGTATGGGAAGGTGAGACACATGGAAGACAAGAGCCAGTCTTCCCAGCTGAGGCTATCCTAGACCAGCTGATAGCTAGCTGACCACTGGCCACTTAACTGAGCTCCAGCCCAATGTAGAAGAACTGGCCAGCCAAACCCAGCCATAACCAGCAGACTGCCTTGCTTTCTCATAGAAACACGATCAATAATACAGGATTGTTGTTTCAAGCCATAGAGTTATTGGGTGGCTTGTAAGACTGAATTATTGTGGCAATAGTTCCTGCAGAAGAGGTAGAGATTCTGAAAGCATCAGAATGGAGCTGCAGCTGTGGCTGCAAGACTGAGTCAGTTAATTTGCAAAGTAAAAGAGAATATAAAACTGAAGGTGGGGAATGAATAAAAGAAAGGAGTAGGAGGAGAAAGGAGCCAGAGGAAGGCTGGCAAGTGAAGTAGGACAAAGATAAAGGGAGTACAGTGCAAGCCAAGGGAGGAAGAATTGTCAAGGGAGGGAAGGGAAACAGAGTTAGATGCTGAAAACAGAGAGGCATGAAAAACAAAGACTATGGAAAGGTCAACAGATTTGATAAGAAAGAGTTACTTGAGGTCTGTTCCTTCATGACACCTCATCAGACTAAACAGAAGGGTGACATCCAATTTTGCTGGCATGCAGATGAGCAGTTCTTCCTCTGCTTGAATAGAAAGTTAATATGAAGTTAATGATTACTCTTTTGATGTTGTTCGAATATATATGTTGATTATATGGCTTTTCTGTTTCAATTTAATTCAAAAATATTAATATAGCATGTACTTGATAGAACAGAGATAAATTACATGTAAAGAAAGATTTTGAGTACTCCTTGTTCCTGCTTTTTTTAAAAAATTTTTTATTCTTATTTTTAATTCAAGTTTTATTTTAGGTATAGAGGGTACATGTGCAGATTTGTTACATGGGTGTGTTGTACCCAGGTAGTGAGCATAGTACCTAATATGCAGTTTTTTAATCCACAGCCCACCTCCTTTCCCACTCTAGTAGTCTGCAGTGTCTATTATTCCCAAGTTTATGTCCATGTGTGCCCAGCATTTAGCTCCCATTTGTAAGCAAGAACATGTGGTATTTAGTTTTCTGTTCCTGCATTAATTCACTTAGCATTATGGCCTCTAGCTCTATCCATGTTGCTATAAAGGACATGATTTCACTCATTTATGGCTGTGTGCTATTCCATGGTGTATGTGTACCATAGATTCTTTATCCAGGCTACCACTGACGGGCACCTAGGTTGATTCCATGTCTTTGCTGTTGTGAAAAGTGCAGCGATGAACATATGAGTGCATGTGTTTTTCGGGTATAATGATAGTAGCTCTGTTTCAAGTTCTTTGAGAAATCTCCAAACTGCTTTCCATAGTGGCTGACCTAACTTGCATTCCTATCAATAGTTTATAAGCATTCTCTTTTTCCCACAGCCTCGCCAACATCTGTTGTTTTTTGACTTTTTAATAATAACCATTCTGACTAGTGTGAGATGGTATCTCATTGTGGTTTTGATTTGCATTTCTCTGATGATTAGTTACAGTGAGCAATTTTTTTATGTTTTTGGGCCACAGATATGTCTTCTTTTGAGTAGTGTCTGTTTATGTCCTTTGCCCACTTTTTAATTGGTTGTTTTTTGATTGCTGATTTGTTTAAGTTCCTCATAGATTCTGGGTATTAGACTTTTGTCAGATGCATAGTTTGCAAATAATTTCTCCCATTCTGCAGGTTGTCTGTTTAATCCATTGATAGTTTCTTTTGCTGTGCAGAAGCTCTTTAGTTTAATTAGGACCCACTTGTCAATTTTTTTTTTTGTTTCAATTGCTTTTGGGGACTTAGCCAAAAGTTATTTGCCAAGACCAATGCTGAGAAGGGTATTTCTTAGGTTTTCTTCTAGGATTTTTATAGTTTGATACCTTACATTTAAATCTTTACCCCATCTTGAGTTAGTTTTGGTATATGGTGAGAGCTAAAGGTCCAGTTTCATTCTTCTGCATATGGCTAGCCAGAAATCCCAGCATCAGTCATTGAATAGGGAGTCCTTCCCCATTGCTTACTTCTGTTGGCTTTGTCAAAGGTCAGATGGTTCCAAGTGTGCAGCTTTATTTCTGAGTTTTCTATTCTGTTGCCTTGGTCTACATGTCTGTTTTTGTACCAGTACCATGATGTTTTGGTTACTATAGCCTTATACTGAAGGCTATACCCAACTTGAAGTTGGGTAGTGTGATGTCTTTGGCTTTCTTCTTTTTCCTTAGAATTGCTTTGGTTATTTGGGCTCTTTTTTGGTTCTATATAAATTTTATAATCGTTTTCTCTAATTCTGTGAAGAATGACATTGGTAGTTCGATAGGAATAGTGTTGTAAATTTCTATGGGCAGTATGGCCATTTTAACAATATTGACTCTTCCAACCTATGAGCATGGAATGTTTTTCGATTTATTTGTGTCACCTCTGATTTTTTTCCGTGGTATTTTGAAGTTCTCCTAGTACAGATCTTTCACCTCCTTGGTTAGCTGTATTCCTAGGTGTTTCATTTCCTTTGTGGCTATTGCACATGGGATTGTGTTCCTGATTTGACTCTTAGCCTGGACATTATTCGTGTATAGATATGTTACTGATTTTTGTACACTGGTTTTGTATCCTGAAACCTTACTAAAATTGTCTATCAGTTAGTAGTCTTTTGGCAGAGTCTTAAGGGTTTCTCTATATAAAATCATATCACCAGTGAAGAGAGATAGTTTGTCTTCTTCTTTTCCTATTTGGATACCTTCTTTCTTTTGCCTGATTGCTTTGGCTAGGACTTCCAACAGCTAGATTTTGAAAGCATGTTCGAGATGGGCTGTTGTGGGGTAAATAGGGATGGTCCTTCAAAAAGAAGGACAGTTCACAGCAGCTGTAGGTGATGAGTCTTGGCAGGATGCTGTGGCCACTGGTGCTATTAAGATATGATGAATATGGGATAACAGAGTGAGGTGTCCAGGGATTTCCAAAGAGTGTTCAAGAACTATTTGGACACCTGATCCTCAGGGAAGATATAAAAAGGTCAAGAGTGGGCACTGAAGAAGGAAGTCTTTGAAGAGAGTGATTGAAATGTAACTGATGCACTCGTCTTCTCCGACCTTAGTGACCAAAGCATAGAGGGGAGCCTGTCTGTCACATGAAATCTAGCAAGAGGGGCTTGAATCGGATCATGCAGGGAGCATGCGTCCATCAGTCGAGGTCTGACTTATCCCCTGGGAGAGTGGAAGTGTCCTCTTGTAAAGTAGGATAGACAGGGATAGCATTAGGAACTTCCCACATGCCCCTTTAGGAATCCTCAAATATGGAATCCCTAAACGAGATGTTGGCTAGGCATTGTTTTAAAAGGGATTTTGCCTAAGAAGGTGGACTTTTCAGGCAAGGAGATTTTAGCCCAGAGAGGTTATGATACAGACCACTGGGAGCAGCAGCCAAGAAGGAAGGGAGGAGGGGCCGATAGCCTAGAGAGGGTACAGCTTCTGTAAGGGCAGTTTCAGCAGAAGGACCCTAATGGGAGTGCCAATCAATGTGGAACCCATGAGAGTACACAGGGCAGAAGCAATTGGCAATAAACATCTATGAGGCCCAGAGAGAGCTGAGCCATCTGATACTAGCAGCAGACAAGCAGCCTCCCCATCCTCCTCCCTGTCTCCCTTCACCCTCCCCAGCATGGCAGTGTGAGATGTCTTGGTTAGCAAGGAGTAAGGGTGGATGGAGGAATCTAGGCTGCTGGAAGAAAGGAGCTTGGCCACATTCCATTAACCCAACCAAGCAGTCGCCCCAGTAGGCTCCAACTGTGGCTATGGGAGTCAAATCAAGTTTTCAGTTTTGATGATTTGAGATTCTGCGATTTAGAGTGACCATAGGACTTTTCTTATCTAAGTGAGAGGCAGAGAAAGGATCGCCCACATTGAATATATTTAAAAGAATAGTGAAAGACAAAAATCAAGTGAGTTTTCAAAAAGTGGAAACAATACAATGTGTCCATTGAGTCGAATGGATGAATGGATAGAAAAAATGTGGCGTACATGTAAAGTGAAATATTATTCTGTCCTAAGAAGAAGTGAAATTGTGATGTGCACTACAACACGGGTGGACATTAAAAGCATTATATTTAGTGAAATCATCCAGACACAGAAGGACAAATATTGTACGATTCTACTTATGTAAGGTAGCCAAAATAGACAAATTCATAGAGACAGAAGGTAGAATAGAGGCTACCAGGGGCTGACAGGTTGAGGGAAAGGCAAACCATTGTTGGATGAGCATAGAATTTCAGATTGGAAAGATAAAATTCTGGAGATGGATAGCAGTGATAGTCGCTTAACAAAGTGAATGTAATTAATGGCACAGAATTGCACACGAATGAATAGTTAAAATGATAAATATTATGTATATTTTACCACAATAAAAAAAATTAAGTGGCTTGTATGATTAGAATTCTTTGTGTTTAAAATAACTCTTTATATCCATGATAAGACTCTTATATAATGGTTTATATAATGGTCTGTACATCTTCTGGGTGAGTAGCAGTGGATTTATTTATTAATTATTACTCATCCCCTTCCCCTTATCAATGCTGGGTTGGACACTTGGATATAGATATGGCCAAGACCCGGCTCTTGGCTTTAGGTGATTGGGTTAGTGTAGTCTATCTTTTGTCGTGAGACCCTCAAGAAGGCTTGTTTAATTCAGTGTGCAACACAGTTAATATAATACTTCTTAACTCATTGGCATTACTAAATCTTTATTATTTTTATGATAATTAGAGGAAGCAATTAGAAGACTGTCCAGCAAAATGATTCTTCAGAAAGTTTCTGATTTAGCTGCATTCTCTGTGGCACTCTATACCTGCTGTCTACTTACAGAGGAACGTAGAGTTGTGTCTTAATTGAGAAAAATAAAACTTAAAATCATTTTTTTCTAGAATATAAATTACTATTATTAGGGTTGACTGCAAAAACTCTACAGACCCACAAACTCAGACACACACACAAACACATACACACATACATACACACACAAACACAAACACACACACAAACACACATACACAAACACACACACACAAACACACACAAACACACACACACACACACACACACACACGCTTTAGTCCAGGATATTGATTTCACTTTAAACTCTGGCCTCACTTGGCACGAATGTTTGGGCAAGCCCTAACATATTACCTTTGGGTATTCCCCATTCCTGTAGTTAGTCAACCACACAGAGGGCAGATCTAGAGGAGATAACTGATTTAATGATAAGTTAAAGGATTAATCCTTTTTCTGCAGCATCTTAATATGCAGAGATTATCTTGTCTGATGCCTGAGTTATAAATATATTGCCACTCGTGTTTAATCCCACACACCACCTATCTTTTCCTTGAATCTACTCAAGTGTTCAACAACAGCCTTCTAGGTTTCTGCCTCCCAGGTAATTCAGATGAAACCAGGAAATCATGCTGATAAAATAGTTTCATCCTGCTTGGAATTGCGTACCTCGCAGTGCACCCTTTTCAGAGAAGCTAAAGGAAATTCAAAATAAGAGATGGAGTCATGACTCGGGGATGACAACTATGTCTCTGTGTTCTGCTGTATTCAGGACAGTGTGGATCATGGACTACCTAGGACCTGCTTCTGAAGGTAGTGAGAAGCAGACTCAACCATGAATTCCTTTAGACTCAGAGCCCTTCACCTATTAATATATACAACATACACACATTTTAACTCCAAGACTTCCATTTTTATTCCTATCACTTATCCAATCTAGGGAGCTTTAGCTTACCCTCTCTTTTTGAGTGGACTGAAAACATTTGGATAAATCAGGTGATTCCACCGTACTTCAAACCCTCACCTTAATGGAGAAACATATTTTTGGCCCATCACTTCCTTTGAATTTCAAGTTTATCCCTACCAAGGACATATTTCTCTGATGTACTGAGGGTAGGCTTGCCAGACTTAGCAAAACAAAACAAAACAAAACAGAAAAACAAACAAAAAACAGCATGTATTGTTAACTCTGAAGTTTTGAGAAACAATGAATGAGTTTTTAGCATGTCCCAAATACAGCATGGGACACGGGTAAAGAATTATTCATTGCTTGTTTGTAATTCAAACTTAACTGGGCAGATTTAATTCATTTACTTTAATTCATTTAATCTGGCAATCCCTGTTGACAGCCAAGATGTGAGACATGCATGTGGACACATTTCACCTAAGAAACAGAAAGCTTTGGGGGTTTATTTAAACATACAGGAGAAGATAATAGAGTACGCCATTGAACTTCAATCACTGCAGGCTGCTGTGGATTTTTTTTTTTTCCTTTTTTCTTGCATCCTTTTCAAGGACCTGGAGAAGTGTTAAATACCAGGCTCACCCTGCTAATGGTTTGCCCACCAGTAAGAAACAATGGCAAAAGGGATCATTTACCTTGTTTTCTCCATGCGGGACTCACCTGCTTTCGGGTCCAGGCGAACTCGCTGTGGTATTGTTCTTCTCTGCTCGGTTTCCAAAGGAGAGCCCAGGCGCGTTAATTGCTGGGTGGCAGCTACACTAAATGCAAGTGGACGACAGCTGGGTGCCGGGCTCGCTCTGCAAGAGAAGGTTTGGGTTTCCATTGTAGTCCGCATCATAATCCGCACCCTTCCATCTGCACTAACTGTTGTTTTAGGTCTCAAGTAATTGGCTGGAGCTGAAAACATAAACACCTCCACGCGCTTGCCCTTATCATTTTCTTTTTATGTTGGTTTAGGAAATACACCTGAGAGACCAAATGCATACAATGAATCCAGCAATTACCAACCACCATGGGCGGACAGCAAATGCTCAAACAACAAAACACCCAAGGATGGGCGGCTGCTGGCTTCTGACTTTCCTCATGGGGATGGGGGTCCCAGATCTGGGTCTAGGACTCCCTCCCACTTCTGTCCTGGGACAGCTGATTTCAATACTGCCAAAGACGTGGAACTTTTCTTAAGAAGGTTCTCTCCTGATTTATTTTGAGTAAACAACTGATACAGGTTATGTATAGTGCTGGGAAAACTAATGCAGAGAAAGAGGAGGGACATAACTAGTTTTGTTGTCATCTGTGGAACATTTAATTGCAAAATTGTTGAAAGGAAAATTAGACCTCTCTTTCCCCCTCCCCGCCCCCCCAAGTATGGCTTTGGCAGAAAAATCCCAAAGAAAATTAGAAAGTGGAGATTAAGGGTGAAGATAGGGAGAGACATTCAAAAACACCACCACCATTTCATACCTTTGGGGCTGAGTTCTTTAGTCATTCAACAAGCATTTCTTGACCACATTCTATGTATTGGACACCGTTTTACTGAGCAAGACAATTTAGAATGAGGTTGTGAACATGAACTTGGAGCTACCTGGGTTTGTAATCCCAGTTCAGCCACCTACTAGCTACGTGTCCTTGAGCCATCTACTTAAACTATCTGTGCCTCCTTTCTCTCACTTGTTGAATGGAAATAATACCATTAAGTCCTTCATAAGGTCTCTGTGAAATGGAAATAATAATATTTCTTACCCCATAGGGTCATTGTGAGGATTAAATTGGTTAATGCCTGTGAAGCACTTAGAAAAATTCTTGGTACATATTAACTACCAAGTACATATTAGCTCTTATTTGGTGGTGATGTTGTGTTGCTGTTTAACATGAACGAATGTGCCATGTGACATTTTGCGTAAATGATGATGAAAGGGAAGAAACATTACCCCAAACCTATTAGTGAAAGACTGGGTAGACATGGTTTTTACTCATGCTCCCTCCTGCAGATAGTAAATTACTTAGGAAGTTGTTTTTGTCACTTTCTACTTTGGTCCCCAAACATCAAGAACATGGTTTCTTTAAATAATTCTTGAAAAATTGTTAGAACAACAATGATATGGGCTATCCATAGGAACATGTAGAAAGCATGTTTGCAATCACCTACCTGAAAATTAGAATTATCATCTTGGGTATGTTAAATTGAATTAAGTTTGGCCCAAAGCTGCCTCCATCCATATTTTAAGGTTGGCCTAACAGCTTCTCCACGCATAGCAAACTGTAACCTAACCTGATGGTTAAACAGACAGTAGCCTACGATTGTAACAAGTAGCCAAGTCTCAGTCAATCTGAGCAGTTGAGTTTCAGCCAATCATGGGGACCAACTGTTCAACCTGTGTTCTTAAAAGGCGAACACTGAGCTATCACCAATTCAGCTGTTTCTGTACCCACTTCTATTTTGTGTACGTCACTTTTCTTTTTCTGTCTGTAAATATTATCCATGCAGCAGTCCTGGGGTTGCTCTGAATCTATTCTGGTTTGGGGGTGGGGCGGGGTGGGGGGGTGCCCGATTCATGAGTCGTTGTTTGTTCCTACATTCTGTTAAATTGAACGTGTCTAAAGTTTTTCTTTGAACAGGTAGTGGGACTGAGCTACTATTCAGAATATTCTCTGTGCCCCACTGTGGCTCGCCATCATACCTTCTGTATCTTTTGCTTATCTTCCTGTCATGAGACTAGCAAGGTCTTGACAGCACTCACCTGAAGCCATCAATCAATCAGCTGAGGAAGACATCAATCTCTGTGATTGTAAACTACTGAGATCGGGTAGTTTGTGTAGTTTGTGGCCTTAATCTAGCCCACCCTGACTGACACATTGACTCTAACCAATGACCACCTAACCCATTGTTTTATCTTTATTTGATGCCAGGATTGCCTTTTTGTTAGTTGGTTGACTCTTACAGGAAGAGTAGATGTTCATGTATTAAAAAGTAAAGCTTGGCCAGGTGCGGTGGCTCACGCCTGTAATCCCAGCACTTTGGGAGGCCGAGGTGGGCGGATCACGAGTTCAGGAGTTCAAGATCAGCCTGGCCAACATGGTGAAACCCTGTCTCTACTAAAAATACAAAAATTAGCTGGGGGTGGTGGCGCATGCCTGTAATCCTAGCTACTCAGCAGGCTGAGGCAGGAGGATTGCTTGAACCCGGGAGGCGGAGGTTGCAGTGAGCTGAGATAGCACCACTGCACTCCAGCCAGGGTGACAGAATGAGAGTCTGTCTCAGAAAAAAAAAAAAAAAAAAAAAAGGAAGGCTTACATCCCAAATAATTTGTGTTTCCTTAGTAAATTACTATGGATCCGCTACCCATGCATTCATCTAAGTTCACCATCATTTTACTTATTCACTTATTTAACAGACCTTCTGTTAGTAACTAGTTTATATTGGACTTGGGTCTTGGTTCTGGGGGAAGCAGGTAAGTGGTTCAGAAATGCGTAAAACAGGGTTCCTGTCCTCAGCATGCTTATCAAGAGTGCAAAAATCTGTTTTAGGTGACATAAAGTTCTAGACACTTATTTGCTGGGCAAAGTAGAGTTGTGTCCTACTTGTACCACTCTGTTTAAACTTCAAGCCCTTCCCCCTAGCTACCAATATTTTATGAGTTGGCATTGACTTAGTGGTTACTCTAATTTGTAGTCTTCACAAGGGTTAAAATGTAAATCACATCTTTTGCACCTTGACTTTTCAGACTAAACATGTGTGTTTATTTAAATTAATCTCTCATTGACTGTCCTCACTATCTTCATAATGTTAGTTACCCCTTATTTGGCTATTTAAACCTCAGTAGTTTTTTTCTCTTTGGGGCAGATATCTAGCTTAAGCAAATCTCTCCAGATTTTGACACCCTGTGACTTTGTTGGTGAGTTTTCTCTGTAATTTTTTTATTTTTTCAAAAAATATCCAGATGATAAACACTGTAAATATATTTTTGATTTATGTCAATTTCTGGCCAGAATTTTCTAGATAATAACTTCAGTCTTCTGTTATTTTTCCCCTTGTCATTCACTCATGCTTGGGATTTTATATGCACTGGGGTCTGGGATAAGGGAGTAAAATTTACTTAACTTTGAGCACATTGTCACTTTTTCCAGCATCTTGGGTATATTACATATCTTATTAATTGCCAAATGACTCCTCTTTTAATAAGTTCTCAAATCTTTTAGTAGATCTAAGCTCTTAAACAAATAAACCCAATATTTCTTGTAGACATGGACAAATGAAGTTTTGCATTTCAACCAAAGTAAGAGAATAGTCTTTAAAACACATATAAAATAAGAATAATAACAGGAAATGTTTTCTCTTCCTCTAGTGATCATATTTTCACTTGGAAAGATTTTTTTACATGAACAGAAAAGGAAAGTAATAATCTTATTTATTTTAATTATCAAATTAACCATCGTTGATGACTTATAAAATACTGCTGTTTTAAAAAAGAGAATTAAAAATTAATAAAAGACAAAAATATTTAATGTTGATGTCTTCAACTATGAAATGCATTAAGAGTTTGCTAGTTATATATTAGCTGCCATAGATTGACTCTCTCGCTAAGCACCTTACATGGATTACCTGATTTAATCTTCATAATCCCTTTTTCATCTTCATTACCCCTTTTTCATCTTCATTCTCATTGCAGATGAGAAAACCATAGCATAAAGAGGCTAGATAGGCCGGGAGCAGTGGCTCACGCCTGTAATCCCAGCACTTTGGGAGGCCAAGGTGGGTGGATCACCTGAGGTCAGGAGTTTGAGACCACCCTGGCCAACACGGTGAAATCCTGTTTCTACTAAAAATACAAAAATCAGCCAGGTGTGCTGGCATGCGCCTGTAATCCTAGCTACTCGGGAGGCTGAGACAGGAGAATTGGCTTGAACCCGGGAGGCGGAGGTTGTAGTGAGCTGATTGCGCCACTGCACTCCAGCCTGGGTGACAGAATGAGACTCCGTCTCAAAAAAAAAAAAAGAAGGTAGATAATTTCCAAGTCCACATAGATAGAAAGTGTGGGAGCCATGGCTTCAAACTTAGGCAGGCTAGCTCCAAATTTTGCACAAGTCACCATGGCCTAATAGTGTCCAAGCTATTCTTTACCTTTCCTTTTTGTTTTTGTTCTTAATCCAAGACTCAGTTAAGATAGGAAAGAAGAGATTTGTTTCAATAGGAATTCAAATTTCACATGCTTTGTAGATGAACACAAGGATCATTTGCTTCAGATTAATAGAAATATTTTCTCTAAAGTTCAGAGGGTTTGTAGGAGGTGGCTTCCAAATTTTCTTGTCTTTCTTGTCTCCACGATTTACATTGTTTATAAGGTGTTCAATTATACTACAAAGGGGCCATACATTTCTTTTGGAGATTTAAAATTATCGTTGAGGGATAATATAAGTTGACCATGTCCAGGCCTACTTTTTGTTTATAAAAGTCAGAATACAGTTAGGTTACTTTAGATTTTATTCAATGAGAGAGGGTGTGAGTTAGCAGTTCTAGATTGTGCCGTAATTCAAAATGATCAATAAATCTTTCCTTTCTCAAAATACTCTGAGCACTTTTTATCACTCATTAAATTAATATCGTGTACCACCCTAGACTATATAGCTATAGTCTTATCTTCCCTGACAGATTGTAAAATTTGGAGGTTACAGGGGATATCTAATTCATTGCTCTGGTGCCTTTCAAAATTGGAAAGCTGTAGGAGCCCATCACGTTTTTGTTTAAGTGGTGTATCAGTTATCTATTGCTACAATCATGCTGCAGAACAAACATGCCAAAAACCTACGTGCATTCAACAATGAATGTTTATCATTGTTCACACCTTATGCCTCAGCTGGGCAAATTTTCTGGTCTCAGCAGAGCTCACTCACGCAACTGTGGTCAGCTGAAGGTGGGTGAGCAGTTCTGTTGATATTGGCTGGGCTCTCTCACATGTTGGGGCCAGCTAGCCTAGGACAGCCTCAGCTGGGACACCTGGACTAACCTCCATGTGGTCTCTCATCCTCCAGGATGCTAGCACAGTCACGTTCACATGGAAGTGACAGAGAAAGTAAGCAGAAATGTGTACAGCCTCTGCAGGTCTTAAAGCTTGGAACTGGCACATTGCTATATCAACTACATCCTATTGGCCAAAGCAAGTCATAAGGCCAGCCCTGATTCAAAGGGTGGGAAATAGACTTTGTCTCTTAACTGGAAGAGATTCAAACTCACATTACAAAGGGTGTGTGTACAAGGAGGGCTGAAGAGTTGGGGTTAATTTTGGAATCAACCTGCCACAAATAGAATAAATAAATAGTGACGACCAAACCTCACCGGGTGGCCTTAGATTATCCCTCATTTCCTTACTGTAGGCACGAGAAGTGGCGTTGTGGAGTGGAAAGTGGGAGGGGCTGGCATTGGTTGGCTTAGAGTTCCCAGTGTTTTCACGGCTGCCTGACCATGAGGCAGTCATGTCATGTCCTTAATCACAACTTCTCACCTCCCTAAGATGGTCATGAGAATTCAATGGGACAATGCACATTGAATTGCTTTGTAAATTATAAAAAAGCATCTGTGAACTATCACTGCTGTTATTTCATTTGAGGCTGGGGAGCCTGCCTGCAATTCCACTAATTTGACAGATTCTGAAAAGCATCCGCAGAGGATGTGTAAATCCCAATAAACAACATTTCTTTCACTCCACTCTGAGATTGGGTCTGAAAATTGCATCCTGAGAGTCAGAGAAGATTGTACATAGTGGTGCAGGGCTGCAAGACATCACGGGAGCCTGTTGTAAATATGAAGAGGTTTTAAATGTGCTGCTGTGACACCACCTTCTGCAAGAACAGACATTTATTCCTGCTCTAGGTGACTCCCATACCAGAGGAAGGTGGCACACTGAAAATCTGGACTTCTGCATTTATTTCTGCTTGAAGAATTAACAAGCTCTTAAAGTAAATATAGTCCCAGGTTCTCCCCTTCCAGGTTTCGTGACATCACAGTGCTTTGGGGCCTTCCCCCTTTACTGCTGCCTGGGCTGCTTTCCCTGCCCTGTGGAAGTGAGAAATAGGCTCCTATGACATTGAAAAGAGCGCAATTTGGAGTACTAGAATGGATGCATTTTCCCACTCTTGTGGTGCTCTGTGATTAAAATGGAGATGTCTTTTGCATAAATGGCTTGTAAAGAGTTTCTTGCAAACCCCAGTGGTCTGGCTCTGCTTATGAGTCAAATGTGAATGCCAATATTTAACACATTGTGAGAAATGACATTTAGGAAAAAAAAGACCCAAATAATTAAATATGTGTAGGAGACAGCCCACATTGTTTGACCATGTATACTATTAGTCATCAACTGATGCCTCTGAGACAGATCTGTGGGCATTTACTATGCCCACGAACATGTGGGATCTAAAATTAAAAGACCTAGCCAGGACAAGAAAGACACCAGAGAGAATTTGTTGCTTCAGATTTGATTCTTCAAAAGATTTATCACTGCAAGTATAAATCCTAAACTCAAAATTACCTTCAATGCCATTGCACATTGTATGTACACAAATGGGATACTCAGACCAACAACGTAGGTCTTTCTTGGTGCTAAGAACCCACATGCTGTATGAAACTCAGCGTGGCATTCATTTAAAACCAAACCCTCACCAGGTGCATGTACATTGGGATACAGACTCATACCTGTAATCCCAATACTTTGGGAAATCAAGGAGGGAGAATTGCTTGAGCCAGGAGCTGGAGACCAATCTGGGCAGTAAAGTGAGCCCCCCACCTCTACAAAAACATTTAAAATTTAGCTTGGCATGATAGTGTGTACCTGTGGTCCTAGGTAGTTGGGAGGCTAAGGCAGGAGGATTGTTTGAGCCCAGGAGGTGGAGACTGCAGTGAGCTGATTATATCAGCTGCACTCTACCTGGGTGAGACAGTGAGACTCTCTCTCTCTCTCTCTCTCTCCCCCTCTCTATATATATGAATAAAATTCCTATATATTCATAAATTCATATATATGACTAGAATTCTCTCTCTGTGTATATATATATATATGTGTATATATATATGTGTGTGTGTGTGTATATATATATATACATATATATATATATACATATATATATACATATATATATATATACATATATATATACATATATATATATGTGAATAAAAACATAAAAACTAAAACTCCAGGTGAGGATTGTGCTGATTCTGCACATGCAACTGTTAATCCTTTGAAATGGTGCTGTTTCACTTGCCCTGCCTTAAGTCAGCTGGAAAAAATGGTTGGCTTTTGCTTTTCTAATTTGCAAGCCACATACCTTTTTCCTGGCCCTGCACACTGTCTCATCTTGCTTAGGAAAGGGGCTAGAGATTAGAAGGTGGCCTTGGAGGGGCAGGCCTTTCCTCTTGACCGACTTGGGCGCCATCAGGCTATCAGCAGAATGGCTGAGGCCAGGTTGGCGGGGGATCTGGGGTGATCCGAAAGCAGGACTATCTGGCCAACAGCAGCAGCAGTGTGGTGGTAGGAAAGACAGCACTGTCCTTTTTTCATTAAGTATATTTATAAACATACTGAACATGAAACATTTTTCCTTTCTTCACAGTGATGGATGATTATATGTCTATGAAATGTTTTCATTTATTTGGCGCCAGGGTAATCAAAATCAGTTGAAACTGTCCCACTGAAAGCAAAGAAAACAAGTAGGCGTGGGACGCCTGTGCTCCCTCCCTCATGCTCTTCAAGGGGAGTCGCTGGCAGAAGGGCTCGCTTTGGAGAGGAACAAGCCCTTCAACTCCTAATTGCTCCCAGTCCTGCTCATGGCTGCCATCCACGGAGGCTGCAGCTCTGCAGAGCTTTCAAAGCAATCGCCTCCACTCTGGAGGCAGTGTGAGAGCGTCGGGGCCAGCCTGTGCGTGACTCTGTTTAGGCTGAGAAAGAGCTGGTCCCAGAAAACCTTTGTGAATGAAACGCTCGTGCTTTCATGTCTGCTCTGGCCTGTGTTCTGGGTCAGCTGTTGTGATCTCCAACATCCTGTTTAAACTGGTGTTTTCCACTACATACAGACAAAACTATTTCTATTATAAGCTTCTAATGGTTGTGCAGAGAAAAGCAAGGGGATTAGGTAGGGAAGAAGGGTTGACCTGTTGGGAGAGAAACATAGACAGTAGATACATGCCTGATTCCTTCTTTTGATGGGGTTCTTTGGACAGCTACAGAACCCAGATCTTTGTTTTACAAATGTAGCATCACTTTTGAAAGGCCACCTTTTTGGTGAGGTTTATCTAGCCTAAACCATGGGATGATTTTGCTCACTTGTGGACATCTCTCTCTCTGTGGTTTTCAGTGCAGACCTGTTTATAGATGAGGGTTAAGGCCCTCAGAGGGTAGAAAACAATTTTCCTGATCTCCAACCATCACCTTTCAAGGAATTAGTTTGAATATTGGAGGAGAGAAGAGACTTCCACTTCTCAAATAGATTCAAGAACTCTTAAAAGTGAATTGAGAGAATTTCCTTTTATTTGTTTTCTTATTAAAATAAGCAGAGATCTAACGGATGCTTTTTAAGCAGAGCAGAAAGGAATGAACCTCCCTTCTTGGCTCCTCATTAACATGGCACAGAAGGGCTTGGAGAGGATCCTTGGGACTCCCCCGCTGGGCACTGAAGTTATGGGCAAAGACTGACAGTCCATTTGTCTCATGTGAACTAGCGATACAGTGAAGAGATCAGATACATCCTTAACATTCCCAAAGCTCAATGAAATAGTAGGTATATGGTAAATTAGAACTAATAACTTATAGTCAAGTTCTGAATTGGATGGACTGAGGTCAAACTCATACAAGGTATTGGAAGAAGGAAGACTTAAACTGGTTGGTAACCACCAGTGGCCATTCTGCGAGTAAGTAGCCTTGCGTGGCAAAAGAGCTTCATGGATGTGATAAGAACCTTGAAATGGGGAGATTGGCTTGGACTCTCTGGATGGGCCCAATGTAATCACAAGCATCCTTAAAAGTGGACTCGAGAGACAGAAGCATCAGTGTCAGAGTGGCATGACATGAGAAAGACTCAACCACCCTTTGCTGGCTTTGAAGATGGAGGAGGAGTCCACAAGCCAAATAATGTGGGCAGCTTCTAGAAGCTGAATAAAACAAGAAAATGGATTCTGCCTTAGAGTCTCTGGAAAGGAATGCAGCCCTGCTGACCCCTTGACTTTAGCCCCATGAGATTCATGTCAAATTTCTAATCTGCAGAACTGTAAGAGAATAAATTTGTTTTGTTTTAAGCCACTAAGTTTGTGGTTATTTGTTACAGCAGCAATAGAAAGTCTAATACACTGGGAACTACACCAGGAAATTTACCTGGTTCATTTTTTGGAATCTGTGCAAACTGGCTAAATGGCACTTTGCATTTTCCAGTCTTCTTAAAGAGTACAAAATGTTGTGGAATCTGACTGCTTGAGCCTTTAAAAAAAATCCAGAAAATAAGAGCAATGTCTCAACCATTTTGAGTATATGGAACTTGGTAACATAGCAAGGAAAATCAAAATAAAAGAAATCACCTCTACCAACAGATCAAAAAACCATTTTGATTTTTGAGTGTAACCTTTTAGAACATACTCATATCTAGTTTTAAGAAAATTATAACTGTATTTGTAGTGTAAAAATCACTGTCCTAGATAAACACACTGTGCTTATTTTATACTTTTTAGCTAAAGAAAATTAGTGACCTATCCTAAGGTTCTTAAATTTCGGAATTTGGAGTTACTGAACTCTTCATGATAAGAAGGATAATTGGTTGATACATTTCACCTACAAGGGAGAAAAGATTTTTAACCTCTGCACCATGCCAGGGCATGAAATTAGCATTTGTAAGTATGAAATTTGAATAAAAGTTACAACATTAAAAGTTTATCTGCCTAATATAGACACGGGCATCTTTTCTGTAGGGAGCAAGGAGCAAAGTTGACCATTGCTCCTTGCTACCAACACACCTACCCGTTATTTTTGTAAATTCCCATTTTTAGCTGTGAGCTTGAATGTGCCCAATTTCTAAAAGTAACAAAGGATGTAAATGTCAAATAATAGAGCACATTGTATCCAATATTTAAAATAGCTCCTGGAATGCTGAGGCAGTTTGAAAAAGACAAACACAGGGGTGTCAAAAATTTTTCTATGTTTCATATTATTTTTCCATAATTAAAAATTAGCTACTATGATTAAAAAATAAATCTGTAGCACTTATAAAAGAACACATAAGAAAAGGATTCTTTGGTCCAAGAGAGATTGAGTAATTCTTGGGATGGTGACCCTGATTTCAAACGTTTGGCTTTTCAATTACTTGGTGTAAAATCTGGTACTTCTCTAAGAAAGGAACTGATTAATTCAGAAACAGGCAGCAACCAGCTTCCTCCCAGAGATAAGATGACATCACCCCAAAGTCCCAGACAGTATGGTAAATACAACTTCAAAATAGGCAATCACATTCACTGAAATGAAGTCCCTGCAGCCAACCACGATCACCCATCCTCTATCATCCCGCCTCATTACCTTAGCCTTCAGTGTCAGGATGAGCAAAGCTGGGGGCATCCGGCCAAGTCTTACACAAATCCCTAAGATATCTTTTATCTCCGGGTTAATAGATCATGTTAAGGATTTCAGTGGCAGAAACGGATCCTATGGACAATTTAACTCTGTGTCTTTCTAGCTAATACTTTTCCCTCACAGAGCCAACTGATTCATTTAGAAGAAGCCTTTTTATTTTCATAGAGCTTTCTTCCATTTCAGTTAGAATCTTATCTAAAGTGAGAATAAATTCTCAAATGTTTAATATGAACCAAGGAGAAAGAGGAGAAAGCCCCTTAAACAGAGTTCAGTTTAATCTGTAGAATTAATTGGTTTTGTTTGCAAGCAAATTACATATTTCAAAAATTATATATAAGATATGTTTAAGTATATACATTTATGATATATTTCAAAAGGAGATCAACTACCATTCCCACTTGGTCAGTTCCCAGTAGACTCTGACTTCATTTCTGCCTTAGCTTCTTCCGGGCTTGGCCATGTTTGCACACACTTCCTTCCCTCATCTAGCATCCATCATTCTCACTGTATTCAATTTCTTAAAATATACACAAGACCTCATACACTCGCACATGCACACAGTCACCTACACTCAGGACAAGCTATATCATTTTTGAGGTTTTGTATAGAATAAAGATGTGGGTTCCTGGTCCAAAACTTATTGAGAATTTCAAGATGGTGGCCAAAACACATTGGACCAAGCTCAAGGCCCTTTTGAGTGCAAGATACCCGCAGGCCCTTGCAAGGTCCATGCCCATGAAGTCCACGCCCTTACTGCATTAGTAGATGTCACAGCTACACATATGCACTCCCTCACAGGTACACAGCAGACAGCATTCTTAGAGCAACTGAGCTTCTACTTGTTGCTAAAATTTCCCTTTTAGTCCAATGACACACACACACACACACACACACACACACACACACACACACACACATATATAGTCCTTTGATAGTGAAAAGCTCTTATTTTCTAATAAGCACACAGGCTAAGTGACTTATCCAAAGTTGCACCAAATATGTTTTTCTTTCTTTTTTTAACTTTTATTTTAGATTCAGGATTTTTTTTCTGATTATAAGTAAGTATAATACAGCAAATTTGAAAAATATAAAGAAAAAGACACATTTACAACACATAAAATACCACCAATTAGGGATGACCACTATTTGTTTCAGTATATGTCTTCTATTCCTCTATAAGTTTTTATGCAATAATTTCTATAGATTCTTTCTTTTTTTAGATATAAATTTAAATCATATTGCACATACTGCTTAATATCCTTTTTTCATGTAGTAATACCACACAGACCTTTTCTGTATTATTAAGCATTCGTATAGAGCACTATGGTTAATAGTTACCTTATATTCTAGTATGGTTGGTAAAGAATCAGTTTAGGAACAAGTAAAAAAATCTTAGAGAAAAGATGACACAATTAGTACTAATTCCTTTTCATATCATAACTCTCTTACTTTAGGTAAAGAGAAAGATATTGGGGCTCCAAGAGTTTAAATAATTTGCTACAAGACACACAGCCATTAAAACAAAGATAGAATTTGAACCCAGGTCTGCATGATGGCAAAGCCAGCACAGAATCATTGTACGATGACAGTGACAGGTAATTTATAACTTTACTCAGCAGAAGGGCTCTGGGGTCAGCATAGCATGCAGAGCCTTGGAGATTTTCAAGGCCTGGCAGTTTCCCTGTTATTGGGAAAAGGCATCCAGGAAAACCTATGGAACTGAGAGAGAAGTCAGAGTCTCAGATGCATAGTGATGACAAGTAATAGTCAGGAACCACTGCTGGGCCAAAGAAGTTTCACTCCGGAAATCATTTCCTAGTGAATGGGAATTCTTTTGGTCACAGAGAGTTGACTTCCCACATTAGGGAAATCTAGCAAAGATGGTTGTACGCTTATAAAAGCAAATGCAAGAATGGGGATGGGTTGACTTCCGCCTTTTAAAAAGCAGCGTTTGTGATGAAGTCCCAAGTCATGTGGCTATTGGACTGTGTTCTTACCCTCCAAGTGAGAATTCAGGACAATTTTAGAGAAAATAGTCTTTTTCTTAATGTTTTCAGGAAAGATCACTTGAAAGGGATTTCCCTGATGTAATGTTTTTCACCTTCCATATTCATCCCCCTCCTGTTTAATCAGCTAGTTTCTTACTGATATCCTGAGTACCGGGACCCTAGTACAAAGGGGGACTGGAAAAGACTCCTGGCATAGGCATTAGATGAGGGGAATTTTATGATGAGTAAGGGTAGCCTACCATGCCTCATCTTGACTACTAAAGAATCCCTTAAAAGGGAAGGCAATCGGGGGTGTCTTCATTTCCTGTAGGTACTGTGACAAATTACACAAACTTGGTTGCTCACAACAACAGATATTTATTCCCTCACAGTCCTGGATGCCAGACGTCTGAAGTCAAGGTGTTGGCAGAGCTGTTCTCTCCTAAAAGCCTCAAGGGGAGAAGGCTTCTTCCCTCTTCCAGGCTCCGGTGGCTCCAAGTGTCCCTTGGCTTATGGCTGCATCACTCCAATCTCTGCCTCTTCATGTGACCTTCTCCTCTGGGTCTGTGTCTTTTCCTCTTACCTTGCTTATTAGGACACTTGTCATTGGATTTAGGGGCCTCCTGGATAATCCACAATGATCTCGTCTGGAGGTCCTTAACATAGTGATATCTGCAAAGACCCTTTTCCCAAATAAGGTCACATTCACAGGTTCTGGGGCTTAGGACACAAACATATCTTTTTCGTGCCCACTATTCAACCCATTAGAGAGCGGGAAACTTAGAAGTTGATGTGTCCCAGGGAAACGCTGCTGAGCCCTCCTGGGTGTAGACCTTGGGCAGGGCCTTCTTTCCTGGATAAAACTCTGGAAAGGAAGAAAGGGCTTACACTCGGGGCTGTTTGGGTTACAAAGGTAGACAGGTCTCTGAGTGCTTCTTAGTTCTTTATACAGCAGAATGACATCTGTCAGTTCCAGAGGGGCATCAAGGTAGTTGAGGGAGAGAAATCCAGGCCTAAAGGGGCCTGGCAGATGGGACCACTCACCTGTGTGGCAAAGAAGATGTAGGGTCAGGTGGGGTGAATGCCCCCTCAGCAGGTTCCTGCCTGGAAATAGAGGGTTACTGAAGACCTGGGCCTCACTTTCCCAGCCCATGTCTTGGCATGGCATAGCCTTGGGACTGGGCATCTACTCTGGGCTAGAGGGCATTGCCAAACTGGAGGAGATGAGTTTTGAGTTTCATGGAAAGAATAGAGAGTCAAAATAGAAATTGGTGATGTTACCTTTCTAACTATACTAGAGTTCTTCAGAGACACAGAACCATCAGAAAATCACATACACACAGAAAATCACATACACATTGAAATGACAGTTTGGTCAATGATGCATCTCATATACGACAGTGGCCCCATAACATACAGTGGAGCTGAAAAATTCCTATCATCTAGTGACACCATAGCCATTGTAGCATCATAGCAGAATGCATTGCTCACGTGTTTGTGGTGATGCTGGTGTAAACAAATATGTTTAATAACTGTAGTATAGCCCAAGTGCACAGTATTTGTAAAGTCTACAGTATTGCACAGTAATGTCCTAGGCCTTCCCCTTCACTCACCACTCACTGATTGATGCAGAGGAACTGCCAGTCCTACTAGCACCATTCATGGTAATTGCCCTATACAGGTGTGCCCTTTCACCCCGCCCTTTTTTTTTTTTTTTTTTTTTTTTTTTGAAACAGAATCTTGCTCTGTTGCCCAGGCTGGAATGCATTGGTGTGATCTCGGCTCACTGTAACCTCTGCCTCCCAGGTTCAAGTGATTCTCCTGCCTCAGCCTCCTGAGTAGCTGGGACTATAGGCGCCCGCCACCACATCCGGCTAATTTTTTTTTTTTTTTGTATTTTTAATAAAGACGGGGTTTCACCATGTTTTGCCATGGTGTTTTGCCATCGAGACCAGGATGGTCTCGATCTCCTGACCTTGTGATCTGCCTGCCTCGGCCTCCAAAAGTGCTGGGATTAAATACTTACCATTGTGTTGCAATTGCCTCTAGTATTCAGTAGTGTAACGTGCTGTACAGTTTTGTCCCCCCCCAGGAGCAATAGATCATCTAGCCTGAGTGTGTCGCATGCTATGTCATCTACAACACTTTGTGGTGTTAATGTGATGACAAAATCACCTAATGACACATTCCTCGGAAAGTATCCCTCTCGTTAGGCCGTATATGACCATGTATCTATAGACTTGACAGACCCACAACTAACACTCTCTCTTGTGGACCTGGCAGGTCTGAAGTCTGTAGGTCCAGCTCCGAGGCTGTAAATTCAGGTGGGAGTTGAGGTTGCGTTCTTGAGTCCAATTCTACAATGCAGCAGGATGGAAACTCAAGCAGGGCTTCTAAGGTGTAGTCTAAAGGAGAATTCCTTCTTCTTCGGGATCCTCAGGCTTCTCTCCTAAGGCCTTCGTCTTAGAAGAGATTGGCACCCACCCATATTATGGAGGATAATCTACTTTACTTAAAGTCTACTGATTGTAAATGTTAATTACATCTATACAATACCTTCTTCACAGCAACATCTAGACTGGTGTTTGACCAAACAACTAGGCACAGTAGTCTAGCCAAGCTGACACATAAAGTTGTCACACCTGCACACTGCAGTGCATAATGGGGTTTAAATTCAGACTTGTTTCTGAGCACCTAATAAGTGCCAAGCATGGTGCTATGTGTGCTGGAGACGTGAGAGTGGATGCCTTGCTTCTGTTAGCAAGGAGTCTTCAGTTGGACCAAATCACAGGGGAGGTCACAGCATCTCTAAGTGAGTAAAGGCTGTCGAAAGAATGTGGAGAAAGACTTCAATTGTCAGCCCAAAGAATCTGGGCTAAATTCCCCAGATCTGGAGAAAGATAGGTGAGAGCCAGAGAAAGTAGGGAGGCAGGGGAAGGAGGAGCATCCCAGGCAGAGAGGAAGCCTAAAGTAAAACAACAACAACAGCAACAACAACAACAACAAACCCCCATGAGCTTAAGAAGCTGAAATAAATTCCTGATGGGTAGAAAACAGAATGTTAGAAGGTGAAGGTTATGGGCGTGAACAGATGCGGCCAGAGGGCTGTGCTTGGGTGCTGACTGTCCTGTGCCTCCTCTGAGATGTTGCAGAAGTCAGGCCTTAGTTTGAGAGCACTGGGGAGCCACCAAAGGCTGTTTAGCTGGAGAGTGGCATGATCAGACTTGCCTTTTCAGAAGAGCGCTCTGATATTTTGTGCAGCTCTGCTATTGGAGGTGGAGGTCAGGACCTGGGCAGTTGAAGAATCCCTGTGAGAATGGCCAGAGTTAGGATAATGAGAGGGGCAGAAAGCACAATACACTTAAGAGTGCAAATCAATGCAGATGGTCTTCATTCCATTTACAGATCACTGCTGGGGTCTGTGTAGATCAACAGGCAGAAACAAACTTTCAAATTTGTCATCCTACCTGGGGATGGAATTGACACCCTTACACGTGCGTAGCATCTCTAATTGTCTTTCTACCAGCCTTCCTTCTCTTCTCCCCATCTATAGTTCTGGTTAGATTTAGTGATCATCGTTTCTCAAATGCTTGATGTCTAATCCAGAGCAAAGTAATTCTGTTCTTTTTAAGCACTTCTTGTGAATTAGTTAGTCACCAAAAGGGAGGAAAGGTAGACGATCATGTCAATGCAAACTGTTCTGCATTCTTGAATCTTTGCAGGGCTGCTCACAGCTCCAGGAGAACCCCTTCCCCACCTCACCCCACCCACAGATGCTAGAATCTTCCCTGCTTACCCCTCTTCAGCAGCCCCTCGTCTTTCATTGAGAAGATGAAAATTGGAATGAATTGTAATTGAATGTTATTCAACCTTTCCATATTAAAGTGAACATGAGATCAAATTGTCGTTTTTCCCAAACTTTATGTCATTTTGTATTAGATTACTTTCCTCATGCCAGGACCTAGAGCTCATATGAATCCAAAATGGAAGGAATCTTTAAATTTTGCCAAGTCTATAATGTGAAGAAAAAAGAAAAAGACCTAAGTGAGGTGTATGTGAACGTGAATGAAAACTCCAGCTTTGCCTTGGCATCAGGTTGAAATGAGCTCAGCCCACACTTGGCATTTGGGCTGCTCATGTCCTGAACTACACCTCCCAATTCTGTGAATTCTACCAAACCAGAAACATGATTTGCCAGATGCTTCCCCCACTCACTCCCAATGTGTGTTCTTTGTATGAAATGGAATCCATATGTTTCTTACGCATTTACACTTAAATCATCAAGATGTTACTCAGTGATGCCTCTGTGATTTATAGATCTTTCAGTCTTTTTTTATTTGAAAAAGGAAAATCATATTTTGTAAAGTGTAGACTTGAAACCACAAATTTGTACAATGAAGAAAAATATACATCTGCTGTTTTCTTTCTTTTTGCTTCCAAGCTTCAAAGGGGGTATTGCCAACTTGCAAACACATGACTTACCAGAAGCATCTACACCAGCCGTGTGGGCCTGAGTCTCCAGCTCTGTCTTATTACTGCCATTGTCCCATGTCATGGGAGATGTGTGTGTGTATTAGTTTGTTTTCACTCTGCTATGAAGAAATAACCAAGACTGGGTAATTTATAAAGGAACGAGGTTTAATTGACTCAGTTCTGCATGGCTGGGGAGGCCTCAGGAGACTTACAATAATGGTGGAAGGGGAGCAAATACGTCCTTCTTCACAAGGTAGCAGGAGAAAGAAATGCAGAGCAAAGGGGAGGAAAACCCCTTATAAAACCATCAGACCTCGTGAGACTCACTCACTATCACAAGAACAGTATGGGGGAACTGCCCCCATGATCCAATCGCCTCCCACAAGGTCCCTTCCCCAACACGTGGGCACTACAATTCGTATTAAAATTCAAGATGAATCTGGGAATTGGGGCTCATGCCTGTAATCCCAGCACTTTGGGAGGCTGAGGCAGGTATATCACCTGAGGTCAGGAGTTTGAGACCAGCCTGGCCAACATGGCCAAACCCCGTTTCTACTAAAAATACAAAAATTAGCTCAGCATGGTGGTGCATGTCTGTGGTCCCAGCTATCTGGGAGGCTGAGGCACAAGAGTAGCTTGAACCTGGGAGGTGGATGTTGCAGTATGCCGAGATGGCTCCAGCCTGGGCAACAGAGTGAGACTCTGCTCAAAAAAAAAAAAAAAAAAAAAAATTCAAGATGAGATTTGGGTGGGGACACAGAGCCAGACCATATCAGTGTGTGTGTGTTGGGGAGAGCAGGATAGAGAAAGGGAGAGGAAAAGGAAGAAATTGATAAGAAGGAGGAAAAGGAGGGAAGATAGTAACAATGTTTCCAAGTAACAATGGAAAGTGGAAGAGAAGAATTAAAAATTTTGGAACGTGTAGAAAATTGATATATTCAAAGGTAGAGGAAAAGAAAACATCCTTGTCAGGAACAGCATAAGGTGGCCAAGTATTTAATCACCCACTCATTAGAAAGATATTTGCATAGTGACATCTACGTACTAGAGTGTGGCACAATAAAGATGGATGCAAATTATCTGACAGTCTTTTGATGGTTGTCTGCTGTGGTTTGGAAATGTTTCCCCTCAAACCTCATGCTGAAATTCAATCTCCAGTGTTGGATGCAGTGGGGTCTAATAGGAGACGTTTGCATCATGAGGGCATATCCTTCAGGAATAGATTAATACCCTCTTTCTTCAGGGGTGAGTGAGTCCTCACTTCATTAGTTCCCTCAAGAGCTGGTTGTAAAAAGAACCTGATGCCTCCCCACCATTCTTCTTCTCTTGCCATGTGATCTCTGCACACAACTGCTCTCCTTCACCTTGACCCATGACTGGAAGAAGCCTGAGGCCCTCACCAGTTGCAGATGCCCGATCTTGAACTTTCCAGCCAGCCAGAATTGTGACCCAAATAAACCCTTTTTCTTGATAAATTATCCAGCCTCAGGTATACCTTTATAGCAACACAAAATGCACTAAGACACTATACTATTTCTCTTCCACTTGAATCTTAGCTGGCCTGGGGCTACTTTGACCAATGGAGTTTGGTGAACGTGATGCTATGCCATTCTGGACTTAGTCTTTAAGAGGACTGGTACCTTTTGCTTGGGCTTTGGCCTCTGAATCAGGCTGTCATGCTGAGGCCATGTGTAGGCCTAGTCAACAAGCCCATCTATGCTCCCAGATGACGGCGTCAGCTGCCAGCTTTGTGAGTGCGCCATATTGGATGTCCACCCCATTCAAGCCTTAAGATGTAGAGATTGCATTAGCATCTTATTACCCACTTCTCTGAAGCTCAAACATGGCTTTTCTGGAAAATCTTTGTAACATTAGTGATCAGAAGTATTTTGCTTATAGTCTGGATTTCTTAAAATGAAACTTCGGAAGTTTCGTGTCATCATCGGCATGCATAAATGACGTACATTTTTCCAGGCTGTTAGTCTTTTCCTTTTAATGACTCCATGTCCAAGTAACAATCATTCTCTTCTTAGAAACTCTTCTCATTTGCACTAAAGTGATTCTATTCAAGAGAGCTTTGCCAATATATTTTAATATAACCCTTACACTTAATATCTAACTAGTATGTATCTGTCTGTTTACCTGCTTATTCATCCATCTCATGTCTCAAATTTCAAATACATCTCCTATATATATATGTGTGTGTGTGTGTGTATATATATATATATATAAAATACACATATGTACATATTCACACCTCATATTTTAATTTCATAGTTTCTTGAATGGATTAATGGATTCAGTTATTTTTGCCTTTCATTAATTTTTCTGGAAACTAGCTTTGTTTTGTTCTCCAGATTCCTTTTCTTTGACTTTGATATAAATCTAGAGAAAAGTTACCAGTGACTTATTAAATATTGACATCCCCCACCTACATTGATTCCTATACTTTTCTTTCTTCCCGCTAATTTTTGAGGGATAATGATAATGCCTGCCATTTTTTAGTATTAGTATGTGCCAGAATGTAGGCTAATGTCATCACAAAGTTATCTCTTTCAATTCTCCTAACAACCCTTAGAGGCAGATATTATTTTTCTCATTTTACAGTTTGGGAAGCTGAGACTTAGAGAAATTCAGATACTTGCTCAGGGTCACATAGATAAAGTTAGAACCACGATTTGAATCCAGATTTATCTTGTGAGATCATAATATCCTGCCTTCCTGTCTTCTTATGTATACTGACTCACACAAAGGAATTTATTTGGTCATTCATCCAGTCGTCTCAGAAATTCCTCAGTCATCTTCTGTATTGCATAGTTTAGCTAAGCTATATTAGATGAAGGGCCAATAAAAATAAATAAGACATGTTCATGTTCGCAAGGAGCTTTTCTGAGCAAGAATCTGAGCCTTGTTTAATTTTATCAATAAAATGGGATTCTATATATTTCTTGCAATCTTTAATGTATGAATCAGGATAAGCTGTGTTATGATGCAGTAACAAGCAACCTCATGATTTCAATGATTTAAAACAAGGTTAATTTATTGCCCATGCTATTTATCTCCTGAGGCTTAGGAAGGAATTCTGTTCCATGTTGTTCTCATTTTCACCCTAAAATGCAGGACAGTTTAGACCAGTAATGGTCACAGTGGCAGAAGAAAATAACTCTGGGGGTCTCAATGGGGGGCTGATATAGTTTGGATTTGTGTCCCCACCCAAATCTCATGTTGAAATGTAATCCCCAATGCTAGAGGTGGGGGCTGGGTGGGAGGTGATTGGGTCATGGGGGTGGTTTCTCATGAGTGGTTTAGTACCAGTACTATTGTTGCGAGTGAGTTCTCATGAGCTCTGGGTTGTTTAAAAGTGTGTAGTACCTCCCCCCTCTATCTTTCTCCTGCTCTGGCTGTAAGACACACCTGCTGCCCCTCTGCCTTTCACCAAGATTGTAAGTTTCCTGAGGCCTCCCCAGAAGCAGAAGCTGTTATGCTTCCTGTACAGCTTGCAGAACCATGAGCCAATTAAACCTCTTTTCTTTATCAATTACCAAGTCTCAGGTATTTCTTTATAGCAATGAGATAACTGCTAATACAGGCACTTTACTTATACTCACAATGCATTGGCCAGAGCAAGTTGTATCCCACCACAGAGGAGCCAGGATGGGGAATCCTCTAGAAGGTGGAAGTGCCAGAAGAAGGAAGAACCAGAATATCTGGAAACCAGCACTAAGGACTACCATATATATGATAATTTAAGAATTTATAGTCCAATATATGGAAAAACTTTAAAAACAGAAAACATTTTGTGCCTGAAATATTATCAGTGGCATGAAATTCTATGGGGAAATTTGATAATTCTGAGATTTTTTTTCACATTCCTTCTTTCAGGCTATGTTAAAGGGGCAAAAAAGGATATTTACTAGAAAGGTTATTATGAGTCCTTTATTTTTTGCTTTTTCAATCTATCAGACACTGCTTCAGCTAACAGCTCTGAAGGACCAGCCAGAGGTGGACAAAACCTGCTATCAATAACAAAACGAAAAGCTGAGTAGAGTATGCACACATACACACACACACACACACACACACACACACACAATCTGAGTAAAGACTCACTAAAATGGACTAGATTTGAGGGTTCAGTATCTTAAAGAGAAAGCCTGCTCATTGAGGGAAAGAGAAACCTGCCATTCTATGCTGATTTTCCCCTAAGGCTTTTTCCTGTCCATATCCTGGGCAAAGAGGCTGAGCAAGTGAGTCAGGAATAACTCAGTGGCAAAGAGGAAGAGACTCTGAGCAGAGCTTTTGTGAGTCTCGTGGCCCCAGGGAGACAAAAATTGATGTTCAGCCCTGCTAAGGCAACCAGGACTTGAGGGGCCAAAATTCCAAAGGAAAGGGAAGCAGAGAGAAATGAGACCAACACCCTGAGCTGCTTTTCTCGTAAAGTTTTTGGTTGATTATTAAATTGTTCCTGCTGAAAGGTAGATAAACTGAGTAGAAATCAGTTGCTAAGAGGCCAAAAACTTGATGCAGAATTCTTGGATATCTCATGATACTGCAGTGAAAAAAATGTGGTTCAAAGCCTGCCAAAGGAGAAGAGCCTAGTTATTAACCCAGCTGAAACCCGTGAAGTACAGTCAGACCTCCCTAATGGTGGGTTCTGCGTCTATGGATTAAACCAATTTAGGACTGAAAATACTCAGGGGAGAAAAAAAGGTGGTTGTTTGTATTGCATATGTACTGACCTTTTTTTCTTGTCATTATTTCCTAAACAATAGGCTATAACAACTAACTACATAGCATTTACATTGCATTAGAATTTATAAGTAATCTAGAGATGATTATATATATAAGAGGATATGTGTGGGTTATATGAAAACACTATACCATTTTACAAAAGGGACCTGAGCATCTGTGGATTTTGGTATTTGCTTGGGGCCCTAGAACCAATTCTCCGTGGTTACTAAGGGCTGATTGTACTATATTTCAGGAATAAGGGCAAGCCAGAAATTAGATAAAGCCTTGTAAGACTAAAATCCAATTTGAAACCAGCTCAATTTCTGATTGGATTAAGGGATCTGCCTCAAGAAGACAAAGAAAATCCTTTTTGAAATTACATAAAATAATTCAGAAATTTTACATGATTTTTCATAGTGTTTAGGATTTAATAAACAGTACCAGGCATATCAACAAACAAAACCAAGAAAGAAGAAAAAAAATGAAAATTACAATATCTGATTTAACCGTGTCACATATGTGATTACTAGGGGATCACACAGCTGGAGAGCAGATTTGTTGTTTAGAATGTAGGCCAGTAAAAAATTTTCAAGCTGAGGCAGAGAGGAAAGACTTCTATGCAACAAACTATGAAATGCTTTTGTGGGAAAGTAAAAAGAACATAAAAAAGAAAAATAAACACAAGAAAATAAATAAATAATTTCCATGAATTAGAATATTACAAAAATAGTAACTTTCCCTAAATTGAACTTTTGATTCAATGAAGTCTAAATGAGAATCACTACAAGTTTGTATTTTTGTGTGTGGAAATTGAGTAGCTGATATTTAAAAATGTAGGCAGAAATGCAGAGGATCAATAAGAGCCTTGTTTATCTCCAAGAACAAAGTCGGAGGATTTAAATGACCAGATTTGAAGCTGTGATATCAGTACAAAGGTACTGGGTAAGTTAGTATAACTGCTTTTGGGAAAATAGATCAATGGCAAGAAAGAAAAAAAAGATAAGAGAAAAAAAGAGAAACAAAAACATCCAGTGGGAAAAGAATGATTTTTAAATATTCATAAGGACAGCCACATTGAAAAAAAATGAATTTCAACCCTAGCTCACTCCATACACAAAAATTAAATGTAGATGGGTTGTAGATCTACATGTGAAAGGTTAAATTAAAAAGCTTCTAGAGGATACACAAGATAATGTTCATTGCCTTCATGAGCTAGGCAAAGGTCCTTAACTAGGACACAAGAAGCATTAGTCATTAAGAAAATTTGATGAATTGAATCACATTAAAATGAAGAATTTCTGTTTATCACACTGACACCATTAAGTGGGTGAAAGTGCATGTCACAGAGTGAGAGTGACAAGGGACTCATGACAAATCACTAAGAAAAAGACAGACATCCAAATAGGAAAATGGGCAAAAACGTTAAACAGGCAGTCAGAAAAAGAAGCTATTTAATTGGCCGATAAGCAGGTGCAAAGATGCTCAACATCAACTGAGTAAGGCAAATGCAAATTAAAATTAATAGTGGAACTGCATCACTCATCTGCCAGAATGACTAAGACAAACAAAACTTACAGCACTAGTCAGTGTTACTGAGGAATGCTCACTTTCCTACAGTGTGGTGGGAGTGTAAATTAGTACTATCATTTTTGACAAAATGAGTGGGAGTATTTACTGAAGTTACACATACACATAAACTTTGACTAGAAATTGCACTCTCAGTTTATACATTACTGAATCGCAGATATGTGCAGTAAATGTCATGTGTAAAATATTCATAGCAGTACTATTCTGAACAGCCCCAAATCTCCATGAAAAATAGAATGAATTGTGTATTTATACAATGGGATGCCACATAGCAATGAAAATGGATAAATGAATTCTTACTACACACAAAGTGAATGAATATCACAAATCAAGTATTGAGAGAAAAAGGCAGTTGCAATAAAAAGCACGGACTCTGTGATTCCATTCATATGAAGTTCAACTGGAGGCAAAGTTAATCTGTAGTGAAAATAGTCAGGTTGGCTGTTATCTTTGGGGAGTAGAGGGAGGTAGATGGGAGGGACACAAGGGGAGTTTTGGGGTGCTGATAATATTTCATTTCCTTATTTGTAGGGTGGTTATGTAAGTCTGTTCATTTTCTGAAAATGAACCAATCCTGAGAGTTAGAATCAGAAGTGTTAAACTTCAGTAAAAATGCTCACTTAAAAACACTAAAAATTCTATAGGACAAATTTGTCTAACAATTGAAAAGCATTATTCTTGTCAAATAATTTTTACCATGCTGGATCTTGAGTGAGAATTCAATTTTAGTGTGGTAACATCTTTTTGCAAGATAAAGAGCATAAGATGCTGACTGAGCTGTCTTCTATGATGTAACTAATAACATGTCAGAAAAACATGCCTAATAAAACAATACTTATGATTATTTTGCATTTACATTTTGATTTAGCTCTTTGTTACATATAAATACAGAAACTAGATAAGATAAATTTCTGGGCTTTAAAGGGAAGTTGGAACAAGGGGATCAATTTGTTAAAATTGTTTTCATTATGTTTCTGTATTTTATTATATAATAAAATAATAATAAGGAAATTAATTCTTCATAATTTTATAACATATCAGTGCTGAAAGCACGCAGTCTCATTTTAATTTTTCTCCTTTTTATTCAGAAACATTGATGCTATTCACTGTTGTTTCATCCCCACAATAACCGTGTAAAGTGGAATTGGAATGAATGACTCCTTTTGAAAGGTGAAAAAACTGTGATGCAGGGGACATTAACCTACTATTCCAAAATTACACTTCTAGTGCAGTGCAGACCAAGGGCCAGATGCACATTTTGTAACATTGATTAAGGTCTGTTTTTTCTACCAAGTTCACCTTCGCCTCCGCTACCTTGATTTTGGTTAAGAAAACTTAGGATCGTCAATTTCTAGTCAACTCTGGCAGAGCTAGAACACTGCAAAAAGGAAACTTGTGTGATAGGACAAAGCTGGGTTGAAATGGCTGGAGATCTGTATTCAGGCAGGGTTGGGTCTACAACCAAACTATAAGGCAAGAAATAGAAAAAGGATAGTCACCCCACCAAAGTTTTATTGACTTTTTAAAACACAGAAAATGAGAAATAGGTAGAACAAGATACTGACAATGTAGTCTCAAGATGGCACATCGATTTCTTAAAAGGTTCCATTGTTTCATAAAACCAAAACTTAAAATCTCCTACTATGTCTCTACTTCTCTCCTAAAATCCAGTTTTTCTGAGTTATTCCTAGCAGTGCTGCCTTGTGAAAATGTTGGTTTTATGAGGAGCACAAGAAGGAGAAAGATTATATGAAGGAAACCTCAACTCTGAACAGAAACTCAAGCCGGCTATCAAAGATCTCTCAGATGCTCAACTGCATGACCCCGTGACTATTCTCAAAAAGCCTTGACTTACTGTCTTTGCACAGATCCAAACTCCTAATTCCCCATCTGTCCATTTCAGAGCTCCCTGCCTACCCTTTAAAACGGATGGAAAATCACGTGATTGTAAATCACATTCTCATTTGCATTCAATGACTTGGTGACCACAAGATAAACTGGTTGGGATGTTTTGGGTTCATTCTTGGGATACTTTGGGTTCATTCTGCATGGGTGCAAAAAATACTTTGACCAGTTAGGACTCCCTTCCCCTTTTTCCTGACCCAAAGGGTCTTTTTTTTTTTTTTTTTTTTTTTCTGATTTTTAGTTCTTATTGTCACCCATTTGCTCCAGAGACTGGAACTAATCTATTATCCTGTCTCTAATACCTGTTATTTTCCCACTAGTTTCCATCTCAGGGATTGGCATTTTTGTCCGGAACCCAGGATCTTTCCCTCCTACATATTCTTTCTAACTTCTGTCCTCTTTCCACCTTTTTGAAGAGCCTCAGGGGTGGGGACTGCATGCACAATCATGTAAGCTCTTGCTAGGTTCTGACCTCATAAGTGGACCCAGAGATGACTCCCATTGAAATCCTCTGCCAGAATCCTGATATAATTTTGTTATCTTCCATAAAGTTTGGGGGTAGATGGTTTTACCTTTGGTGCAACAGATGGTTTGTGTCGTGAAGGACCCAGGCTGTTTCTATTCTTTTTTCTCTGTGATCTTCGACCAGTTGGCTTTTTCTCTTCATACTTGTCACCTCACAGTCATAAGATGCCTGATGTAGCTCCAGATGACGGATTCTTATTCCAGCTATCCAAGCAGGAAGGAAGAAACTGACACAAAAGGCATTTTCCTAAGCTGGCTTTTGATTCAAAAAGTGAAGCCCTTTTTGTTTCATTGTGGAGAACTAAGACATGTTCTCATCTCTTGTTAATCACTGGTGAAGGAGATTAGGATTTCCATGGCTGGTTCTGGCCAAGCAGGATCTATCCTGACTTCAGCATGGGCCTAGTTCCTGGGGATGAAAGGACTTCTCTTTAACATTTGGAATACAAAATTGGGAGGTAACTGCTATGAGGTAAACATGGAACCATTAAACCAATCTAAAGTTGGGCTTTGCACTCAGGAACTCTGCTCCTAGAAGGTAGGTTCAACTCTCCATATGCTTATTTGCCCTTGGCTACTTCCCACTGTTAAGTACAAAATAAACACTGAATGCATGCATGCATCATGCATGAACGAGTGGACACGAGTGAGTCAACGCATGGATGTATGAGTGATTGCATGAATGCTTTTCTCCCTTGCTTTTGTCAGACTTACCAGAACCTTCCTGTTTATTCCCCTCTGTGGAGGGGCTACTTTGAGTTTTATTGTCACATCTGCTCATGTATTTTATCATTCTGCCTTCTTTATTTATAATTGTAAACTCTTGCACTTCCAGAAAGCCTGTCTCTCTCGTGTTCCTTTTTCTGAGGCAGGCTACTCCTCATCAAGTCCCTTCCCTTTCTTCACTGCTCCTCCCCCTCAGCAGTGTTCTCCTAGCTGGTCTGCCTGCCACTAGTTTAACGCTTATTTTTAAAAGTCATGTTTATTAAAGTGTAACTTAAGTATGTTAAAATACACTTATTTAAGTGTAGAGTTGGATGAGCTTTGACAAACAGCTGTGAAATTATCACTGCAAACTTGATACAGATCATCTTCACCACCACCAAAGTCTCCCTTTGCTCCCTCCAGCTTCTTGGTAGTCAATCCTCTCCTACTGCCACTGGCACTTGAGGACCACTAATCTGATATCTGTTCCCATATCTTTGCCTTTTCCATAATGTCCATAACATAGTAAGGAGCCTTTCAAATCTACCTTCTTTCACCTAGCATAATGCAGTGAGACTCATCGATGTTGTAACATGTATCAGTAATTGTTTCTTTTTAATTATTGAGTATTCCATTGTATGGATATACCACAACTTGTTTATTGATTTACCAGCTGATGGACATCTGTATCATTTCTAGTTTTTGACTATTATACATAATGGTGCTATAAACATTTACCAACAAGTCTTTGTGTTGACATATTTTTATTTCTCTTGGGTACCCATCTAAGAGTGGAATAGCTGGGTCATGTGGTAAGTCTACATTTGTCTTTTTAGGAAAAGGCCAAGCTGTTTGCAAACTGGATATTCCATTTTCTATTTCCATCAGAAAATTTGGGGGTTCCAGTTTTTCTACATTCTTTTCAACACTTGTATTTGTCTGTCTTTTTTATTTCAGCTGTCTTACTGGATATGATGTAGTATTTCACTGTAGTTTTATTTTGTGTTTTCCTAATGATCCTGATCATCTTTTTATGTTCCTGCACATCCTCTTTGGTGAAACGTCTGTTCAAATCTCTTGCCTATTTTTAAATTGGGCTATTTGTCTTCTAATTATGAGCTGTAAGAATTACTTATACATTCTGAACACAATTCTTGTATCAAAGATGTGATTTAAAAATATGTTCTTTCAATCTGTGGCATGTCCTTCTATATTCTTTTCTCTCTCTCTCTCTCTCTCTCTCTCTCTCTCTCTCTTTCTCTTCAGAGATAGGGTCTTGCTCTGTTTTCCAGGCTGGAGTGCAGTGGTACGATCAGAGCTCACTGTAGCCTCAACCTCCTGGGTTAACATGATCCTCCTGCCTCAGCTTCCTGAGTACGTAGGACTATAAGCAGGCACTACCATACCCAGTGAAAATTTTTTAATTTGAAAAGAATTTATTTGAAATAAAGTATAACAAAGATTTATTTGTACATTTCACCAAGAGTTGGTTGCATTTTCAACTCCTTTTCCCTAAAACTAGATGACTTTAATGTAGGTAGTTTCTTTTTAATTTAATTTAATTTAACTTAATTTAATTTAATAAAGTTCCAGGATACCTGTGCAGGACAGGTAGGTTTGTTACATAGGTAAACATGTGCCATGGTAGTTTGCTGCACCTATCAACCCATCACCTAAGTATTAAGCCCCACATGCATTAGCTATTTATCCTGATGTTCTTCCTCCCTCTGCCCCCACAACAGGCCCCACTGTGTGCTGTTCCCCTCCCCGTGTCCATGTGTTCTCATTGTTCAGTTCGCACTTATAAGTGAGAACATGCAGTGTTTAGTTTCTGTTCTTGTGTTAGTTTGTTGAGGATAATGGCTTCCAGCTCCATCCGTGTCCCTGCTCCATCTGGGGACATCCATGTCCCTACAGGATAAATAGCTAATGCATTGTTCCTTTTTATGGCTGCATAGTATTCCATGGTGTATATGTACCACATTTTCTTTATGCAGTCTATCATCGATGGGCATTTGATACTTGATTAATTTTTCAACTTCTTGTAGAGATGAGATCTCACTATGTTAATCAGGCTGGTCTTGAACTCCTGGCCTCAAGTGATCCTCCTGCGTTGTCTCCCAAAGCTCTGAGATTACAGGCATGAACCATTGTTCAGGCCCCTTCTATTTCCTTGTGTTGCCTTTTGAAAAAGAAAAGTTTAAAGTTTTGATGGGAAGAGAAGGTACTGGCTGGGTATTTCTTCCTCTCTCTCCACTTGAGTGGCAGCTCTAGCCAGGGCTGCTTCTACCCCGTGGTTCCAATCCATGGGCTCTATAAACTAGATTGTTTCCCTTTTCTCCTCCAATCTCAGGCTGGAGTGACTCCTTTATGCTCATCTCTGGGCAGTCTGGTCTTTCCCTTGAATGTCCACTTCTTTCAGCAATTCTGCAGTTCTGAGTGACATAATACTGCTGCCAGATATAACATCTTAAAACCCCTGTTAGCGTCTCTCTTTTGCAATATTCATCATGTCTAATTTTTTTATAAGCCCCTAAAGGCCCTTAGTAATCTAACTCTAGATAAACCACTATATTGTTCTTTTGCACACCTTCTCCTACCATGAAATACTCTTACCTTTAGTGTAATGCATAACCCACATAAACTTGCTCTCCTCTTCTAGACTGTGGTTTAGTTCCACGATGGCAGGAGTCATCTGCAACTCCTGTTTTTCTATCTCCAGATAGCAGTTCCATACATCTATGATTTGCATCATACAACAGGAGCCTACTGCTCACCAGAAGGGAATGTTTAGTGATAACAGTGTAAGAAATGTCAAGGTATGTCCAAGTGAAGAAAAGGCCATTTGTAGACTCAATCTTGTTGGCCAGTGGCTTATCCACCAGGAGGAGTTTAAGACAGTCCTTCTATTGTCAGAGCACAGGTTGCTGCTGTGGGCAGAAATATCTGCAGGGAGTGTATGCTCAGAGCAAAGTGTGGCATGTGATGTCAACACCATGTGAAGCTTCTTTGCTATTCTTGCTTCATCTACCTTCTTCCCCCACCCTCTGCCCACCTGACCCCTACACATATTCACACATAAACACACACATGCACGCATACACACAGTTTTTCTCTTCTCTACCTAGAAATTGCTATTTACTTGCTAGGGTCTGAATGCTTGTGTACCTGCAAAATTCATGTGTTGAAATCCTAAGTCTCAAGGTGATGGTATTAGGAGGCAGGGCCTTTGGGAAGACACTCGGTGTATTAGGCTGTTCTTGTGTTGGTATAAAAAATACCTGAGGCTGGGTAATTCATAAAGAAAAGAGGTTTAATTGGCTTATGGTTTTGCAGGCTGTACAGAAGCATGGTGCTGGCATCGGCTCAGCTTCTGGTGAGGCCTCAAAGAGCTTTTATTCATGGTGGAAGATGAAGCGGGAGCAGCATGTCACCTCATGAGAGCAGGAGCAAAAGAGAGAGGAGGGAGATGCCACACACTTTTGAACAACCAGATATTGTGTGAACTCTGTCATCACCAAAGGGATGGGCTAAGCCATTTATAAGGATCCACTCCCATGATGCAAACACCTCCTACCAGGCCCCACTTCCAACATCAGGGATCACATTTCAACATGAGATTTGGAGGAAACAAATATCCAAACTATATCACCAAGACATGAAGGAAGAGCTCTGAAGTTAGTGCTCTTAAAAGAGATCCCAGAGAGAGCCTTGCTTCTTCGACCATGTGAAGACACAGCAAGAAGGCACCATTTATGAACCAGGACATAAACCCTCACCAGACAAACATCCTGGTGCCTTGATCTTGGACTTTCCAGGCTCCAGAACCATGATAAATAAATTTCTGGGGTTTAAAATTTACCCAGTTTGTGGTCTTTTGCTATAGCATCCTGGACTAAGATGTTACTCCTGAAAATTCAGACTACTATGTTATTCCCTCTGAGAAGGTTCCGCTAAGCATAATTAATAGTTCCTTCTGGGTTCCTATGAGAATGTGGGCATATTCCTTACAGGCACTTAGCACACTGAATGTAATTAGCTGTGTGTCTGTCTCCCTCACTAGACAGACAGTTTGGTTTTTTAGGGGTGAGACCACCACGTCGCATACCTTTTCATCTTCAGAGCTGGCACAGAAGGATCTTAGCACATATTTGCTGAGTGAATGCAATCCCTTTCAGTCTGATGTATTTTCATGCAGAGATGTGGTGGAAAAAAATGTGTAAAACCTGAACTTGGTTCTGTACTGATTATTATCTAATTTCTGTAGAAATGTGAGGTGAACCAGGTCATAACAGCCCATTTCAATGTATCTTTTGGACAAGGGAAACAATTTCCCAACCATTTGCAGCTTGTTCTATTGTTTCCATTAGTCATACAAACCTTCCCTCACCCTTCAACATAAGCATGTCAAGATAGCTGCCCTCCAAATTTTATTTTGAGCAAATGTCTTATTTTTAGAGCTTTATGCAATCATATAAAATCCTTTAATTTAGAAATTCTGGCTACACTGGGCACACTGCCTAGTAGCCATGCTCTGCAAGGAGCAGTAAAAAAATAAAAATAAAGAAATTCTGCATTCTAGAAAACTCCTCCCCATAGCTAAAATAAATATAAATTTGAATAACATTTTCAGACTTATCTTTCTACAGTCCTACTTCACTGCTTCCTTGAGTTCTCTGTTACCCATTGCAATGCCTACCAAAGTTTCTTGATGTTCAACTAAATCTTCATGCTCATAAATTATCACTTGATATTCAACTCTTAGAGGATACAGAACAGGAGACACAGTTTGCTAGCCTAGTGGCATTCAGCATTCCTGTTAGTTGAAGTTCTTGCAACAGTCGTCTACACAGCAGGGAGATGAATCCACATTGGCTCCCATGAAATTTACCCTGGCTTCCAAGCTCTATACCAGCATATCTTGCAAGATCTCCAGAGGTATAACTCCTTCTACGATCCACTTAAGGATTATAAGAGTCACCACACTCTTATAATTCTTCTTTAGGGAAATCTCAAAACAGGGTACCCTAATTGGGTTCATTTGTAGTCTTCCCCAGTGCAGATGTGAGCTACCCATCAGGGTTATTTTTATGCTAATGAATGTCACCCAGGAGTACAGCTAACATCATATCAGGTACCAGGAGAACACAGCTAATCAAAGGATGAATTCTGACACAGAAGGTGAGAAGGTTTAGTTGGTTAACCCTTTGCCCACATCCATATCAGGTAAAAAACAAATTTAGCACAGCATTCAAGAGCATCCACAGCCACAGGTCCAGGAGGCTTTCTGGGTTTATTCACCCTCCCCCCTCATCTTAAGCATCAGTTACATCTAATGTCTCAACCCTATCTGGAAACACATTGCTCATATGTCTTACCTCAAAGGCTTTCCTACTTATAAAGTTTCCTCCTCTGCCATTTTCACTCTCTCTCTTTTTCAACTCATATTTCCTTGTGAAGCTCCTAACCATATGTGACCCACTTCTGCTAAATGTTCTCTGAAATGACTCCCTAGACACAGTTAGTCATTCTCATACATCTGCCCCCAATGACCTTTATTTACACCATTATTTAAAATGAAAAAAAGACAGGAGGAAAGAAACTAGATGTTATCACCTTGAATTTTAGTGATTTTTTTCTTTATCTTTGAATCCCATACGTAGCAGAGTGTGAGCATGTGGTCAGTACCCTACAAATATTGTTGAGAATGTCTTGGAATCATATGGATCCCAATAATCTCCTAGAAAATCTATGAACCATTTTAAAGGTAAAACAGCCCTGGTTCACAATGTTTCATAAATGTTTACAATAATAGCGAGTACTTCTGGAGTGCTTAATTTCTGGCCACAGTTTATATTTTCTTGGTTAATCCTTGGCATACCCCTATGAGATATGCACCGTTACAGGCTCCATTCAACTGATAAGGACACTTAGGTTCAGAGATGTTGAGTGATTTGTCCATGATCACACAGCTGTCAGAAGTGGAGCTGGGACTCCAACCCAGGGAGGACGTCTACAGAGCCTAGTTCACACATCTCTGTTCTTCCATCCTTAAACCTTGTAGAATGCAGTGGAGGAGCAAGGCAAGCTGCGGGCCATGGGGATTCTTTATTCTGATTATCTGAAAAGACCAAAGAGTTTAGACTGCTCACTGGGCTTCCCTTCTCCCCACTGTCCATGGAGAACAATGTCAAGGTCAGCTTTAAATTTCACCACGTATGGTCTCATTGGAACAACTGATGAGTAGAATAGTCCATTTATTGTCTTATTTGAGAACTCTGTAGAGATTAGTTTTATAACATTAGTAAAATACACCTCAACATTTTGACTTTTTGCCTCAAAGATCATTTTAACAATTTGAGTCACTGTGATGGGAGTTTAATATTTTTAAGCAGCATATTGACAAGTGTTTCATACACAAAGAAGCCAAGACAGAATTGAAGCTTACAGTGTCAGGGAGATAGTTTGCCTACTGTTAATATTTGTGTCATTGGGTTTGTAACTTTACATATGATCACAAACGTTATGTTACATATTAACATAAACATCCTCAATATTCAAATCTATCTGTGTTTCATTTGCATGGTGTAAGAGTGATAGCATCTGTCACTTAAAGAGGTTGCCTAACAGTCTTTAATCCAAAATAGAAATGTGTGAGATTTTATCCTTTTCTTTGATGCTTTGTAATTATACAAGTTATATTTTATCCAAGTTTATATCCATCAATTTTTATCTAAGTTTATATCCATCAGGTACATCAAAATAAAAATATTTTAATTACCTCTTGAAATAATTTGTCCAAGTCAATAAGTGGCATGAATTACATCACTGAGGCCATAACAAGGATACACAAACATGGCAGAATCACACAGATTGTTTGTCTACACAAACAAGATGGTAGAATCCATCCTGTTACTGAGACTTTTCCAGAAAAGCCTATTATTTCTGCAAGCAGATGTGGTTTAATCTTATTTGAATGGTATTTTTGATATAATGTGCCTGGGAATTAGGTAATGAAATTGGCTGTGTGCATTCATGTGTTCATTTGTTCAGGCATGTATAGAGCCTTCTGTAGTGAGCTTTATTCTGCAGGATAGACTATAATGGTACTTTCTTCATTGCTACAGTCTTGGCTTGCAATGCTTTTTTCTTGCTGACCTAAAACCCATCTCTAGACCTAAGGAAATTTATTTTCTAACACCTTGAGATAGTAATATGCTGTGTGTGGAGGAGATAAGATCATCACTTAAATAAAAGCTAACACTGAGACTTTCTCCTCCCTGGCCATCTGCACATTGGACAATACCTGACTCCAACCTAAAATAATCAACTCCAGAGTTATACTTAATGCCTCTGGCAGGCCTGCCTATTGCCAGAGAGTTTTGGGCCTAGGAATAAAGGCAACAAGGATTGGCCATTTCTGGAGGTAGGAAGCAAATGGAAACTCATAATTTTCAGATGGCTCTGCATCTTTGGGGTAAGAACTGGATGTTTGGGGTGTTTTATAGACTATATTTATTTGTCCATCTATAGCTCCCTACCCTCCATCTCCCTCTCTCTCTCTCTTCCTCTCACCCCTCCCATCTATTATTTATCTCATTTTAGGTCATTCTTAACATAGCTGTAGAAAAAGTAAACCTTCTGGTGTGTTTTAATTCTGGATCCCTCAGGGTGACCTTTGGTCTTTGGGAACTGTGGTTTATGCTGGTGCTGAGGGTGGCCATGCAGCTGTGGAGACAGGGAGGGATAGAGGGGGTGTAAATGCACTTTATCTTCATGGCACTCCATCTTGTGACTCCTGGCATGTCACAGTGTGTACTGCGGTCCCATGGACTCAACTGGGCTTTTATAAATAATTTGCATTGTTCATTTAGTTGCAGTTTAAACTACAATATATGGAGGTTTAAAGAAAAATCAAGTTACCACTGGGGTGTTTTGCTCTGTTTGCAAATAAACCTCTCTTCCTATATAGAGGAATATAAAAACTTAACCCAATAATATGATATAAAGAAAAAACTGTAGCCAATATGTTTGGGTTAGATTAAATAAACAAGTGTGCTTATTACACTTTTACTATTTTTTTTTTTGTGGTTTTATTATAAAGTAAGAAATCCCCTATCACAAATAATACCTTATTTTTATAGACTCCTATCCTAGGGCTGTCAAAGAGCTTAATTCCAGGGATGAAACTTCATTCTCACAGGACTCACCTGGGGAAAATGTATATTTAGGCCTTTTAATCTCCATGTCTCAAAGCATAAAACTAGTGATGCCATAGATTAGCTCCTCCTTTCCCTGAAATGCAACATGCACTGTACATGCATGCGCTGTACTGTAAAGGAGCATCACATGCATGTAGAGTGTGCAGGGAAGACAGGAAATGAAAATGCATCTCCCTGAGCTGTAGTTGGTTTAGGTAAGAGTTTATGGAAAATACGATTATTGACTGGTATGTATTTCAATGTGTGTTAGGTGGAGTTGCTCATGGACTCTTAGAGTTGAAGTGGAACAGACAGGTCTCCCAGCTCTCCAGCTCTGTTAAACAAGAGAAAGATGCTTGTGATGCCTCAGCTCAACTGTAATGAGGTCAACTCCTATCACTGCCGTTTCATCTCAGTGTTGATTCAGAACGCTTCCAGTTAAGTCCAACGCCCAAATCATCCTCACAAATTCCGTTAAGCCACAGCTCCCTCATCTTACTCTACACCCCCTCAGAGGTTTATTCTCATTCCACCCACTCTTAATTTCCCGCGGTCCTCCCAGAACTTCGGTTCCTCCATTTGCTTTCAGTCCATCTGGATCCACCTGGCTTTACTTCCCTCTTTATCCAGCCCGGCCTCCTTGGTTGCCAGGGTTTGTCAGTTCTCACTGGTAATCTCTCTCCCTCCTTGTCTACTTGTCATTCAGAGCTGGCAAAATTCCACCTGGGAACCCATACATCATTGGCCTTCTCCACTCTCAAGCCTGGGGGCTGAGCCCAGCTGGAGAAAATCACTAAGATCCTTCAACCAGTCCCACCAGGAAGCTCCCGCGGCTGTTCCAAGCTCTTGCCTCTCTCCCATGCTCTGCTTCACTGTCCTCCTGTCTCACAGCAGATTGTCCGGCCTCAGCTTCCTGCCTCAAATGCCCAGATGAATGCATCTGTACCCAGACCCGTTTTTAATTCCTGCTCCTTATTTCCTCTCTCTCCTGCCAATCCCATCAGCCATGCTCTGACCTGCTTTCTCTCCTGCTTCCTCCAGACCTTGTTCCCTCAACCCTCTTCCCTCTCTGCAGTATCCTCATCTCCCTCTCTACTAGGCCTTCCCCTTAGCATAGAAGCACACTTACATGTTTCCTCTGTGTACAAATAAACATAGCAATGAGTTTTAGAAAATGTTCCGTTCAACACGCTTTTCTTGACGTTCTCAATTTCATTGATTTCCAATTCCCCCAACTCCAGGCACACTCTCCTAGGGCCACACCCTGCATATTACCTGGAATTCTTCCTTCTCTGCCAGGATCCCTCTCACTGCCCATAATATTGTGTTATCTTTTGTCATCATTCTGTGTGCCTACTACACCTGTTCTTTGATCTCTTAGGGGCTCCGATTGCTCCATTTCCTTGTTGCCTTCATTCCTATTGCTTAGTGGCCTGGATCTCATGGCTCTTGCCTTGAAGCCATGAAGCTCATGGCTTCAGCCTCTGTCTGTCTACATCTTCTTTCCCATTCTCATTTTTCCACCACACTCACTGGTAAACTCCATCCCTGGATTAATACAACCATCCACCCTTCCTACACCTGGACTACTGGTGAAGCTCACATACCATGAGGGTTGGTGCCCTATGCAGCTATAGCCTCCAGCTTGAACTGGAAGCTCAGCTATATCCCACTCTCCTTCCACAGGTCCCATAATACCTTCCTCTTCCATTCCCCTAAATCATTGTTTCTCTACAGTCTTCAAATCCCCCTTGGAACTATCTCTTCTCTTTCTTTTAGGGGGTGACAGGTCTTCTTAATACTCCAATTAATGAAAACTGACTCAAAGTGACACCTTCAGTGCTCTGTCTCAAGCACTGGTTACAGATGGACCTACTCTCAGAGCCCTGAAATTTCCATGGAAAAAGTGATACCCACTTCTCACAGCTAATGTTCCCACATGGACTCCAGTTCCTATCCCCTACTTGCATCCTTCAGGGTCATGCCTTATTAATCATCTCATTATCTTTCATTTCTAGTAACTTTCGTTCTATTGCCTCTTCCCTCTAAGCACATATAATAACTATGTTTAAATCTCCATCCACAAACCAAATTAAAAATAAGAACAAAGCACAAAATTCATCCTTGATCTTATATCTTTCTATACTGTCCACTTTCTCTTTTGCTTCCATCACAGGCAAATTTTTGGAATTAATTAATGCTCTCCCTCATCTCATAAACCTTCTGGGGACCTTGTTTCTGTTCCAGCATGCCACTCAAACTATCTTTAAATTACTGGGACTTTCCTATTCTCATGCACATTTGTTTCATGTTCTTCAACTTCTACAGGTGCTTTGTTGGGAGAAATTATCTCCTAGATTTCTATGATAGTTTACTCCAGGTTAACTCTTTCCTCCTCCCACCATTTCTTCTCATGATCTTCAACAGGTTTCTCTTCCTCTGCTTTTCTTTAAAGTGTTTCTCAATCCAAGAGCCCTATCGGAATCCTGCAAAACCTACCACTGAGTTCTCCTTGATGAAGTGTTTCCTAAATGAATCCCTTAACCAATTGAACTCTCTCATTTAGAGATACCCAATACTATGGAAATTTACCATCCTGATCATCATTTGTTCTTTGTATACTTTCCTTATCTGGCCCATGAGTTCCTCATGAGCAGGGTCATGGCCCTATGTCTGGTTGTGGCTTACAGAGAAGACAGCCAGTCAGTACTTGTTTAATGTAACCCAGTTGAGCTGTTATCCTTTCTCTCTGTTGTCTGTTTACATTATATATTAGCTGCCCTTACAGAAGATCTGTCCTGCCTTTGTTCTTTTACTTGACTCTCATTTTAGGTCTTAGCAAATTTTGCAAACTTCTTTGAAGCACAAAGATTCTCAACACTATTTCTTACTTGCATTTATGTTCATCTTCTTTCCTTTTTTTTTTTTTTTTTGTACAAGTGTTCTTACGTCTGACTTTACCAGAGAATTTCCTGTTTGGCTACCTCTTGAGATACTTCCCCATTTTCTTCCCAGTCGGGATTGTGCTATGAACAAGGACCCTTCCCTCTCCAGACTTGTTTCATGCTCACGTCTTAGAATTCCACCAATCTTTGCTCTAAGCTTTTAGAGTTCTGCCTCCTCAAAAGGCGGTCACCCACCTGACAATACCCAGCTCACCCATGGTTGGCTGTGGGAGGCTCTAGAGTAACCTGCTCCTTTTATCTCCAGGGCCCCCGTCACTTCCTCCTTGGTTAGAATAGATCCAGAGAAGCAGCTCTGCCTCGCTTCCTCTTTGGACTGAAGTCGATTTCTAGCAGCTGTCCCTGTGGGCTCCCTGCACCCGGGCCCCTCCCTCTGCAGTCACCCAACCTCTCTGGCAGCATCTGTGCTGTTTGATCCATGCCTGGAAAACATCAGTGCTTCCTCCATCTGGATGGGTGGTCTCCAGCATCGTCCCACTCTCCCTCCCTCCTTTAATCTTCAACCAAACTCTCTGTGCACATTCTTCCATCATGGTCACACATTTCACTCCAGGTGTATATGGCTTTGACTGGCTTAGCTATTGATCCTATTTCTTTTGAACATGGCATTTCCTAGACCTTGGTGTTCTAGGCCAATTAAAAACCTGCTTCCTTATATCCTGGTGAGGGCAAATAATGGTGTTTACCTTCCTGCATTAATATCCAACATGCATTTTATTTGTTAACTATATTTTATCCCTACTCATTTGGTACATGAACATAATCACTCATTCTGTGCCTCTTCAAGTTATTCCTGACTGTGAATTACTTGACACCACTAGTATTATTTTTCTCTGTAAACTTTCCCAATATTTATTTGATACTACACATTTTGCAGAACAAAGCCTCGATTATTTTTATTCTTTATTTTTTAATTTTGACTTTTAAAGTTCCTTATTTTCTATTTATTATTCTATTGTTCTATACAACAAAGTTAATTATTACTGTTAACTTTTTTAAAAAAAAACTTTTAAGTTCAAGGGTACAAGTGCAGGTTTGTTACACAGGTCAACTTGTGTCATAGGGGTTTGTTGTACAGATTATCTTATCACCCAGGTATTAAGCCTACTACCCAACAGTTATTTTTCCTGATTGTCTCCCTCCTCCTACCTTCCAAACTCCAAAAGGCCCCATTGTGTGTTGTTTCTTTCTGTGTGTCCATGTGTCCTCATCACTTAACTCCCACTTATAAGTGAGAACTTGTGGTATTTGGTTTTCCATTCCTGTGTTAGTTTGCTAAGGATAATGGCCTCCAGCTCTATCCATGTCCCTGCAAAGGACATGATCTTGTTCTCTTTTATGGCTGCGTAGTATTCCATCATGTATATGTACCATATTTTCTTTATCCAGACTATTATTTATGGACATTTAGGTTGATTCCATGTCTTTGCTATTGTGAATAGTGTTGAATAACTTAGTTCAGCCATTGTGGAAGACAGTGTGACATTTCCTCAAAGACTTAAAAACGGAAATACCATTCAACCCAGCAATCCCATTACTGGGTAAATACCTAAAGGGAGAACATTATTTTTTATTACTATTATTATTTGACCATTTTGGGAGGTTATCTTCACGATTTATACATGATTTTCAGGAACCCCTATTTCAGTACAATAATTTATGATGCAGAAAATTAAATCCCGTCCTGAGGATAATAGTAATAGTAGTATTAGTGGCAACAGCACTAGCAATAGTAGTAGTTATTCTATTAAATATCCAATACATATTTATTAAGCACCTATTATGGGCCAAGCACCCTGTTATATGTAGGGGAGAAAACAGTGGAATACATTCAAACTGTCCCTGACCCAGTGGAGTCTGCTGTCTCCTGAGGGGCTCACATATTCACATGAATAAAAATAAAAGTTAGACCTATGGTACAGGCATGGCAGAGGCTACTGGTCACCCCCCACTAACCCAATCCATCTGTAGATTTTTAGGGGTAGAACCTCTGAGGTAGCTGGACTCATGGCTGCTCAGCCAGAGACAGAGGCCATATCTCCCTCTTAACTGAGAGGGAGCATTCTATTTAATAAGCACTTCTACTGCACTCCCTGACCGCTAGCCACTGTCCTAAGTCCTTTAAGCATACTAGCTCGTCTTATCTTCTTGAGAACACTTTGAGGTAGACAGATGAGGAAACAAAGGAACAGAGAGGTTGAATATTTTAAGTCACACATCTCTTTTTCTTAGAGATGAAGTCTCACTCTGTTGCCCAGGCTGGAGTGCACTGGCATAATCTTGGCTCACCGTCACCTCCATCTCCTGGGTTCAAGAAATTCTCCAGCATCAGCCTCCCGAGTAGCTGGGACTACAGGTGCGCCCCACCATGCCTGGCTAATTTTTGTATTTTTAGTAGAGAAGAGGTTTCACCATGATGACCAGGCTGGTCTCGAACTCCTGACCTCAAGTGATCTGCCTGTCTCAGCCTCCCAAAGTGCTGGGATTATAGGCGTGAGCCACTGCGCCTGGCCTAAAGTCACACACCTCTTAAGGGAAGTAGCTAGAGTACAAATCCAGCCAGTCTAGCTTCAGAGTCAATGCTCCCTGTGTCTATGTATAGGCATAGATTTTTCAATATCATATGTGTGTGTGTACATACAACCTATATGTGTAAACACAAACCTGCAGACTGTGTGTATGTGTACAGAGGTCACACCAGTCCTTCAATTAATTAATTTATTTATTTATTTTTGGAGACAGGGTCTTGCTCTGTCTCCCAGGCTGGAGTGCAGTGGTGCTATCTCGACTCACTGCAACCTCTGCCTCCAGGGTTCAAGCAAATTCTTGTGCTTCAGTGTCCTGAGTATCTGGGACTACAACCAGGCACCACCACGCCTGGCCATTTTTTTTTTTTTTTTTTTTTGTATTTTAATAGAGATGGGTCTTCACCATGTTGCTCAGCCTAGTCTCAAACTCCTGAGCTCAGGCAAGCCACCCGCCTCAGCCTCCCAAAGTGCTAGGATTACAGGCGTGAGCCACCGTGCCTGGTAGTCCTTCAATTTAATACTGCAAATTTAACCTTGCTTCACTGTACGGCATCAGCTCCTTGGACATCTACACGGACTGTGGACACCATTTGATCCAATGTATAGCTAGTTCTCCCCATGGCTATTCAACTATACGTGCCCCCAGTATTCAAAGGACATTTGGAAACTCATCTGATATCTCCAAGTGCTGCTGCAAATAAGATCCTGATGCTGTTTTAGGCACCTGAGTAAAGTCAAAATCTAAGTACAACTATAACTATGACAGTTTTAGAGAGATTCTTGGCTTACTGCTGTTGAGCCACTTACACAATTCTGCAGAGAATAAATGTAGGAGAGAGCAACCTCTTTCCTGCCACCTGACCTTCACTTGGTGGTCAGTCGTGTGGAGCTGGACGTCACTGTCAGCTTCAGTGGAGTCCAACTGCTGACAGATAAGTGGGAGCACATGGCACGTGCGAGATAAGAGCCTATAAGAGCCTGGCGGCCTGAAATAAATGGCAACAACAATGCTCTTCTAAGTGGTCTTCCGAGAAAGCCCTGTTATCATCAGCATTGTTCACACTTAGTAACAACTTTCCTTGAATGGGGTTTTCAACATGTTTGTTCCTTTCAGTCTGAATTATCTGCCAGGGAAGAAACTCTTTCTAAAGTCCGTCAACAGTTGTGAGATTGGGTTGAGGCTCTCAAAGGAGTTTCCGGCTGTTGTCAACACAGCAGGAAGGGGCAAGGATAAAGGGTGATTTAGGAGCCTGTGCCTGGGTAGGTCCTGCCAGAGCCAGCCCAGCCCAGCCCAGCCCAGCCCAGCACAGCACAGCACAGCCCTGCCCAGTAGGTCACGCGAGCGCCATCAGCCAAGGCTTTTGGAAAAACCTATGACAAGGTTTTCAGCTTTTCAGAGATGTGCCAGGACTAACGCAGTGTTACTGGGGAGAAATTAAGAATGTATCCGACGTGTGATTCCCAACTTCATTTTCTGCCTACTCGCTTTAAACAGCCAGTATACAAGAGGCCACTCAGCCATGGAGAAAGTCCCTGAAAGTTCTACGAGATATTCTGATCTTAGTATATTGGGTTCTTAATCTGAACCATATTGAAAATTCCACCATGTAGTTTGAGCTTTGCAAAGTCAGGTCCCACCATATTTTTTTTTTTTTTTTTTTTTTTTTTTTGAGATGGAGTCTCGCTCTGTCGCCCAGGCTGGGATGCAGTGGCATGATCTCAGCTCACTGCAACCTCCACCTCCCGGGCTCAAGTGATTCTCCTGCCTCAGCCTCCTGAGTAGCTGGGATTACAGGCACGTGCAATGATGCCCGGCTATTTTTTGTATTTTTAGTCGACACGGGGTTTACCCATGTTGGCCAGGCTGGTCACAAACTCCTGATCTCAAGGAGTCCGCCCGCCTCGCCCTCCAAAGTGCTGGGATTATTCACAGGCGTGAACCACCACGCCCAGCCCCATCATAATTTTTCTGTAACTCCCCAGGTGACCAGTGCATCCGGCACAGTAATGCTCAATAAACAAGAGTTAAAGTGAACGGAAGATGCTAAATGCCACCGCCGATTGTCATCTACTGATGTATGTTTGAGAGAAATCTTACGGTGATTTCCCACAGCTGTCCTGGAGTCATATAAAGAGATATTTTGAGGGATTAATTCTAAATATTGGGAATGGAAAGAGAGAAAAGCTCTGAGAAAACTTCTTCATTTCGGTGATCAGGAGAAGATGCGTAAAGTATCATGACTTGCATTTTTACTCTCTGGACGAAGTTGTTTTCTTATTATTTTTTACTTTCATTTGTTCATTCACTCATTTACTGATCCACAGGCTTTGGAGTCAGACCTAGGGCTGTACCATCCTACTGTGCAGCTATGGTGGGCCATTGGGCAAGTCTCTGGTATCTCTAAGCCTCAATATCCCACCAAATGTAAAACTAATTCATTCAGTCAAGAGATGCTTTTAAGCACCTCCTAGGTTTCAGGTGTGGAAGAGAGTGAGCAAGAGAGACACAGGCCCTACTTTTGTGGAGCAACTGAACATGAAAGTATCAAATTAGAATATAGGTTTGAAGAAATGTGGAATGATGCACACAGACACAACAAGACAGAAAATATGAAAGGGTGAATAAGAATGATAAGGACTAGTTAAAATTTCAAAACGAGAGACTAGAGAGAGAAGAAATGTTTGAGGATAAAAGGTTGATGATTTTTCAGATATTAGGAAAGACAAAGGCCTTAGGTCCAGAGGGGACATTTGTCCCCTCTGGATCTGGAGATATTTGTATTATAGTGACATTACAAAATGCCAGAGATGATAAAAATAACTTAAAAGCAGCCCTAGAGAAATGACAGACATCAAAAGGAATAATAATCAGATCAACAGAAGTTTTGACAATAATGGATCCGCAAAGACGATAAAATTCTAAGAGAAAATAACTTTGCCAAGCCACTCTACCTTTCAAAAACAAGGTTGAACACATTTTCATATAATAAGATGTAAGGACTCTCACCTTGAAAAAAAATCCTCATGAAAGGAACTTCTAAAGGACATACTTCGGGGAAAAAGGACATAAATACAGAAGAAATATCTCAAACCTCAGATATGATCAAGAGTGTGAGCAAAGAAAAATTGGTAGCCACGTGGATAAATCCAAACATACTTTGACTGAATAAACCAATAGTCACATTAATAACAAATTATAGAATAGAAAACATTGTGGAACTAAAAACCTAACTAATTAAATAATGGTAATAGTTTAGGTGAGAGGAAGATGGCCTGTACTACAGGATGGACAACGAAGAAAGGACATTAGAAAGCATGTTAGAGCAAGTATTAATAAAACCTGGGAACTGGAGATGAAGGTAAAGAAGAGGGAGGATTCAGGGATGCTCAAAGTTCTTTTCTTGGGCAAATTAACTTCTCAAGACCTCAGGTTCCATATTAGAATAGTGAATGGACTGCACGAAATGACATAGAATTATTTTTATTCTGCTATATTAAGTGTTCAATATGTGCCAGCAATTATTACTTCCACAATATTGAGAGAGTGTTTTGTTTGTTCCCCATGGGTGAGACAAAGATGACCTGAACATGATCTAAGTGCTGAATAAGCTTAAAATGTGGTAAAAGAAATACATACACTACTAAGTCTATTTCAAGCCAGAGTGTGATCCACATGCCATCAGGGAAGAGCAAACGTTGTTTTGAAAAGCAAAGGAAGAGGAGATGATCCTGCAGTGAAATCCGGGGAAGATTTTCTGAAAATGTCAAATGGGGCCCTGAAGATTCTTTAGGATTTAAAAATACATAGTTCTTATTTTAATGGTAATATATACCTGTAGGAAATCTGAAAAATTAAAATAGTATAAAAAAGAATGAAATTACTTCCAAATCCTATTATCCAGAAATAATCACAGACAACAGGCTACTAGGCATCTCATCAGACTTTTCAAACTCTGATTCTCTGTTTCTATGAAATACCTTAACAGTGAATGTTGCATATAACATCATCAAATGTTATGCTTTTATAAAATTTTTAAAGCTCTAGAGGGTTCAATTGTATGGATGTGTCATAGCGTAGTGAACCAATCCTGGATGATCAGACACTAATTTTGTTCCTAATCGTTTACTTTTGCCACGGTACTGACATGCACTTTGCAGTTTTACATACTAAGAATAGAAGAAAAATGAACAATCATGATAGGATGTCTCAGGCATAGAAATCAAGACAAATAGAGGTAGAGTGTGCTCAAGAACATTGGTTCTTTCCAGTTTCACCGAAATGAAAAGTTTGTGTACACGAATGTGTAGAAACTAGATAGGGGAATAGTAGATGAAACTAGAGCCCATCGTGATGGGTTCTGAATGAATGATGTGTTTGGACATGATTAGGAAAGTAACTGGGAAGTTGATGATCAGATGTGCAGTTGAGAAAGTTGTATGTAATTAAAAGCAATAGACAGTGTATGTCAGTTAAAAATGCTTTCTGCTGCAAGTAATAGTAAACACTTCAAAAAAGTGGCTAATAAAGAGTGTTTATATTTTTCATATAACCCAAATGGTGACAGCCAGCGGTGGCTGATTGGGTTCAGATGTTCAGTGATATCTACAGAAGGCGCCGGGTCTTCCTGATGCTATGCTCTGTGATGCTTAGAGCACATTATTGGCTTTGTGCTTCCTGGCCACAGGATGACTGGTGTAGCTTCAGGCATCATGGCCTCAAATAAGAGCCAGAATCAGGGGTGTTGTTATGGCAGAGAAAAACCTGCTTGTGTCCCTCTCATCTTTAATCAGTACCTTAGTTTGCCAGGGTTGCCATAACAAAGTACCACAAACTGGTGGCTTAAAACAGCAGAAGTGTGTTCCCGAGGCTAGAAGTCGAAAAGCAAGGTTTTGGCAGGGCCACGCTCCTCTGAAGGCTCTAGGGAAGGATGCTTTCCTACATCTCTCCTAGCTTCAGGCGATTGCTGCAATCCTTGGCATCCCTTGGCTTGTAGCTGCATCACTCCAATTTCCGCCTCTGTCTTCACATGGTCTTCTTCCCTGTGTGTTTCCTCTGTGTCTCTGTATGTTCAAATCTACATCTTCTTACCCTTACAAAGATGCTAACCATTGGAATTAGGGTCCATGGTAATCTAGTATGACTTCATCTTAACTTGATTAGATCTGCCAAGACTATATATATTTCCAAATAAGGCCACACTCCTAGGTGCCATGGATTAGGACTTGAACATACCATTGGGGGGGTCAAAATTCAATCCACTACAATTGGGGACCAAAAATTGTTCTCACAATTTCCTGGTAGGTGCTCCTTCATAGCTCATGGCCAGTTCTGAGTCACTACTCATCCCTAGGCCTGGGGTGTACCCACTTTCTATGGATATTACGAGCTCTCTAGTTGATACTTGACAAAAGTCAGAATTCAAACAAGGGAGAAAAAAGGAGGAGTAGAGAATGTTTGCTAAATGGGCTACAGGATCTGCCACATAGAGGGACAACTTAGAAACATATATTCCATATATATGTTTATATATGGAATATTACATATATTACATAATATTACATATATATGTTTGGAATATATATACATGGAATATATATATTTCGAAGGTTGGTGCAAAGTGCAGTTTTGCCATTGTTTTTAATGGTATATATATAGTTGGACAAGACATAGGGACTGAACTAAAACAAAAGGCATAATATGTCAACAATATTTGTGGAGATAGACTCAATATACCTTGGAAACTACAATTATGAGCACAAGGGTCTATGTGCGGGGATGAGACCAATCTAGAATCTGGGAGCTACGGATCTCTGTGACCTTGATATTAAAAGAGTGAATAGAGGGCAATTTGGAAAAGGTGAGAAATAATTGAGCTGTAGAGAAACATATGCATGGTTAAAGATACAGTTCTATTGCTTTTTTATTAGTAATTTCCATTTCTAGCTCCACACACTCACCCATCCACTCAACTGACCTAAAGTGGGAAGGATATTTCCAGCCTAATAAATCTCTGGCAAGAACAGCAGCTCTCTGGCAAAATACTCAGCACCTGCCATGGAAATTAGAAGGCATTGGGATGACAGTTGCTTTTGTTTGGAGGATGAACATCAGGAGTGCTTGAGAAGTGACAGTGGAACTGCTTCCCTCTCACCATGTCTGTATTTGGATGTACATAGAATGTTTTAACCATTCCTGAGGTCCCATCTCCACGTACCTGAGCCTCTGGGGTGCAGACACACACCTGTGGTTTTTTCTATTAGTCACTTCCTTGGTAGGCCTCCAGCTGGAAGGAGGAAAGGACAACGTTGGAAGCCAAAGTCACCGCTTTGATTCTGGTAACCTTGTTGGAGATGCTGCACTCTGAAAACACAGTACATCCATTTCCAGAAAGTGAAGCCTGGAAAATTAGTGCCTAATCGATTTCATTCATAAATCCCCATCATGGCAGCTTACATGACGTTCAAGGAAAAACTTCTCAAGCCTCTCCATTTAAAATAAATGTTAGCTTTTATAGTAACATTGAGCAAAAGATTTATGTCCATTTTCTTCACATTGTTTGACTTCTAAGTGTCTTCCCCCACTTTTCATCCAAGGTAAACTTTCAAAAATGTTTTCCTTGAGGCTGGGCCTGTAGGAAATAATACATAGTAATCCCAGTACTTTTACTGGCTGTGTTTCTGTCAGGATCATCTAGTAAATTCAGTGCCTTTAGCAATCTTATCTCTTATTTAGTAGGAGATTAAAGAACACAGAGCCAATTATCCTCATTTTCTGGATGAAAAGACTGAGGTACAAAGGAGTTTGAAGACTTAATGTGGTTGCCCAATAGCTAGTGCCAAGTCTGGGGAAAAAATTGACTTTCCCATCCCCTAAGATGAAAAGGCAGCCTCTAGTTTTCCTGTGGTTGGGCACAAACATTGAGGAAGATAGTTAAAAACACTAAATGATCCTAAAATGCACATATATTGAATTGACATAAGCTATGTGCAAATGCTGAACACATTGTATCTACCATGTAGAACATAATCTATAAAATTTAACTTCTGTTTTCCCAATCTTTACCTGAGTGTGCATTTTTATATTAACATTTAGGTTGGGTACTTTAATATACTTGAGTTTGAACACAGTAATATCACAGAGTGATTTTTTGACCTAAACCAGAAATTATCTCTCCTTCCAGCTGAGCAGCTGAGCAACCTTCGTCTTCTGTAGAAGAAGGGAAGAACAGTCCTCGTCTGCTCGTTTATTGAGACAATTTAGAATCTGTGTTTTAAAATGGTCCATGTATACTTGAGTGTGTGAGGGAATAAAAGTGAATTGAAATATGAGGAACTGAGTTAACAATTGAGTTCATCATCTAGGAAGATTGATTCCTGGATCTGCCACTGCTTTTCTGGAGGTCTCTGGTGGATCACATCACCTGCTCTGAACCTGCCTTTCCAGTGGTTGAGGTTATTATGATACAGGAGGTCTAAATTTCCTTTCAGCTACAGAGTTTGTTATGCTTTGGATTGTGTCTCTCCCAAATTCATACGTTAAAGTCATAACTCCCGGTACTTCAGAATGTGGTCTTATTTGGAGATAGGCCCTTTACAGAGGTAATAAAGTTAATATGAGGTCATTAGAGTGGCCTCTAATCCAACACGACTCATGTCTTTATAAAAAGAAGGGGTAATTTGGACATGTAACCATGTGATGACACAGGGAAAAGATCATCATCTGCAAATCCAGGAGAGAGGCCTCACAGGAAATGACTGCTGCTGACATCTTGATCTTGGGTTTTTAGCCTCAAGCACTATGAGACAATACATTCATTTTGTTCAAGACACCCACGCTGTGGCACTTTGTTATAGCTTCCTTAGCAAACTAATACAGAGTTCTCTCATTCTACTCTGTTTAATTGTGTCATTACACATTTAGTACTAGTTAGTAGCATTTTTGTAAATGTTTATATGTATGCATTATCTTACTGAACCCTGACATTGTGTGAGGCAGGAATTATTGTCCTAATTTCACAGGGATTAGACACTCCATTACAGTTTAAAGATAAGTAAAGGCAGGCTCTCATGTAATTTGACCAAACTCAATGTTCTGGGGGCAGATCTGGGTCACAAATAAGAGGGCTCTTTCCAAAATTCATGCTGTGTCTTCTATTTCATGTTGCTTTTTGAAGGATCATAAGAGCTTGTGTAATTGTTATAATCAGAAAATACATGCTTAAAAAACAGAAATAGGGAAAGTTAAGGCAGCTCTCCTGAGAACTTAGAGAAACACTGTCTAAACCGAAGAAGTTGCGGGTATCATCCATGAATGGAGAAATACAATGGGAACTCTTTTCTCCTCAATATATCTCATTTGCTTGCTTATTTAGCCCAATTTGGCTGGAAAGATAATCGTTGAGGCCAAAATCCACAAGACAAAGGAAGACACGATCTTTCAGAGAAAAAAAAAATATTCTGAGTGAAATATTCCTGTTCGCAAACTGTTAAATGTGCAGCTCCAAGGAGCACCCTTTAATACATCAAGAAAGGATTTATTGTCCTCACAATGAGGAGACGGGGCACACATGCTGCAGGAAGGGCTGCAGGTTGGCAGAATGTTCTGGAAGGCAATTTGGCAGCATGTCCCCAAAGCCTCCATACCCTTTGATCCAGAGTTCTACTTTTAGGGGCTTATCCTACCAAAACAATGCAGTCCAAAGTGGGGAAAATATGTGTATGAGAATGTCCTGAGCAGCTCAGGTATCTACCTCAGTGGTCAGAAGAGGAGCATGAGGTGGAAGAAGAGAGCTAGGACTTGAGGGTGCCAGCACTGGGCACCCAGACTCAGGACTGACTGTCAAGCAATCATGGTGAATGTTGACATGGGCACATGTATGTCTAATAACACGTGATGGTGTTCATGACATATGTTAAATACTAACAGAAAACATAGTAAAAATAGTGTATGTCGTATGACATGGATATGTGTATCTATGTACATGTACACACATGTGCATCCATGTACATATATGCACAGACATGTTTACATGTGTTTGTACACACATAAGGGGTAGCAGGACTCAAATGACACACACCAAATGCTGACTATGGTTGTCCTTGTATCATAAAACCATGAAAGATAGGTTTATTTTTTCCATTTTCTTTGCTTATATAGTAATTTCTTTCTTTCTTTCTTTTTTTTTTTTTTTGAGACACAATCTCACTCTGTCGCCCAGTGCAGTGGTGTTATCTCGGCTCACTGCAAGCTCTGCCTCCTGGGTTCATGCCATTCTCCTGCCTCAGCCTCCTGAGTAGCTGGGACTACAGGTGCGTGCCACCACGCTTGGCTAATTTTTTGTATTTTTAGTAGAGACGGGGTTTCATCGTGTTAGCCAAGATGGTCTCGATCTCCTGACCTCATGATCCACCTGCCTCAGCCTCCCAAAGTGCTGGGATTACAGGTGTGAGCCACAGTGCCCGGCCATATAGTAATTTCTAAACTTCCTACAACATATATTTATCAATCTAGTAAAGAGAAATGTTTTTAATAAAGATTTGACCTGTTAATGTCTATAATATTGTCATGGTCATTATTTTTAATTTAACGTATCATCCAGGTCTTCCAAACTGTTGGATTCTTAGAGCTAATACCAATATTTGCTAAGAACATGAAGCACTCTCTTATTTAACCTGGGCTGTCAGTCATTCTTTCTTTCTTTGATGCAGTTTGCCTTAACCCAAGTTCAGATGACATGAAAAGTCATTTGTATTATGTTCTTGGAAGCTTGGACAATTGTATTACTCACATTCTACATGTCCAGGGATAGCTAATGGTTAGTAGTTTTACTGAACCGTAAGGTCACCTCTGATGGAATATTCATTGAGTACTGATACTATGTATCTTGTCTGTATTAGTAAGAGTTTTCCAGAGAAATAGAACTAATAGGATGTGTGTTTGTATGTGTGAGATGTTTGTGTATAAAGAGATTTATTATAAGGAATTGGTTCACATAATTATGAAGGATGAAAAGTCCGAAAATCTGCAGTTGGTAAGCTGGAGACCCAGGAGAGCTGATGGTATATTTCCAGTCCTAGCCTGAAGGCTATAGAACCAGGAGAGCTGATGGTGTAGGTTGCAGTTGAAAAGCTGGTAGGCTTGAAACCCCTGAAAAGCCAATTTTTCGTTTTCAGTCCAAAGACAGGAAAAGACCAATGTCCCAGTTCAAATGGTCAAGTAGGAGGGATTTTCTTTTGCTCAGCCTTTTTTATTCTGTTTAGGTCTTCAATTGATTGGATGAGCACACCCACATTATGGAGGGCAACCTGCTCTACTCAGCCTACAGATTCAAATGTTAATCTTATCTAGAAACTTCTCAAAAACACATCCAGAATAATGTTTGACCAAATGTCTGAGCACTCTGTGGCCCAGTCAAGTTGACACATAAAATTAACCATCATATTGTCCAACATACAAATGTGTCTCAATGGGCATAAACTGTTGAACCCAAACCTCCTTAGGGGCTATTACCACTTGTCCTGTTAAGCTGGAAGACCCCATGGGCTGACTTACTCTTCTGTGGCCACTTCACGGGGTAGGTCCATAAGAGACCCTTGATAATATGGAAGACCAGGACTTAGTTATTGAAATGCACTTCTGTATATCTGCTCTGAATTAAATTATATACAGCAAATGGACTCTATCAGATAAAAATTATAAAATGAATGCTTTAAATTCTCCACTGACTTTTATAAAATACTTCTCACTCTTTGGCTACCAGGTGATTTCGTTGGGTGTGTGCACAAATGCAAGCTCTTGCCACCATTAAATTGGCTATTTTATATATATGTGTGTGTGTGTATATACATATATATATACACACACATATATACATATATATACATATATACATATATACATATACACATACATACACATATATACATATATACATATATATACATATATACACACATATATACATATACGTGTGTGTGTGTGTATATATATATATTCTGCTCAGATTCAAATTCCCAAAAGCTGAGGGGTGGAGCTATTTACCTGCTTTCCCCCTGGGTGTTCCACCCTAGACACTTTGGCATTAAGAAATAAATGCTAAGGTACAGAGTTGGTTGTTTGGTCCTGAATTCAAGATTCTGTCCTAGCTCAAGTCTCAAGTTTGAAGGATGGTGGCTCTCTCAAGGCAGAATTGGAACCAGGAATAACATCCACACATGGGGGCTAGGAGAAGTGACTTGGCTAAAGAAGAGGACATGCCAGTAGAGAGATCTAACCCAGTGTCCAAGCCATCTTATAATCTTGCCAACTCTGGAAACAGCCAGTTCTGGGTTTCCAACCTGAAGGTAGATCACCGATGTAGAAAATCCAGTGGGCTGAGGACTGGAGTGTGAGGCTGTGGTCACCAGGAATAGCTGTGCATGGATAGTAGGATCCAAGGTGAAGGCTGGGACAGAGAAATGTAAGGCAGCTGTCCAGGGAAGGGCTCAACTGTAGTATGGCAGGGATTCAGGTCTAAATCCAGCCTAGTGGTTCTCAATTAGGGACTATTGGGCAATGTCTGGAGACATCTTGGGGCATTACAACTGGGATGATTGGCATCTAATGGGTGTCATCCTACAATGCACAAGATAGTATCCTACAGTAAAGAAGGATCTGTCCTCACATTTCAACAGTACCGAGGTGGAAAAACTCTGGTAACCTTCTAGGTTGGGACAGCAAAGACCTGGGCAGGCAAATATGGAAGGGCAGGAAGGAGAGCTGGGTCTGGGAGCAGATCAGCACCCTGAAAGCCACCACTGGCAGCCCCACATGTGGTCTGATTTGCAAGAATGAGCACCAAGTGGCAGGAGCCCAGTGCTGAAAATGGGGTCATGATCATGGGCTGAGCTTGGGGTTGTTTCTTGTGAAGACCCACAAGACATGAAGAAGGAAAATGAACCTTAAGACATGCCTCTTGCCTCAGGCAGGGATGACTCAGGTTGGGGTCAAGGTGAATGGTGGCGCATCACTGGGAGGCCCATTGAGGGGACATAAGAGAAGACATGGGCAATGGCAATGAGGCCTGAAGTCCCAGAAAGGAGCATGCAAAGACTTCCCATGAGGGACATTGGAAGAACTTTTCCTTTTCCTTCCAGACAGCCTCCCCTTGCATAGGTTATCTGGGAAAGGAATGGACTGTGGTGATAAAGAGCATGTGCTCTGCAGCTGGCCTGCTGGGACTAGGATCCTGTCTCTGTTCTTTGCTGGCTATGTGACTTCTCATAAGCTATTTAAATTGTTCATGCCTCTATTTCCTCATCTGTTAAATGAGAACAATAGGCCTGGTGTGGTGGCTCATGCCTGTAATCCCAGCACTTTGGGAGGCTGAGGTGGGTGGATTACGGGGTCAACAGTTCGAGACCAGCCTGACCAACATGGTGAAACCCCGTCTCTACTAAAAATACAAAAATTAGCCAGGCGCAGTGGTGGGCACCTGTATTTCTAGCTACTCGGGAGGCTGAGGCAGGAGAATCTCTTGAACCTGGGAGGAAGAGGTTGCGGTGAGCCGAGACCATGCCATTGCACTCTAGCCTGGCCAACAGAGCACGACTCCATCTCAAATAAAAATAAATATATGAAAATAAAAAAGAATATTAAAATAGCATCTCATAGAGATAATGAGAGTTAAATGAGTTAATACAGCTGACCCTTGAATAGCACTGGTTTTAACTGTGTGGGTCCACTTATAGGCAAATTGTTTTCAACTAAACACAAATTGAAAATACCTGTGTGTGCTGAGGACTGTCTTCATACAGCAGGTTCTGAAAGCTTGACTGTGGAACTTGAATATGAGCAGATTTTGGTATATTGGGGGTACTGGAACCAATCCCCTCAGTATACCTTTATTTGCAAAGATAAGGGTAACAACTATGATATTTATAAATATATATATATATATTGCACACCCACCCATGAATGTAATATTTGTGAATATATATTTTCATATTTGTAAAGATGAGATGTGATAACTGTGTTTCTTAGTTTCTCAAAATAGATACTAGTTTATTTTCCACCTCTTAAAATTAAACATCTTGTGAAATTGAAACAAGAAAAAAGAAAAGTTTTTTGCTTCTGCTGTCCTTTTCTCAACACTCCCAGGTTCCCAGGGCTATGAGAATTGGGGTCAGTCACACCTTTCCTGTAGGGATAGCACAATGAGTGGGCTGTGGTCAGGGGTGTTGGTCAAAACTGCCTTGGAGTAATCCCGAGGACATATTCCTCCCTCCTCCCCGACTCCAGCACTGAAACAACACTCAGCTCAAAGAGTTTAGGTCAGACTTCCTATGTCCAGTCTGCCTCCCCATATCAACTTTAGTTGCTTGTCACAAAAACATTTTGCTCACAAAACATTCCAAAATGCGCAGGTTAGAGCAGGGATTTACAACCAAGGTAGTGTGAACCGCCATCCTGGCATCTGTATTGAGTGCAGCTAATCAGTTACAAACGTGCACACTCACCAAACACAACTCTGTACCTCAAATGTGGGAAGGCCCCTAAATCCTATATCCAGCATATGAATAAAATAAAGGGAAAAGCAATCATGCTGAGATGTATAATAAATCAGCATGACTTTGTTTTAAAATTTTGCTAAAGTTTAAACATGCACCGGGGAAGGTGTCTATTAATAGTCATTAATATGCATAGAGATCTTCACATATTTCACTCACTAATGCATGCCAGAATTTTTCTTTTCCTGCTGGGATTTTTCCCCCAACAAATTTTTCTGTTGAGATTGTGCTTCTTAGAAAAAGATAAGGCAAATGTGGTTGAGCAAGTTGGACACTGGACACTTGACTGTGTGTGATGACTTCACTAATAATTCTAGCTTGATTAAAACTGGTAATCTAGAAAGTGAATATAGTATTAAGAATTAGGCTTAGAGTTAAACAGCCAATCTAAGAGAATTGCAAATGATTTCTTATTGCCTATCAAGATTCAAATAATGCTCAGAACACTCATGGCTACTGGGTTTTTGTTGAAAAGTGATAGCTCTGGGTATGAAGAAAAGGATGACCTCACACACATCTTTCATCCCTGTGGCCTTGGGAAGGAAATCTTCAGTTGGAAGGTTTTTAGGCTACAAATAACATGAATGAGTAGAGTCGTAGCCCTTGTTTTTTCCTTTGTGATTTACACTGCAATGTTCTAAGGAGCGAGCAATGACCTTCGACATCCACATGGCCTTATTTTACAGGGGAGTTGAGAGCCACTGAATTTATGTCCTTGTTTGAGCTTCCAAAACCAATTAGCATCAGAGGCAAGCCTTGATCATGCGGCTCTTGGTTCTCACTTCTGGGCTCCTTCCCTCACCCTGGGTGGGTCCCTTCTGGCAGAGACATCTGCTCTGGAGCATTCATGCCTAAAGAGTGACATGACATTTTTCAGCACCTATTACGGCCTGAAAACTGGAATCCATTGTGATGTTAAGATGCTGCACTTTGTGCCAATGAGTCTTTATTTCCCACTTTGCTTTAACTCAAACCTTGTGTGATACTTCCAAATGTCTGTCTCAATCCACTCTGATCTTCAACACCAGCAAGTTCCAATGGGAGATTTTAATTCCCAGTCTGCTCTTGGGAAAAGGATAAAAATTAATTCTCAGGTTCCTCTTCTCCCAGTCCATGTTTGAAACTGGAGATGCAAGTGGTACTCACACAATTAACCTTCTTTGTGACCATCTCTCCCAACGCCAGCTTTGCTGTCAAACTCTCTATACAATTCAGTGCAAGAAACACACTATTGTGGGGATCCTATATAAGACAGTGGATAGGAGTCAGGACTAGCTTACAGCTCCCATGGGACAGACAGAGCAGTGTGTGGAGACTCACATCCCAAACTTTTGCTCCAAGAATGACCACAGAAACATGCCAGGAAAGCCGAGAGAATCCATAGACCCTTCAAAGGAACTGGGTTCACTACTGTGGGCTCCCTGAGATGCTGAAAAGCAAGTCTGCTTGCTTTCTCAGAAGGGAGGCTTGTGGTGTGGGGCAAGTTCTCCACCCAGGTCACCAGCTGCTTGGAAATAGACTGGGTGCTGTTGGAGGGGGATGGTGGGAGTGAGACCAGCCTTTAGGACTGCGGGCTGTGTGGGAGTAGGGTGAGGCCTGTGATTGCTGGCTTTCCCCCACTTCCCTGGTGACCTGCACGACTCAGCAGAAGTAGCTATAATCCCCCTGGGAATACAATACTCCATTGGATTGGGAACCGCACCCTCATCCCCCACAGCAGCCATAGCAAGCCCCGCCAAAGGAGAGGCTGAGCTCAGACAAACCTATCCCTAACCCCACCTGGTGGTCTTTCTCTGCCTGCCCTGGTAGCTGAAAACAAAGGTCATAATCTTTTGGGAGCTCTGTGGCCCTGCCCACAGCCTGAGAAACCTGAACACTTAACCAGGTGTCCCTCAGACAAGATTGTATCCTCCCTATAGGACTGCAGCTAATGTACTCTTGAAAGTGCCACCCCTTGGCTGGAAGCCAAGCAACATAAAACCAGCACACTAAACAAAAACATAACCAAGGACCCTGACATAGTCCACTTCATTCCCCTGCTACCTCCACCAGAGCAGGTGCTGGTATCCATGGCTAAAAGACCTGAAGACAGATCACATCACAGGACTCTTTGCAGACACTCCCCACTATCAGCCCGGAGCCCTGAAGCTCTGCTGTGTGGCTAGACCCAGGAGAGCAAAAACAATCACTACAGTTCAGCTCTCAGGAAGCCCCACTGCTAGGAGAAGGGGGAGAACGCCACATTCAGGGAGCACCCCATGGGATAAAAGAATCTGAACAGCAGCCCTGGAGTCCCAGATCATCCCTGACATAGTCTACCCAAATGAGAAGGAATCAGAAAAACAGTTCTGGTAATATGACAAACAAGATTCTTTAACATCCCCAAAAGATCATCCAGCTCACAAGCAAGCGATCCAAACCAAGAGGAAATCTCTGAATTGCCAGAAAAAGAATTCAGAAGGTAGATTATTAAGCTAATCAAGGAGGCACAAGAGACAGGTAAAGTCCAACTTAAAGAAATAAAAAACATGATATAGGGTATGAAAGGAAAATTCTTCAGTGAAATAGATAGCATGAATAAAAACAATCACAACTTCTGGAAATTAAGGACACACTTAAACAAAATGCAAAATACACTAGAAGTCTCAGCAACAGGACAGAACAAGAAGAAGAGAGAACTTCAGAGCTCGAAGACAAGGCTTTTGAATTAACCCCATCCATCAAAGACCAAGAAAAAAGAATTTAAAAAATAAACAAAGCTTCCAAGAAGTTTGAGACTATGTTAAACATCTAAAACTAAGAATAATTGGCATTCCTGAGGAAGAAAATAAATCTAAAAGTTTGGGAAACATATTTGAGGGAATAATCAAGGTAAACTTCCCTGGCCTTGCTAGAGATCTAGACATCCAAATAAAAGAATCTCAAAGAATACCTGGGAAATTCATCACAAAAAGATCATCGCCTAGGCACATAGTCATCAGGTTATCTAAAGTCAAGACAAAGGAAAGAATCTTAAGAGCTATGAGGCAAAAGCATCAGGTAACCTATAAAGGAAAACCTATCAGATTAACAGCAGATTTCTCAGCAGAAACTCTAAATTCTAGAAAGGGTTGGGGTTCTATTTTTAGTCTCTTTGAACAAAACAATTATCAGCCAAGGGTTTTGAATCCAGTGAAACTAAGCTTCATGAATGAAGGAAAGATACAGTCTTTTCCAGACAAACAAATGCTGAGATAATTCACCACTACCAAGCCAGCACTATAAGAACTGCTAAAAAGGAGCTCTAAATCTTGAAAAGAAAATTCTCAAATACACCAAAATAGAACCCCCTTAAAGCAGAAATCTCACAGGACGTGTATAACAATAACACAATGAAAAAAAGGTATCCAGGCAACAAATACCATGATGAATAGAATAGTACCTCACATCTCAATACTAACATTGAATATAAATAGCCTAAATGCTCCACTTAAAAGTTACAGAATGGCAGAATGGATAAGAACTCACTGACCAAGTTTCTGCTGTCTTCAGGAGACTAACCTAACACATAAGGACTCACATAAACTTAAGGTAAAGGGGTGGAAAAAGATACTCCATGCAAATGGACACCCAAAGTGAGCAGGAGTAGCTATTCTTATATCAGACAAAACAAACTTTAAAGCAAAAGCAGTTAAAAAAAAGACAAAGAGGGACATTATATAATGATAAAAGGACTAGTCCAACAGGATAATATGATTCTAAATATATACACACTTAATACTGGAGTTCCCAAATTTATAAAACAATTACTACTAGACCTAAGAAATGAGATCGATGGCAATACATAATAGTGGGGGACTTTAGTACTCCATTGACAGCACTAGACCAGTCATCAAGACAGAAAATCAACAAAGAAACAATGGACTTAAACTACACCCTACAACAAATGGACTTAACAGATATTTACAGAACATTCTACCCAACAACTGCAGAATATACATTCTATTCATCAGCACGTGGAACTTTCCCCAAGATAGACCATATGATAGGCCACAAAACAAATCTCAGGAAATTTAAGAAAATCGAATTTATATTAGGTACTCTCTCAGAATACAGTGGAATAAAAGTGGAAATCAACTCCAAAAGGAACCCTCAAAACCATGCAAATACATGAAAATTAAATAACCTGCTCCTGAATGATCATTGGGTCAACAATGACATCAAGATGGGAACTGAAAATTTCTTTGAACTGAACAATAATAGTGACACAATCTATAAAAACCTCTGCAATACAGCAAAGGTGGTGCTAAGAGAAAGGTTCATAGCATTAAATGCCTACATCAAAAAGTCTGAAAGAGCACAAATAGACAATGTAAAGTCGCACCTCATGGAACTGGAAAACAGAAACAATCCAAACCCAAACCCAGGAGAAGAAAAGAAATAACCAAGATCAAAGCAGGACTAAATGAGACTGAAACAAAAGAAATACAAAAGATAAATAAAACAAAAGGCAGGTTATTTGAAATGATAAATAAAATTGATAGACCATTAGCAAGATTAACCAAGGGAAGAAGAAAGTCCAAATAAGCTCATTTACAAACAAAATGGAAGATATTGCAACTGATACCACAGAAATACAACAGATTATATAAGGCTACTATGAACATCTTTATGAGCATAAACTAGATAACCTAGAGGACATGCTAGAGGATATGGATAAATTCCTGGAAATATACAACACTCCTAGATTAAACCAGGAAGAGATAGAATTTCTGAACAGATCAATGACAAGTACTGAGATTGAAATGGTAATAAAAAAATTGCCAAAAAAGTCCAAAACCAGATGGATTCACAGCTGAATTCAATCAGACATTCAAAGAATTGGTACCAATCCCATTGACACTATTCCAAAAGATAAAGAGGGAATCCTCCCTAAATCATTCTATGAAGCCAGTATCACCCTAATACCAAAACCAAGGAAGGACATTAAAAAAAAAAAAAAGAAAACAATATCCCTGATGAGCATAGATGCAAAAGTTCTCAACAAAATACTAGTGAAATGAATCCAACAGCATACAGAAAAGATAACCCACCACGGTCAAGTGGGTTTTATACCAGGGATGCAGGGATGGCTTAACATATGTAAGTCAATAAATGTGATACACCACATAAATAGAATTAAAAACAAAAATTACATAATCATCTCAATAGATGCAGAAAAGGCATTTGACAAAATCCTGCATCCCTTTATGATTAAAACCGTCAGTAAATCGGCATAAAATGAACATACCTTAAGGTAATAAAAGCCATCTATGACAAGCCCACAGCCAGCATTATACTGAATGGGGAAAAGTTGAGAACATTCCCCTTGAGAACTGGAACAAGACAAGGATTCCCACTTTCACCACTTCTATTCAACATTCAACATAGTACTGGAAGTCCTAGCCAGAGCAATCCGACAAGAGAAAGAAATAAAGGGCATCCAAATTGGTAAAAAGGAAGTCAAACTGTTGCTGTTTGCTGATGATATGATCATATATGTAGAAAACCCTAAAGACTCATCCCGAAAGCTCCCAAAACTGGTAAATAAATTCAGCAAAATTTCAGGAAACAAAATTGTGTTAGTCCATTCTCACACTGCTAATAAAGACATACCTGAGACTGGTTAATTTATAAAGGAAAGAGGATTAATTATTTAACAGTTCAGCATGGCTGGGGAGGCCTCAGGAAACTTACGATCATGGTGGAAGGGGAAGCAAAAACATCTTTTTTTCACATGGTGGCAGGAAGAAGTGCTGAACAAAGGGGGAGAGACCTTTATAAAACCATCAGATCTTGTGAGAATTCACTCACTATCATGAGAACAGCATGGGGTGACAGCCCCTGTGATCCAATCACTTCCCACTAGGTCCCTCCCCAAATGTGGGCATTAAAATTCAGATAACAATTCAAGATGAGATTTGGGTGGGGACAGAAAGGCCATATCAAAAATTAACGTACACAAATCAGTAGCTCTGCTATACACCAACAGTGACCAAGCTGAGAATCAAATCATGAACTCAACCCCCTTCACAACAGCTGCAAAAAAAAAAAAATATACTTAGGAATTTACCTAACCAAGGACATGAAAGACTTCTACAAGGAAAACTACAAAACACTGCTGAAAGAAATCAGAGACAATGCAAAAAAAGTGGAAACACATCCCATGCTCATGGATGGGTAGAATCAATATTGTGAAAATGACCATACTGCCAAAAGCCATCTAGAAATTCAATGCAGTTCCCAGCAAAACACCACCATCATTCTTCGCAGAACTAGAAAAAACAATCCTAAGAATATAGAATCAAAAAAGAGCCTGCATAGCCAAAACAAGACTTAGCAAAAACAACAAAACTGGAGGCATCACATTGCACAACTTCAAACTATACTATAAAGCCATAATCACCAAAACAGCATGATACAGAATAGAGAACCCAGAAATAAAGCCAAATACTTACAGCCAACTGTTCTTTGACAAAGCAAACAAAAACATAAATTGGGGAAAGGACACCCTATTCAACAAATGGTGCTGGGATAATTGGCAAGTCACATGTAGAAGAATTAAACTGGATCTTCATCTCTTACCTTATACAAATATCAACTCAAGACGGATCAAACACTTAAATCTAAGACCTGAAACCATAAAAATTTTAGAAGATAACATTGGAAAAATCCTTCTAGACATTGGCTTAGGCAAAGACTTTATGACTAAGAGCACAAAAACAAATGCAACAAAAACAAAGATAAATAGATGGGACTTTTGAAAATCTGCACAACAAAAGAAATATTCAGCAGAATTAATAGATAACCCACAGAATGGGAGAAAATCTTCACAATCTATACATTTGACAAAGGACTAATATCCAGAATCTACAAAGAACTCAAACAAATCAGCAAGAAAAAACAAACAAAAAAACAAAAAACAACCCATCAAAAAGTGTGCTAAGGACATGAATAGACAACTCTCAAAAGAAGATATACAACTGGTCCACAAGATATGGAAAAATGCTCAACATCACTAATTATCAGGGAAATGCAAATCAAAACCATTATCTGATACCACCTAACTCCTGCAAGAATGGCCATAATCAAAACAATCAAAAAATAATAGATGTTGGTGGGGATGCAGTAAAAAGGGAACACTTTTACACTGTAGTGGGGGTGGAAACTAGTATAACCACTATGGAAAACAGTGTGGAGATTCCTTAAAAAACTAAAAATAGATCTACTGTTTGATCCAGCAATTCCACTACCAGGTATCTACCCAGAGGAAAATAAGTCATTACACAAAAAAGATACTTGCACATGCATGTTTGTAGTAGCACAATTTGCAGTTGCAAAAATATGGAAACAGCACAAATGCCCATCAATCAACGAGTGGATAAAGAAAATATGGTATATATATATATACACATACATACACACCATGGAATACTACTCAGCCATAAAAAGGAACAAAATATTGGCATTCACAGCCACCTGGATGGAATTGGAGGCTAGTATTCTAAGTAAAGTAACTCAGAAATGGAAAATCAAATATTGTACATTCTCACTCATATGTGGGAGCTAAGCTATTAGGGCACAAAGACATAAGAATGATGCGTTGGACTTTGGGGACTGAGAGAAAAGAGTACGAGGTGGTGAGGAATAAAGGACTAGACACTGGGTACAGTGTACACTACTCAGGTGATGGGTGCATCAAAATCTATCTCAGAAATGACCCCTAAAGAACTTATTCATGTAACCAAACACACCTGTTTCTCAAAAACCTATTGAAATATAACAGTTTAAAAAATTTAAAAAAGAAAAAAGAAACACACCATTGTGGTTTTTACAAGACCCCAAAGTTTGAGGAATTGGTTAGTTAGCTCCACATTTTGACACTCACCATGTGTGTAACACAGCATAAAGCCTCCCCTCTGTGAGCTATTAGATGAGAAAGATGAAACAATACTGGCACATCTGAAAAAGCATAAGAATGAGCAGAATGGTGCCAGTCATGCAACAGAGAGTGGTGAAAATAGTGTGTGCACTCATTTTTGGAAAGAGTGATTGGCATCTGGTGCTTGTTCATGAAAATGTAGAATTTCAGGACCTGGGAAAGAGTTCATTCAATATTTTGACTGGCTGTGGTTTAAATGAACAACTGTTTCTGAACACTCCTGTGCCAATGACTGTCTCCCCATCTGCTGACCATCACCCCGTCAGTACTCATCTGTGAGCAGCATCTCTGTGAGCCACGCTTCAGCGCAAGGTTTGCTGTGCTGCAATCTGCTTCTGTTTGCATACGAAAAGAGAAAAGTGAATAAATGTTTCAAAATTCCTACGTTGGAAAGATTCTGAATCCACCCCAGTCGTCATCTACTTCTTTATTTAGAATTATTCATATGTGCGTTATTTACAGTTTCTCCATGTGGTGTGCTTTCCTTTGTGTTTCTCTTAACATTTTTAATGACCAAAGGCAAACAGGAATCAGTTATTTTGTCACAATTCCTTCCCATTTAAATGGAGATGGCCAGATTTTCCTATGGCATTCATACTATACCTATTTTCTTTCTTACTTTCTTAATTTCCTCTCTTAAGTCTTATCTATATCTTTGTTAGGAAGAAATAATTTCAGATAGAATAAACTAATTAATATATAGTTATAGATATTTTCAGAACTATCTATTATAGTTTCAGAACAGACTATTTTGAATATATATATATATATTCAAATACTCAGACCTGCAATGAGCCCAAATATGTATTTAAATATACATATTCAAACTAACAAAATTTTAGCTGCAGCTAAATAGCAAACTTAAGAAGATGAAAGATAGATGAGCCAGAATTGTGATGGGCCTGAGCTTCTAAGATCTCAGTAGGTGTTTTACCTCCTAAACCAACATTGGGAGAGCGTTAAAATTATTTATCTCTGCCCTTCAGTTACATAAGCTACCTTCTATTGATCTGTCTCATTAAACTGAGGAAGGCATGTGAGACTCACTGCCAAGGAATTCAATTGCCTCATTGCCACTTGTTGCTATTTATGTGTGAAAATGACAGAAATTTATCCTGCCATCCAGGATTTTAAACAAAAACAACTTAAATGAAAAAGCCTCATTTTCTGTTGGGGTTTCCCTTGGGAAGGAAACATTGCTCTTTTTAAGTGGGATGAATTTTGCACTTCATTAAACGCCTTGATCTTTTCATCACTTTAGCCTTTAATGCAATAACATAATCTTAGATCATCTAGATTAATGATTACAATAAAATTGTGCATATAAATCTTACAAGGGCCATGAAAGTGAGCAGCTGCAGATGCTGAAGTCTGATTTCTGAAACTTTAGGCAGATTTATCTCTATTGACATATATCCTACTTTTTTTGTCTAATTAAACCAAGCTTAATCTTTTCACATGTTTTTCTCCTAGAGACTTATCAAACTTCCAGTCAAGGAGTTGAACAGGTCTTTGGGAAGCAATTTGTTCCCTGGCCTAATGTTTAACTCAAATCCTTCTGGTGTCTTTCAAGTTCCGTCTTGATATTTGTGGAAATCCTAAACTGCACAAGAGCCCTGTTACACACAGAATGGCATTCTCCAAGAATCCCTGCAGCCAAAGATTGTGTCCCAATTTAGGACATGATGATTAAGACTATTTCACTGAGAGAAGCATCCCTATTGTTCACCTCTCTGAGACCTACTGAGCCAGGCAGGAGGAAGTCTCCTTGGCCTACTTGCACCAGCAGGAGCGAGCGACTCAGAGCTGCAATGAGCCCAAAGAACACAGGGCAACAGCCTTGGCATGTAGGCCAAGGATTTTTAAACTAGTCTTAATAACTCAGGTCAAGTTCCCAGCTAGGGTCCCTTAACAAGTCAAGCAAAGAAAGACTTGGGGAGTTTGGAGCATTTTAGGTTCTGCTGTGTAAGGTAGCAGTTCTTGGTTCTACCAGGAATTCCAGACATATTGTCCTAGAACATTCTGTGGTTCCATAGGTGCAAGACACAAAATATACTACTATGCTCTTCTTTGAGGCTAGGTTTTCAGATGTGTATGTGAAAGAAGTAGGAACCATGTCTGCTTTGTAAATACTGGTGTCTTAATAGAGGTTCATGTGATAAAGCAGGGGAGGCCTCAGTGTGGTAGAGGCTTTGTGTCTCAGTTTGGGCTGCTATATGGGAATACCACAGACTGGGTGGCTTAAATAATAAGCATTTATTTCATTTCCCACAGCTCTGGAGGCTGGGAAGTCCAAGAACAAACGTGCTAGACAATTCTGTGTCTGGTGAAGGCCCACTTCCTGGTTCATAGATGGCCGACTTCTTGCTGGGTCCTCACATGGTGGAAAGAGGGCTGGAGAGCTCTCTAGGATCCCATTTATAAGGGCACCAATCCCATTCATGAGGCCTACTCTTTCATGACCTAATTGTCTTAAAAAGGCCCCATCATCTAATACCATCATCTTGGGGGTTAGAATTTTAACATATGAATGGGGGGTAGAAATATTTAATCCATCATATCATACAAACTGTACAGTCCACTGAGTTTAATATCCTGGAAGAGCACATACATTATCCATTCACATGTTACTATCACTCAAGTAGGTGCATTGTTGGTGGCTCTGGCCAAGATCAGAAGCCTAACTCTAAGAAGTGAGGGTATCAGTAGGTCAGAGTACCAAAGGATGTTGTCCTTCCTCCCATAGGAAGTAGATAAGCTATATATAGGTCACCCACATCTGCTTTGGAGAGTAGCCTTCACAGATCCTATTTGAAATACAGTGACTTAAAGTCAGCTAATTTGCCAAACATCCATCACAGATGAAATATCTATCCAAAGATATGATATACAGAAACTGGGTCGAAGGTGGTAAAGCATAAAAGAAAACAAGAAAATAAACCCAGAACTACCCAGTTAGACTCTAAACAGAATCCTCTTCTAGAGAGATTAAGCTCTTGCAATTTCCCAATTGCTTGGCTTGGGGTTGGTGATGGGAATAGTCCTGATAATTTTTGCCATGCCTGTGTGGACCCAGGGGGCTACTGGTACTCATTAAATATTTTGAAATATTCAAAATGGCTTTACTAAAATTTGTGAGACAAGAAAAGTGAACATCACAAATTAAGGAAACACGAATGAGAAGGCTGGGGATACTGCAGGCTCAACCCTTTCCATGGAACCAGCAAAACTCAAGCTCACCTGGTATTTTTTCCACCTCTCCTGTATTTTACCTACTTTGTCTTTACACTGCAACATTGGGGAGCAATTTGCTCCATATGAGTTGCCTAAACATTCAGACCAAGAAAGAGAGAAAGAATCATCTTTCCCACCTTCTTAGGATCTGCCTTCTGTCTACTTCCATTCATTACCCAGAAATTAAAACCAGAAATGGCCTTTCTGCCCAGGCAAAGTTCCACTTTCTACCCAAAGGAATGCAAGCTTGCCTTTGCAAGGATGGATTAAAAAATCATACCTCCATACCATGACCAAAAACCCATACAATCAATGTGTACCCGATAGTCAAGGCTAACTCATTTATTTAGCGTCACAGAGATACCTTAATTCTCTTGCTTTTTCATTGCTTTTAAATTTTCCCTCCCCAGGCACTGTTTTCTCCTTCTGAAATCCCTACTATTTGTGTTATATCTTCCAAGTCTCTTATGTTTTCTTTTTTTATGGTTTTCATTGCTTTGAGATTTATTCAAACTGTAAGATATTTCTTTTTGGTTTTCTGAAACACAAATTCACATTTTTTCAGTTTATTTGTTTTCAATATCAAAAGCATGCTTCTTAGTTCTCCAAAGTTACTTTTGGTGCTGTAATTGCATATCCCTGAAGAGTCTCATCCCTTTTCAGTTTTTCTCTTCTTCTTCTTCAATTGGAATCACCACTGGTAGGTGTGGCCTTGGGGCCTCTCCCTTGGAGGACCGAGTCCCGTTCATCTTCTTTGTTTTCCTTAGCACACCTGTAGCTGTGTATTTTCCAGCACTCATTCTGGTCTGGATGTTGGGAGTCTCTTGAACAGGGACAAGCTGGAGGCTGGGGGAGGGTAGGTCAGACTCTGGTTTGGGGTCTGAGAGAGACAGACCTGGCCACCCAGACCTCTCTGGAGCATACACTGGCAGCCCCTGTCAACCACAGGAGCATTGGGTAACTTCAACTTGCAAAAGAGCTTTGGCCTATGTCCACCAGGGCTGGCCACTGGGAAGCCACTCCATGCTCCACCCAACAAGGAGACAGGTACAATCCTTTCCAAGAAGAACTTAAGGGCTCTGCTGGCTGGGCCTCCTTGGGGAGCCATGAAATCAGTGGCATTGGCCTCAGACGTAGAGGACAGGCCAGCCTCTACTATACCATGGGTCCCTTGGTTCCCACTAAGAATAATAATAATCATGTAAACATCTGGTGCATACCTAGGGCTGACACTAAGCAGAGAGAAGGTGAGGTGGACCACCCTGTGTAGCTGCAGTTCCTGGAACTCTCAGTGCCACAGACACCCTTCCAGCTCCACAGTAAGCCTGCTTACTTGTGTTATTATAAGAAGGAGTTGAGGGGCAAAGGGATTGGAGGCATATATTCAGATATGCCAAAGGTTGTTTTCTTTCAAGGTGATACATGCTAATAAGCACGAGGCCAAAGCAGGCTTCCCTGAGAGCAGATGGGTGTGTGCATGCGTATGTGTGTGTGTGCACACACGCATGTGTATCAGCACACTGTGGACTGACACAATTAACCTGACCAGAATTAGCTCAATGCATCATGGCCCAGGGTCAGAACAGTATCTCACTCACCCAAGAGATGGGTTCCATCATCATTCATCTCTCCATTTCCCACCTATCCATCCGTCTTCCCATTCAGCCTATTCCCTACCCCCATCCCACCCCTCCATCTACCCATTTATTTTTCTATAGTATTCCTGAAGTCAGGGCGTTTAATATGTGATTTTGTGGAAAAATGTAGGAGACAGGGAGTTTATCTCCAGGATCACGTTTCATTCATATTTAACACATCTGTACTGCTGGAACAAGATGCAAATCCCACAAACCCTTATATTGCAACACCTCCTCTCCCCCCGCTTTTAAACCTGAACAATAACTTTGAGCAATATAATTCTAGGTCATTAAGAGAAAACATTGGCTGGGTGCGGTGGCTCACGCCTGTAATCCCAGCACTTTGGGAGGCTGAGGTGGGTGGATCACCTAAGGTCAGGAGTTTGAGACCAGCCTGGTCAACACGGTGAAACCCCATCTCTACTAAAAATACAAAAAATTAGCCAAGTGTGGTGGCGGGAGCCTATAATCCCAGCTACTTGGGAGGCTGAGGCCAGAAAAATTGCTTGAAGCCAGGAGGCAGAGTTTGCAGTGAGCCGAGATCGCACCACTGCACTCCAGCCTGGGTGACAGAGTGAGACTCTGTCTCAAAAAAAAAAGAGAGAAAACATTGATGCGTCACATAAAATAATAACATTGAGATAAAAATGGCACATTACAGAAATTAATGCTTTGTGACTTTTCAAAGCACTTTCACATTCATTGTCTTATTTGGTTTCCATAGGCACCTATCCATCAGCAAAGTAGGGCTGGCATCTTTATTAATTTCATAAACTTGTTTAGAGCTTATTTTCCAGATTTCATAAATAGCTTCAGTTCTAAAAAAGGTGAGTAGCAGGGTTCTGGAGTATACATATTTAGTGTAATGATTTGGTAAAATAATTACACATTGTCTGTAATCCCAGCTACTCAAGATTACTGAGGCAGGAGAACTGCTTGAACCCGGGAGCGGGGTGTAGCAGTGAGCCAAGATCACGCCACCGCACTCCAGCCTGGGTGACAGAGTGAGACTCAATCTCACAAAAAAAAAAAAAAAAAAAAAAGAATTATATACAGTATCTTAAAAATAATTTTCTCATCATCCATTATTATTCATGCTCCCTAAGCCTTTTTCAAACCCCAATGCCATCCTCTTTCCTTCCAGTACATTTTAAGTCTACCTTATAAGTATCTGTAAAGCAGTAGAATCAAAATCCACATGAACAGCCTTCACTCTATTTAACAGGGCAACTCTACTACTAACAGCATTTTAGCTGGCCTCGTGCCTAAGTGCAAAGAATAAGTAGGAAATAATAGGAAGTAAAATTTTAAAAATAATGAGAAAAATTTTGAGGGCTTCAAATACAAATAGTGGAAGACAATGAGGTATCTTCATGTTAGAATCGTGTCTAGACTCAAATCCCAACCCAAGCCATTGCTAATTTTGTCACCTTGAGCAAATCTTCTTATTTCTCTGATCTTCAGTTTCCTTGTCTAAAAATGAGGCATAAAGAGCACACATGAAGTGGGACACATGTACAGTGTTAGGCCCTTCTGCTCTTGGCTGATGATAGGAGTCTGGTGACCAACCATCTTGGTTTGCCCAGGGCTGGTGGGCTTCCCAGGACACGGGACAAAGTGGTTACCCTAGGTGGGAAGCGCGACAGGATAAAAGGGTCCTCATGCATAGACAGCTCCCCTCCAAATTCCACTCGTGTCCCAAACCTATCTCTCCAGGAAACACACAGAAGCCATCTCCGGTTGGATTCCTAACACTACGTCTCTTTTCATTGTTCTTGTAACCTCATGCTGGTGATGTGTTTATGCTGCTCTAAAGTTGTGTGCTATTTTCTTTAAACAGCATATTAGGGTGTGAGCTCCCTAAGGTCAGAGGTCATCCTTCTGTATTTGGTAGGACCTAGTCTAACCCCCTCCCGATGCTCAACTTGCACCATCAGTCCTGGCTCGGCAAAGTCACACATCTCAAAGAGATACAGTTCTGATTGCAAGAGCATCAGGGAGTCAAGTAAGTTCTTACTGAAGCCTCTTGAAGAGGCAAAACGGGGAGGATTACATCCTTGGAAAGACAGAGTTAAGGGCTGTAAGACTTCTCCTTAGAAAAGATTCTTCTCAAAGTCCCCTGTTCTCTTTTTCAGTCTCTCCTTCATCACTCCTGATTCTTTTCTCTTGGGAATGACTCAGGGTCCTTTCTAAGACAGGCAACTCATCCTCCTTTGGATTTTTCCAATTTCCTTTTTCCAATCCTTTCCAATCAGGATTGCAGAATACTCCACAAAGGCTCAGGAGTCCAGCAGGTCAAACGTGTGTGTGTGTGTGTTTGTGTGTGTGTGTGTGTGTGTGTGTGTGTGTGTAGCTGAAGGGCAGGGGTCTGTAAACAGTTTGCTGCATCATAATAACACATGTTTCATAAATAATTGGTGCTTAACAAATATGTACTGTCTTGGGTTATCTCTCTGTCACCCGGGTGGGTGGCTTTAGGAAGAAATTAGTTGTGGGTCAAATGCATTTTACAATGATGGACCCCAGCCAGGAAAAGAACAATCTTCCTCCCCCTACGAGGGCTTAGAGTGAGCCAGGGAGTGGAAGAAGGTATTGCACCCTCAGTAGCAGAAGTGAGAGTCCCTAAAGGGAGATATTCAAGAATGAGTGTGTGTGTTGGGATGTGTGTGGGTGTGTATTTGTGTGTAGGGGTGGTGAGGAGGCATTAGTCTGCTGATCTGGGTCAATATAGTGAAAATGAAGAACATGGGATTGGGCATTGAAGGCTTGTATGAATGCACTAGTCCTAGGACCTTGAACAAACTCCTTGTCTCCATGCCACAGTTTTCTCATCTTTCTTTATAGAGTTTTTGGGAGGACTAAATATCCTAACACACATAAAACACTTAGCACAGAACCTGGCATATAGTAAACACTCAATAAACCTCAGTGATTACTGTTATTAGGGCTGACCCCAACCACAGCTGAGAGGAGTCCAGGCCTCAGTAAACTCTCCTGAGAGGGGACCACAAGGAGCTGAGGGTGAGCTGGCTTGCGTTTTTGGAACTGTCTTAATATATTTGAAATTTATGCTGAAATCCAGTGTGCCAAGGTCTCTCGATAAAACAGGGGGGAAAAAAGTGGAAGCATATGGTGGTCTGAGTCTTGAAGAAGAATGACTTCAATTATAGAAACAGGCTGTTGGAGAAATATGCCTTTTCAGCCCCGTCAGTCACGAACCTTTTCCAAATGTTGACATTACGCATGATATTAATATACTATAAAAAATCCATGTAAAACTGGAAAAGCCCAAACATACCATGCAAAGCCTGAGTCCTGCTAATGCCCCATCAGGATTAGAAGCAAAAATTCAGTTAGTTCTGCCTGCTAGGGTTTGCAGTGGCTTATGTCAGGAAGTCTATGACAATTTGTCATCATGTAGAAATATGGCTGCATCTGGATTTTTCTAAACTAAGGGAAGCATTTGTACATCAAAAGTCCTATTAAGGTTTTACTTTACTTTACTATCAAGAACTTTTTGCCTTTTGGTTCTCTTATAGGTTTGGTGGGTAAATCCCCATTTAGAATAAAGGCCTATTTCTTATCCTCTGAGCTGGATAAGCTATTCAGGCAGAGAACAACCTTTGAAGTTAAGGGAAACTGTGCTATCAAGCCAAACGTGAAATAAAATCAGAAGGGGACCCCTAATGCATTATGGAATACAACGCAGAATTTGGCCGAAGGTGATGCTAATTTTCTGCTCTTGTCAATGAAAAACAGACGCCAGGACGACTTGCTTGCATTCATCTGAATCCACATGGCAGCGTCAGAAAGCTGGTGAGCCTGGTGGGCCGGGGGGAGCTGTGGTCTGGGGCAAGGGCTGGTTCCTTTGTTTTCATTGGCATGGCTTATGGAAAAGTCAGAGAAAATGAATTTCAAATGATGGGTCAAAACTCAAGATTTGAAACACATTTCTTCCATCCTGTAGGTCTCATGGATCCATGGAAATAATTTTGATAACTTTAACTCCATTTCCAGTTGCAGGTATGTTGTCCATAGAGTTCCATTAAACAATATTTTTATTTCAGTCATTTACCATTCAATGAGTCTTTTAAATCCTGTAAAGTCGTGGAAAAAAGTTCAAATTGGCTATAAATGATTACACTAATTTTCTGTTTTCTTTCCATTTCTTTTCTGGTTTTCCTTTTAAAATTGCCCCTCTTGCCTGCAGCATATTTTGCATCAAAAAATGTATGGAGGATGGAAGACCCTTTTCACGCAGCAGCTGGGACAGAGTATTGCTCAGGCAACTTGTTCCCTCACACTAATTTTTGTCTGCATTGTAAAAATATTTTAAATGGTTTTGCATGCTGCATGAAAATGTGGAAATAACTTATACTGTTTGGTGGTAAAATGTAAGAAATTAGACAGATGCATGAATGCTCTTATGGGCAGAAGAGAAGCAGCTGCTTTCCAAAAACACTCTGAACTTTCAGAAAAGGGAACAGTCACTGATTCTAGAATCAGGAGGAAGAATACATAAATGTTATCTGCTGCTCCTTTTGGTTAATTTGGTTATGGAAGGCAGCTTCTGAAAAGGGTCACACGCACCGTATTTTGGCATAAAAAACAGAATCACAAGGAAGAGAAGTACCTCCCCCACCCCCACTTGGGCTGTGGGAGGACCCTCATCCATCAGCGTCTCTGGTACAGGGATAGCTGCTGGCTCAGTGGCTCTGGCCTTCATCCTGGGGTCCTGCTGCTGCCAGGGTGCTGTCTTCTCACCTTTTCAAAGACCCTCATCTCTACTGTCCCATATCCATCCCTGCTGACCAAAGCAAAACTAGGTTTTTCTTGCTTTTCCTGGGCTGAGCCTCTTATTGTTCCTAGACACAGCCAGCCTGGTGAGCACAGGCAAACTGGACATTGGAAGACCCAGCTGCACAAAGACTCCTTCCTGTGAGAGGCTTGGAGAAGACTTTGCTCTAGACACACAAGGGAGCCTGTGGGAAGGTGAGAGAGATATCCCTTCTCATTCCAAGCCTCTACCGGGAGGAAAGGTTGCTCCCAGAGTTGGGGTTGTGGAGCTGTTTATCAGGGTTGGGTCAGATGGAAAAACAGAGGACTGTATGTAACCTAAGGTGAAGTAAAGAATCTAAATATGCTCAGAGAAAGGCCTGGCCTTTTGCTCTCAGCTTCTGGGAAGTGATCTGTGCCTTTGGAATGTCATGTCTGATAGGAGTGGCTTTGTTTGCCTGCAGGCCTTGGACCAGCCAGATAGTGACAAGGTGATTTTGGGTGGGGCCTTGGGTCACATCAACAAGCCTTAGTGAAGATGGGGGCTTTAGGTCATGTGGTCTCAGCTTGGTCTGAGGGGCTGGGAACTGAGCCCAGTTACCTGGGCAGCCAGCCATGCCTAGGTGGTGATAAGACCCCAGCGGAGCCCCTGGATGCAAAGGCTCGGGTGGGTTTCCCTGCGTGGTGTGTTGTTGCACAGCATGCTGGAAAAGTGATGCTGTTGTTATTCACAGGGAGAGGACGATGGAAGCCCTGCCTTTGGTACTCTCTGGGTTCCGCTCTATGTGCTTCTTTCCTTAGCTGATGTTAGCTGCATTCTTCCCGGTAATAAACTGCAATCACCAGTGAATAGCTTTAGTGAGTCCTGTGCTCCTTCTAGTGACTTATTGACACTGAGTGTGTTTTTGAGAGCCCCCTGAACTTGAAATTGATGTCAGAAGTGAAGGTGGTTTTGTAGACACTGTGGCTCTAACTTTGCAGTTGGATAGAGGTGGCAGGAGTTCACCTGTATTTTTTTTTCCCCTAAAGTAGGGTCTAATTCACCCCCATCAAGAGGTGTATTCTAGAATTTGCACACGGACCCCTTTCTTTCTCATTTCTGTGCTTTTTAACAGAACCACTAACTCTTATACCCTCTCGGCCATACATTATCCACTCACATTATTTTCATTTGAATCACATACTCACGTTAGTAATTCCTTCTTACTTGTAGCTGATGAAGTTTGTTTGTTTATTTATTTATTTATTTATTTATTTATTTTAGGTTCTATTAACATTGACATACCAGGCCCCCAATACATGTGAGTTCTCATCTCTATTAGTTTTCTGGAGCTGCCATAACAAAGTACCACAAATTGGGTGACTTAAAATAACAGAAATTTATTGTCTCACAGTTCTGGAGGCTAGAAGTCAGAAATCAAGGTGTCGGAGGGCCATGCTCCCTCTGAAAACTGTAAAAGAGGCTTCTTCCTCATCTCTCTCATAGCTTCTGGTGGTTGCCAGTAGCAGTACTGGGCACTCCTTGACTTGTAGATGTATTATTCGAATTCTCTGTCTGCACATGGCCCTCTCCCTGTCTGCACAAGGCATTTTGTTTTTTTAAATAAGGACAACTATCACATTGGATTAGAGACCCACCTTACTCCAATGTGACTTCATCTTAACTCATTACACCTGCAATGGCCCTATTTCCAAATAAGGATACTTTCCATGAAACTGGGGGTTAGGACTTCTATACACATACACAGATGTGTGTGTGTGTGTGTGTGTGTGTGTGTGTGTATAGGAGGACATAATTGAGCCCATAACCCCATCCATTTCCCCTCATGAAAGATAAAGCTAAGTATGTGAGCTCCTGCGCCTCAGTTCCTTCCTCTGTGAAATGGGAAAGATTATATCACCACTTCCCATCCTGGGAAAGGATGAGAAGAGATACAGCCTCTACATGCACAGCACTGGGCACACAGTGCAGAAATAAGAGCTCATTGTCTCTGGGAGGACTGTTTCTAAGTAGGGTGTTTTCTAATGCATTTAAGTTCATTAAAAGCCAAGGTGTGCAACGACACTCCCCTCACCTGTGCTTTCTCGTCCTTCTGCCACCAGGTGCCAGGGGAGCCAAGAAGAGCAAAACCAAGGAGGCATTGTTTCCTCCAGAGCCTCATTCATCAACTCGCTCTGAACAGTTAGCACGCTCAGACAGTCATCTTCTGCACCTTGCCTTTCCCTGTGTCTTGACTGAGGGCTTATCTGAGAGCCTTTTGTTCAGGCTCATAATTATTCAGTGACTCAGGAGCCCACAAGCATTACCCACGGAGCCAGACAAGACCAGCAAGCTCTGAGGACCACCTGTTCCAAGTCATTTCCTGTGTGGGCGGCAACTTCACAGGGCTGAAAATACGAGTTACGGTAAAAATGTCTTCAACCCTGGCGCGCTGGATTGTTGAAACTCGATGGAATCTTGCTTGATTATGTTCAGGCCAGACACATTTCATTATCATTCTTTGCATATATATTAAAAACTCTAACCCCTTTACAAACAAATGTTCTCAAGGGGCAGACAGCACACCCTTGCCTCATGACATTGCTCTAATAGAGAAAACACCCCAGTGTTTCACCCATTAGGTCAGATCCACGAACACAGAGTGCAGTTGGGAAGGATGTGGGCAGTAATGAAGGTGGTGCTTTTTGCTCCTGTGGGTGCTATGGACAGGTGAGGGTTCAAGGATATTAACAACAAATTTTAAGCCATACCTTACACTACATTGGAGCTTAATCAAATTCTCTGTTCACAGTATGCCTAAATTGGCCAATGGAACGGAAAAAAAAAAAAAAAGCAACCCACCCCCAAGAGTTATTTATGTCATGTAGACAAAACCTGGGTTCGTTGACTGATTATTTCCACTCTCTAGTGATGGTCGTTGCATTTTCACTCTGAGTTGAATTGCTGCATTTTTCCATAAATATATCTGCTCCTCTGGAAGAAGCTTTGTTGCTTAGCCTTATTGCCCTTCACGTCTGCCTTTCTGACCTCATAGACTGTCAAGTTCTTAGTTGGTGACTAAAGTATAAAAGTAATTTCTTTCTCTCTTTTTTAAAATTATTAAAGCCACACATGCTCACTACAGAAAAGTTAGAATGTAGATATGTGTGAAGAAAAGAAAAATTAGCCATTAGGCCCACAATCTAGGGAAAACTCATTTTGGGCATTTGGATGGCTTTAATATGCATTCACTATTAAATGATGAATATGATATTATACATAGTATACTAATATATTATGATGATGGATCAGTGCTGATGTGTTTTAACATAAATGTATATGTTAGTAATGCTGCTGTTTTATCTTAACAGTTTTTCAAACTTGCATTGTTTTGCCCTTCAGCTAAAAGGGTAGGGAATTTGCTAGGGATATAAATTCATTAATCATAAAAATTATGTCATAACAGCCTGCACAGAAATCACAATAGGATGCAGGACATAGATTAGACTAGAGTTGAGATTCTTGCCCCAACCACAACTGTTCAGGCTTTGAAAAGAAAACAAATCTTTTTTTTTTTTTTTTTTTTTGAAATGGAGTCTCACTCTGTCACCCAGGCTGGAGTGCAGTGGTGCGATCTCGGCTCACTGCAAACTCCGCCTACCAGGTTCACGCCATTCTCCTGCCTCAGCCTCCCAAGTAGCTGGGACTACAGCGCCCACCACCACACCCAACTAATTTTTTTGTATTTTTTAGTAGAGATGGGGTTTCACCATATTAGCCAGGATGGTTTTGATCTCCTGACCTCATGATCTGCCTGCCTTGGCCTCCCAAAGTGCTGGGATTCCAGGCGTGAGCCACCGCGCCAGGCAGAAAACAAATCATTTTTAAGCACTGATTCTAAGTCAGCATTGCCCGGTTAAGCTCTTACATTTTCACCAGAAATCAACCCCCGAGACTTAGCAAGTTTGAGTGACCTGTTCCCAGTGGTGCTGTTCTGACGTGTCTGATGTCAGATCAGAAGCTCAGGCCTTCCAACCCAACGCATAAACTTTCTTTTGGTATAAGTATGTTCTTTGTATTGCTTATACTAAAATAATTATTTGTTGTTCATCTGAAATTCAAAGTGCATGGAGGTCCTGTATGTTATCTGGAATCTCAGTGGAATGAACTAGGGGTTTTATAATCAGCATTTGTCCCTACTGCTGAGGCTGTGGCATGTGAGCTGTTAAGTATTTTGACCGTATCCTTCTGCAAACACTGGACCATTTTGTCTTTCATGCAGCCGACTTATTTATGATCAAGGAGAACGGTATAGGGAAATAGACCCAAGTTCATATTACAGGAAGATTGTGTGACGTTACAGAAAGAAACATAACCACCTGGTTAAAACCTTAGCTGTGTGATCTTGTACTAGTTACTCAACCTCGCTGAGGCTGGGATTATGCAAAATGGGGCCAAGCACACCTGCTTCTCAGAGTTTTGGCCATAATGAATGAGGTAATGCATACTATCCCATAACGGGCTCTCAGCTGCAAAGGGAACTGTCTTATCTACACTTATAATTTAGTCAAGTCAACTAAAATGCTGACTGCTCCAGTCCCATACCTACCTCCCATACACCCCAGTGACTGAAGTCAAAGCCAGCATCACACACACCAATTTTTTTTTTTTTTTTTGACGGAATCTCACTCTGTTGCCCAGGCTGGAGTGCACTGGCGCGATCTTGGCTCACCGCAACCTCCGCCTCCTGGGTTCCAGCAATTCTCCTGCCTCAGCCTTCTGAGTAGCTAGGATTACAGGTGCCTGCTGCCACACCCATCTAATTTTTGTATTTTTAGTAGAGACGGGGTTTCACCATGTTGGCCAGGCTGGTCTTGAACTCCTGACCTCAAGTGATCTGCCAGCCTCGGCCTCCCAAAGTGCTGGGATTACAGGCGTCAGCCACCGCTCCTGGCCACAGGAGGCTCATCCCTGATGGCCTCACTCAGGGATGAGCCTTGGACTTTGACTGGCCCCAATAATTCACAGAGTCATGCCTTCATTTATTAAAAAATCCCTGGGGAATATACTGTCTTAGGATCTGGGGACATGAAATGTATTGTGCCTGGCCTCATGCTGCTTATGGTCTAGCAGGGTAGATGGGCATTAAGCAAATGCTTGTGAAGATAAGGATTTTAGCACAAGCTGAAATTAGTGTTATGAAGGCAAAGTACAGAGTGGTATGGGAAAGTAATGCAGGAGGAGGTGAGGTAGAACTGTGCTTTGTCATCCACACGAGCCCCGATTCCTCCTGTTCCCAACCAGGCGAACATGCTGTTCATGCAACGCCAACCAAAATTAATGGGGAAAGGGAGTCTGGGGATATAAAAAGTGAGATAAAGGGGCTACTTATTTTTTTTTTACTGTTGTTTCTGCTTGTTTATATAAAAAGATCCTTTCAACATTTACAGAGCTTTAAAGTATGATGTGAAAAATAAGTACTTTGTACTTATTATGGTGCCTTTCATCTGAGTTGCTCATAAGCCCTGCAGACATTGCCTCATCCATTTTCAGAAGACTCCTCAAAGGAAGGTAAGAAGAGACTCTTGCCCCCACTTCACAGATGCAAAGACTGAGGCATGAGGAGGTAACAGGGGCTAGGAGAGTAGTGTTGGATCAGGGGCTGAGGTGCCTGGATCCTAGGTCTGGCTTTGCCATTCAATAACTGTGTGACTTTGGGTGTGTCCCTCTGGGTTCTTATTAGGAATTTGGAATAGATGATTCCCAATGTCTCATACAGTTTGAAGGATCTGTGATGGTGTCAGGGAAAATGGGTAAGTGTCACAGTGCTAATTCCTGGGACATAATTCAAGTCTTCACTCATGACTTCAGCTTCAGAATAACATTTCTGCAAGAAGGCCATCCAGAAAGATGGAGACAATAACTGACTCCTGGAGTTGGAAGGACCCTTGGATGGCTCCGTGTGGCTTAAAATGCCTAAATACCAGAATTGTTGAATGCTTGCTCATGACACAGGTTCTTGGAACCCAACCCAGTCTGTCTATCCAAATTTATAGGCCAGAGGCCTGAGGAACAATTAATGAAATCATCAAGTCTGGAAAGCACATAGTCCAAATCAGTGGTCTCAAGCTGGGCTGCACACTGGAATCACCAGGGAGCTTTGAAAAATGGAGATGCCAGGATCCCACTTTGGATATTTTGATTTAGATGGTCGCAGGTATGTCCTGGGTATCTGGAGATTTTAAAATCGTCCTGGGGATTCTAAGGGCAGCCAAGGCTGAAAACCACAGACCTAGATCAAGCTCTCTTGTGATGCTGATGAAATGAATGGGCTTGATGAAGCTAATCTCACCCATGAGAAACCATGGGCAGAGCCACTGCTGACTTGGGGGGCAAGGCAGAGCTGGATGCCCCCCTTCTGACTCTACCTCCCACTCTGTCCACTACATTATGTGGACTCCCATAATGCCTGAGTGTAAGAGTTTTCTTTTTAATATGCAGAAAAAATTTAAATTATATTGGGTAAAAAAAAAATATTAAAAAAATTTAAATTGGGAATTAAATGAAGCATTTAGAAATCAAAATTTTCTGTGTGGCCCCCATCACCACTACCGATAGCACAAAGGTAGTTGAAAGAAACATAAACTTGGAAAAATACTTGCAACATAAATTATAAAGGGTTATATGAGAACCTTTAGAAACCAATAAGAAGATGACTAATTCAATACAAGACTGATCAAAACTAATGAATAGAAAATAGACACACAAAAAATTTTAAAGGGCCAATGAAAACATAAAATTAGTTTTTTATTCTTCTTTAATTATTATTCTTAATAATTAAAGAAATGTAAATTAAAATATTAGTGACACATTGATACTCATTCATCAAATTATGAATTATTGAAAGATTGATAAAATCCATTTGGGTAGTGAAAGCAACTACTGGTGAGAAGCAAGCTGGCATAAGATTTCTGGAGAGCCATTCGGCAATATATACCAAAGCCTTAAAATATGTGTATATTTTTTATTTTTATTTTTACTTTTTTTGAGATGGAGTCTCACTCTGTCACCCAGGCTGGAGTGCAATGGCGCGATCTCAGCTCACTGCAACCTCCACCTCCCAGGTTCGAGTGATTCTCCTGCCTCAGCCTCTGGAGTAGCTGGGATTACAGGCCTGCACCACCACACCCGGCTATTTTGTATTTTTAGTTGAGGCAGAGTTTTGCCATGTTGGCTAGGCTGGTCTCGAACTCCTGAAGTCAGGTGATCCACTCACCTTGGCCTCCCAAAGTGCTGGGATTACAGGCGTGAGCCACCACATTCGGCCCAAAATATGTGTATACTGTTTAACTTGGTAATTGTATCTCAAACAAATTGTCTTAAGAGAAAAGTGTGTTCAGATGTATACGTAAGAAAATTATTCATCATAGGATTATCTATCATATCAAACCTTTGGAAATAATCCAATCCTCCATCCGTAAATGTTTAGTGAAATAAATTTTTATTGATCCACATGGTGGAATAACATGCAACTATTAAAAATTGTATTGCAGATTTACACTTGTTGACATGGAAATATGTTCCATATATAGAAGTGATTAGAGAAAGTTACCAAACTATATATCACAGAAGTTCATTTTTCATGTATGAGTGGCTAGGTTTACATTGACAACAAAAACCTAGGCTTGGGGTCCTCTACTGGTTTTGCCTATGGTGACCAACTAATTATCTGGGTTTTCCCAGGACTGGGGGGTTTTCTGGGATGTGGGACTTAATATCCCTGAGACAATCCTGAGACAATCCTGAGAAAACTGGGATGGTTGATTGCCCTGATCTTGCCACTGAGTCACTAGCAGTGTGACTTTGGACAAGGCTTTTCATCTGTTTGTGAAATACAGCACTTTCCTAAAATAATGAATTTGAAATGGCTGTGGCTGGAAAATTGGCCCCCACTCTTATATTAACAATGTTTCCATTGGGTGTTGGGATTTGGGGCATTATAAAATTTATTTTTAAATATTTTTTTAGAAGGTGTACTCATAATTTTCATAATATAAAAAACAATAAAGTCATCTCTATTAAAAATACTCCTATGGGTCAATTGAGTTCTATTTTCAGTACTAAGATTATGGTAAGGACTATAAAAAGTGTTTCCATAGGATGTCAACCACAAATATTTACTACAGCATACGAGTGGAAACCTAGAGATTCTTGCAAGAACAAAAGGCACCAGGGACAATTTTCCCCTCAAACTGCCACAATATCTTATGTGAAAAATGACAAATAAATGAACAGAAATTTACTCTCCTGTTTTGCAGAAATTACAACAATCCTCATATATAGATTCAATGCAGATTAGATTTAAATCTAAAATGGTTTATTTGTACCCAAAGTTAAGAAGGATGCAACAAATTATGAACACATTTTCCAAGTGAGTAAATTTTGTTTGAAAACGCCAACCTTGAAAGTTTCTCTATTGATCACTTTTGCATTGCTCTTTAGGTTAAATAGTGATAGCTGCCTTTCAGAGAGCCTTATGATGACGGAATTAGTTTACAAAGGGAAGAGTCTGACAGACAAAGGTTTTACTCAGTCTAGAGGGCTCTCTGGAGGAAGGTTTCTGGCAAAGGCTTAGATTTGTGTTGAGCCTAAAATTTGCATGGTTTGATTATAGATGACAATAGGCAAAAATTTGCCATATGTTCTATGATATCAACCATGGCCCCAAAAGTGACTAGGAATAAAACATACTCTTCTTAGAAATGTCAGAATTGCACATTTTGGGAGGCTTGCAATGCAAGGCTAATTCTGATGCCCCTAACGCATTCAAAGTCCTGACTTCTTGTAGAACAGGTGTCACTGCCAATTTTTCACTTGTCCTGTAGCAGCTACAGAAATTGGAGGTGTCTTCAAAAGGCAAGACAATCTACAGGCTTTGCCCTGCAGGGTCCTGGCCACCATCCCTCCAGCAGAATCCAGGCCAGCCCCCTGAACAATTCACCTCAACGCCGGATACATTTTTTACTGCTACAACTTTTGAAATTTCCTCCCTAACTTCTTTCTTTGTGCTCTGTTCTCCAAGTCAGGAAAAGGCAGACAGTGCTGAAATGGTCAACAGTTCTGCCTTTGAAAGGCACTTTGCTTCCTTCTGTGTCTGGAAATTACACCTGGATCTCAAAGCATCATGTGTTGTTTTTGATAAGAAAGTCTGATGAGAGTGAGTCCATGGTTTGATTCACATGCTACAATTGCTGACAAGTTTCCACATGAATATTTCAATTTAGTGATACTACTAAGCAGTATATTTTTCTTATTTAATTTCATGTCCCCAAATAAATCTTAGGAAAGTAGAAAATGTTTGCAAAATTTTCCTCCACACATTTAGAGTCCCTCCATGCTGGCAGGGTGCCCAGACTGCTGCAGAGTTAGAGCCCAGGCTGGGCTGCTGGAAACGCAACTATGGGACGGCTAAGGTGCAAGTCTAGACCTTTCCTGTCTAAAAGGCACTTTCCGCCCAGAAAGATGAAAATACAAATTGCAATTCCAGATACAGACAATTAAAAGCACTGTGTGTAGTTTCTCTGGATGCTCTAAAAAATTATGTGTGAATGCAAATGTCTCTCCCTTAAACATTGCTATACAATGATAATGGTTTGGGAATAGAGTGCCTATGTATATATTGAAAGCTTTGAACTTACTTTACTATACCAAACTAGTTTGTCAAAATATAACTGTGTCAAAAAGTTATAAAGATGAACCAACCTTTCACTCCCCTTCAAACTAAAATATTAAAATTGATCAAACCCTGACCTCAGTTAAGGGCTTGGTTCTGCCACTAGCTGGATAACAGGAGACAAAGGATGTCAGGGTCACTCTTCTAACAGTTTGTGTGTTTATGTGCATTTTAAAAAATTATGTTCTTGTTTTTCTTTCTCGCCAGCACCCCCCTTTTTTTTTGTAAAGCAACTGATTAAGTAAAGAAAAATCATCTATCTGGTTAGGGAAAACTGGTAGAATCTGAATGTCACTCACTTCTCAGATGGCAAGGATTTGTACAAAACCTTCATATAACAATTGTAAATTGTCACTGCTGTGTAAGACCGTCAAAAAGTGAGTGAGGGCTCAGAGACACAGAGGGACTTCTAGCTCGGCTGTATCGCTTTCTTGTTCTGGGACCATGGGCATTATAAGATTTTGAAAACGGTTTCTTCATGGGAATAATACTTGTATTTATCTGAGATAATTGTTGACAAATATAAACTAGTAAAGTCACAAAAAATGCTTATGAAGGAATCCGGAATATACTAACTTCCCACTTTTATTCATGGTCAGTGTCATCGTCATCATTCTCTTCCTCCCAGGCTAGTTAACAGAAGGGTAAAAACATTTTGACCTACAAACATAAAATAGTCATATCATCCTCCAAAGTAACACAGTTAATACACTATTTCAGAAGCACCATTTTAGACACTTTTTGCCCAGAGAAAATCTTAAAGAACCCTATTGATTTGTTGTTTCACATTTTCCAGTATTCAGAGAAAATCTGTTTAGACTCCCTTGAGGACTACTGTCCACTCAGTAGAACCCATCCTTAATATCTTTCTCCCTTTCCCATCATAATGGTGACTATGGAGTGATCTTCAGAAACCTTAGCACAAATGCAACCCCAGAGATGTCTTCAGAACAAACTAAAACCCACTGTAACATACCTGGAGGAAAAAATGCCACTGGAATCAACTTTCTGTTAATAAAGTAAGTTTTTCCCCAAATATTCAAAGTGTGTAATACCTGTAAACACTTTCTCCAAAGCCACTTTCAACCCACAAATAATATTTTTATGATTAATCATAGAGAGAGAGGGCAAATATATGCAGAACTATGTCACACTCCCTCAACCGAACTTTCTGGTCATTTCCCCCGTTAGGGTTGGGAGAGGAGGGGTGGTGCAGGGGATGGAGAGAGAAGGTCCTTTGTCTGGAACTTTTCATTACTGAGGGGTTTTACCAAAGAAGCAATTCTTTTCACACGCTATGTCTCACCTTGAGTTCTTATCCGCTGGGGACATAGTTGATCAATGATGTAATTCTACAATTATTTAAGGATAGTGATTCTTTTATTCTCACAAAGGGTTTGCTGAAAATTAAAAGAAGCCTGCAGTCATTTATTTTAATCTCCCAAGATTGTTTATTGTTCCTACAAGTCAGGACAGCCTCATCTTTGGAAAACACATTCCAGGAGAAAAGCTGATAAAATGATCGCATTGTTAGATGGGTGGGGTTTTGCAAGGTAGAATCCGTTGATGGTCTTTTAAAGCAGCACTTTATATTTTATCTTATGGTATTTCTGAAGTGCATGGATGGTCATTTGGTGCAAATGATAACTGTTCATTTACCTTTAGAGACTTTGTAATCATTGAGAAGACAATAAATGTATATAAATTATAAACTTCAATAATAAGTTCTTGAAAATGTTCATTTCCTGTGCCATTTCCTTCCTATGCATTGCCATACAGCTCTTTGTATGTATAAATGAGGAAGAAGATATGCACTTAAGATGATTTCTTTGAATATTATAAGCCTCCCCGCTTCCAATACAATTAATCACCTTCCCATGTGTGATGGAAACTGCAAAATACTTTTTTTCCTTGTGTTATAAAAATATCCCTTGATTGTCAACTTTTAGTTTTTAAGTGCTTTGATCTACTTTGAATGTGAAGAGTGCAGGGTCCCCAAACTAAGTGGGTGGCCTCCACCCTATGGTGTGAGAAAAAGCTGTGAATTTTCCCCCTTATTTTTTATGTCCATGGGTTTCTTATTTAGAGGAAAATTTAATACACAATTGGTACCTTTGCAGTTAGCTCACCCAAATGTTATTTGTTTAAGAGGTATTTGATGTCCAACATACCGAGTGATTTTTTTTTTTTACAAGACTTATTTAAGCTCTTTTCCTAGGAAAAAGATGTTGCCTTTCTGCCAAGGGCATATTATCTTCAAAAACTGGCATTTTTAGCCTTTTTTCCGCAACTTGAATTTTCCACATCTTAAATTGTCTCAGGTCTGTGAACTGTAGATTGGGAGAATTAGAAAAGATCTTCCTTCCTAGTAGCTGACATTCCTTGCTTAGGAAACTTTACACAGTCTCCCTCATTTGATGGAAAAAGCAATCATTAAGCATTAATGGGAGAACAGCAAAATCTTCAAAATCTGACTCATTTTAGATAAACACTTTCTAGCTTTCAAATCTATTCTAAGCCACTATAATGCTCACCATGTTTAAAATGGAAAGAAATACTTTCCGAGGTAAATACCCAATGAACCGAAATAAATAGAAATCCAGTTATGATGAAAAATATTAAAGGAAAAAGACTAAATGAACTTTCAAACCCTCTAAAGAGAGAGTAGTTCACCTGTTATAACACGTGTAAGGAGGTGAATAAATTGTGTCAACTAATTTCCCAAATACAAGATCAACTCTCATATCTATAGGGGAGATAACTAATTGAACCATGACCCCAGCAATAAAATTCAGCACATCTCTGAAGATGAATATTAACGTGGTTTGGGAGAGAATGTGCTTGAGATATTAATGTTTTTAAGAACCAAGTTGTGGTTTCTTAGGCTAAAATTGCATGGCTACATTTGCTGTGCCAAGAATAGAGTTTCATACTCTCCGAAAACAGCATGACTCCAGTGAGATGTTTGGTCGGGGATCCCAATCGTGTAAGATACTGTGCAATTATGTCTACTTCCTTCCTGTCCCTAAATTCTACCAATTCCAAGTGCCTTTGGAACAGTGTGATCAGCACTTAGATAAAGGTAGTAAGGGCCCACCAGTCCTTGGATGTTCTCCTGGGCTTCATGAAAGAAAAGTCTGCAGCAGGTAAAGACTGGGGTCAATGGCTCCCTCAGTCCAAACTGGACAGCCTTGGGAGGAGGCCACTCATGAAAATTTGGCTACAGAGATATGTTAGCCGTCTTTGTAACCAGTACTTTAAAAATAAAATACAATAAAATAAAAAGATTCTTCAAGAGTACTCATGCAGGCCTCAGTGTTAATGTCTGCTCTTGGACTTGAAAACATTCTTGCCCCCTCCATAAACATTCTTTCCCACTGCTGAAAGCTGTTGAATGCTTGTCAGGCTTATTCAAAATTTGATGACCTTAATGGAAACCCCCAAAGATGACAACAGATAAAGAATAAAACCAGGACATATCACTTGTAAACACAGTCAATGCATCCATTTCTTGTTTTTCAATTAATCATCTCTTGAGCTAAGAGCTTAGAAATTCCATTCAGATTTAGACATTCTTTTAAGAGTATGCGTCTGATTTCCAAATTACCAGCCCGATAGTTCTGACTAATGGAAAATAATGCACTACTTTGCTTCAGGCAAAGTCAAGTATTTGATTTTCATAGAACCAACTTTCGATTAACTATTCTGTGGCTGTGTTTATCTACCATGACCTTTAGCTGATCTGTTCCAAACTGGTCAGGAAGAAAGAAGTGGTCTTAGAGGAAGCAAAGTCTGTTGGAAGTAACTCTGAACTGGAGTGTCAAGAAATCTTTCATTTCTTCTGTTCATGATTTTTGATAATTTATCTTCCCTGTGTCTTATTTTCTCATTCTGTAAAAAGAAGGAAATTTAAAAAATGGCATCTTACAGGGATCAAAGATGCTAGGAAAGATGAAAAAGGAGTAAAAATGTCATTCCTGATGGACCTCAAGGGCATTATGCTTAGTGAAAAAAAAGTAAATGGCAAAAGATTTTGTGCTGTTTGATTCCATTTATATAACATTCTTAAAAGAACAAAATTATAGAGATGGAGAACAAGTTGGTGGTTGCCAGGGTTGATGATGCTGCGGTATGAATGTAAGAAGGTGACCTGAGGGGGTCACAGAGTGACCTCTGTAGTAACAGAGCAGTTCTGCCTCTTAGTTGCACTGGTAGTTACCCAAATCAATACACTAGATAAAGTTGCATAGAATTTCACGCACACACACATGCACACATACAAACATACAAGTATTAACCACATGTAAAAAATGGTGAAAATTAAACAAGATCTGCAGTACAGTTAAGAGCCAAACAATTGATGTTCTAACAACATCAGTTTCTTGGTCTTGATATTGTACTGTGGTTATACAAAATGTTATCATTAGGGGAAGCTGGGTGAAGGGTACACTGGACTCTGTGTATTATTTTTGTAACTTTCTGGGAATCTATAGTTATTTCAAAATAAAACTTTAAAAATGTTATTATGTACCTGACCTTAGGATTCTTCTTAACCAATCTCATGTTCCCTGTGTGTATGATTACAATAAAAATAAAAGTAGAAGTATTTTTTTCGAAAAAGAGAAAGTGGTGAGAGAGTGGCAAATGTTACATGGAGTGGGATGAGTCACAGGAAAACCATGAAACACAGTTCTCTTCTTGTAACTTAACTTTGCATAAAAGTGAATACAATGATTCCTTGTTTAACACCACTCTGAACTTAAAAGCAAAATTCTTAGGAAGAGCCTTTTGAAATCTAAGACTTTTGTAAGTTGAGATGCCATGGAACATTTGTTCCATGGGCTGCCTCACAAAAACAAAGAATTTGTAGTAAACTAAGTTTGAAAATGTTAAACATAATTTTTTTCCCTGGCTCTCTTTTCAAAATGATATTTTAAAAAAACACATACCTTTGAAAAACAGACTCCAGACTTCTACTTCCTGAAATAGTAGATGGGATGATGCAGATGATTTGGACCAACTCTATGCTAAGACAACTTGAAATCGAGGCAAAACATACACACACGTATCACTGTCATCTTCATTATCATCATCATCTAATTGAAGGCATTGGAAAGCTCTTAATGCAGTAAAGGCCAAGATCCAAGAGAAAGCAGAAACAGAGAGATGAAATTTACCCTAAGGCAGAGGCCAGTACTGGAAGAGGGAGGAGAGTTCTCGAGAGAGAACTTGCAAAGGTAATCAGGGCCTTTGCCAGCTTCGCGTAGTGAGTGGGAGAAAAATGGAAGTCCAGGGCCCACCCAGAAGAAGCTTCTGGATAACCTTCCATGCTTTAGATTAAGACAGGCAAGTACTATATCCTGGGAGCAAGGGTGGATGAAAAGTGAAGTAGCCTTACAAGAACTGAAGTCTGTTTTATGATTATCTCAGTCCTTGAAATTGATCCTAGAATGCTGATACTTCTGGCCACCTGCTATAAAGAAAAATAAACCTTCCTTCTTTATCTAGGTTAAAGATAAAGTCTTCAATCATGTTTATACTTTTTTATATACATGAGACAGTCAATCAAACATATTAAGGCACAGAGAAGAATAAGAAAAGAAAAATAGAAACAGACCCAAAGGGGCTCCAGATAATAGTTACCAAGCACAGGATTTAAAATAACAATGCTTAAACGGTTAAGGAGATTACAAGAAAAGATAAGAAATTTTGATGAATAATTGGGACCTGTAAGGATAACTAAAGGGAAATGTTAGAGCTGAAAAGTGCAATAGCTAAAATTAGAAACAGTGGAAGGACTGAAGCATATCAAAGAGTAAGAGAGAGTCAGTGAATTGAAAGATAGATTTAAAAAAATTCAGAAGGAGGCATAGAGATAAAAAAAAGTATGAAAAATATAGAAGAAAGGGTAAGAGACAGAAGTTCTAACATAGATGTCATGAGGTTCCTTTTAACAGAATAACAGAATGAGAATGATGTAGATACGTTATATGTAGAGGCCTTGACTGACCATTTTCCAAACTGGCAGAAAATATCAAGCTAGAGGTTCAAGAAGCAAGATAAATTCAGAGAAAACTACATCAGAGAAAATGGCTGAAAACCAAGGACAATGAGAAAATCTTAAAAGAGACTAGAGGAAAAAAGAAACACTAATTTTGGAGAAGGAACATTAATTCACAGTTGCTGCCTTGAAAATTAAAAAATAATAAAATGATAAAATAAAATAAAAATAATGAAAACCAGAAGATAATAAAAGAAATTCTGAAAGTTATCCTCCAACCTGGAATTCTATATAGGGTGAAAATATTCTTCAAGAATGAAGACATGAAAACAAAATAAAGACAATTTCAGACCAAGAACCCCACCAAAACAAACAAAAAACCCAGGGAATTTGTCACTAGTAAACCTGAACTAAAGAGGATATTAAAGATATTTTTCAGGAAGAAGGAAAATGATTCCAGGAAGGAGCAAAAAGCAAGAAAAGGCAAATATGTCTGTAAATTGAAATGCATCTTGACTATACCAATCTATAATAATAACACTTGAATAGAATATGAAATATTCCAGGCATGGTGGTGCACACTTGTAATCCCAGCACTTTGGGAGGTTGAGGCGGGTGGATCACTTGAGGTCAGGAGTTTGAGACCAGCCTGGCCAACATGGCAAAACCCCATCTCTACTAAAAATATAAAAATTAGCAGGGCATTGTGGCGTGCACCTGTAGTCCCAGCTACTTGGAAGGCTGAGGCAGGAGAATCGCTTGAACCTGGGAGGCAGAGATTGTAGTGAACTGAGATTGTACCACTGCACTCCAGCCCGGGTGACAGAGCAAGAATCTGTCTCAAAAAAAAAAAAAAAAAAAAGAAATACGTATGCAATTAAAATAAATGACAACAACAGCAATAAGTTAGAAGGGAGTGAAAAGAAGTCTTTGCATTAACTGAGATGAGGCAAAGAGTACTGATTTATATCATATTTGAGTAAGTCAGGAAAGCCAGCTGCAATCTCTAGGTAAGCTGTAAAAAAATACTGAAAGAGTGTTAACCATCACACTCATATTCTACTTCATAATCAAAATAGAATAAATTTTAAATATTCCATAAAAGCAAAAGAACACAAGGATGAAGAAAAAAGAAATATAGAAACAGGTAGAAGTAAAAAGCAAATAATAGAATAATAAATTATGCCCTAAATATATCAGTATTAATAGTAGCATAGTGATTGTAAACTGTGTTCTTAGGGACTGACAATAATACTAGCCATTAATTTGTTGAAGTAATACTGTCTGCTAACTACTTAACATGAAGTAACTCATTTAATCCTCAGAGTATTCATACCCAGCAAAGACTGTTATTATCCTCACTTTAAACATGAGGAAACATAGGCACAGAGAGGTTAAATAACTGTCCCAGGATTACCCAGCAGGTCTGGAGCACAGCTGGAGTTTGAAACCATGTGTTTAACTTTGAGTGTGATATTCTAACCACCATGTTGTACTCGATGACCCTGCCTCTCCTGTGGTAGCACAAAGAAAGATCTAGACTTGTCTGCCATGAAAGAAAATAGATTGTTTCCGACTTCAGGCATTTCCTTCAGATTAGATAATTAAGCCACCAACATATTTAAACTTAAAAAAAAAACATATCGAGAGAAGCTTGGTTGCCACGTATATTAAAAGCCTTAAGAAATTTCATTCTTGGACGGAGCATTTGCACATTTCTGAAGGCATCCCAAGAACAAAATAAGTATAGAAAAATAAATAGATAAACAGAGATGCTCATTGCAGGCTTATCTGTGACAGTGAAAAGATCAAACGGTGTGAATGTATCATTAATGATGGCACATTTAGTGAAATAATATGTGGCTAGTAAAAGGGTATTATAAGTAAAAGCAATATATATATATATACACACACACACATATATAAAATAAAAAGTTATATTAAGTGGAGGGGAAAGTAAACAAGAGAGCATATGCCAGAATTATCACAAACTGGTACAATTCCCAATTCCTATGTATTCTTGACAAAAATCCTCAGAGGAGAAAAAGAACTATGCAAAATATTATACATTCTTGAAGGAAATACACTGAAATATTAGAACTGTAGCATGTATATTTGGGTTGCAGGATCAGAAATGCATTTGCACCTCTTTTTGTATTTCCCAGTTCTCCTTGGGGCTCGCATTAGGATTAACATGTAAGTTAATTCATATAAAAGTTGTTTGGGCGCAGTGGCTCACGCCTGTAATCCCAACACTTTGGGAGGCCAAGGTGGGCGGATCACAAGGTCAGGAGATTGAGACCATCCTGGCTAACACGGTGAAACCCCGTCTCTACTATAAAAAAAAAAAAATTGGCCTGGCGTGGTAGCTGGCACCTGTAGTCCCAGCTACTCGGGAGGCTGAGGCAGGAGAATGGCTTGAACCCGGGAGGCAGAGCTTGCAGTGAGCCGAGATGGCGCCACTGTACTCCAGCCTGGGTGACAGAGCAAGACTCTGTCTCAGAAAAAAAACAAAACAAAACGTTGTTGTTTGAAATGATGACACTTTCTGTTATCTGATGAGGGGGATGTGCTTTCACTGAGTGTATTTAGAAAAGGACTCATTAACCAAAGAGGGCAGAGCTCCTGCTGCGATGTAACCTCTTCCCCCACCAAGTGGCTGAGGCTCACTCATCTTACCCTTTTGCCTCTAGTGTGGAAGGAACTGAAGGTAAGGCCACATGGTTCCAGGCTGATGGAGCTCGGCAGTGTTCAGAAGCAGCTGCTTTAAGGAAAGACCTGCTCTGGGGCCTCATGGATGGCATGAGTAGAGAGGAAAGAGAACATTCGAGAAAAAAGACATCATCAACATATCCTATGTGAGGCCGATGCTTTCTTTGCAACTTCAAGTGATGTTTTTGTGGGATCATTAGTCTATCCATCTGTAGCCATGCATCCAGCAAATTCAGTATCTGTCACATGGAAACACTATGCTAGGGGCCCAGAGGGGAGAAAATGAGTTTAAGGAACAGATAAAGATTTTGTCCCAGATACCAATCAATCATGAAAAAGGGGACTTCACTCCCTTTGTTTACGAAGGTCCATTTCAGTTTCCCTGTCTACTGCACACATTATATCACTGAGATGTTTGGCTTTCCTGAGAATCGAAGAACCCGCTGGAAAATAGTGATGTCATTCTGAAGGTAGTTTCTCAAAGTGTAGTCTATGCAGGAAGGAGCGGAGGGACAGTAGCTCTTCTTTATCTCAAGGGTCCTTTTGTTGGACACTTTGAGGGGTCCTTGGTTAGGGTTGTTGTGAACTTGGCTGGGACAAAATACATCTTTATTTTTACAAACTCCATCTTTATTTTTACAAACTCCTAACTCAAACATAGCATTTTCTTCTATCATAAATATAGAAAAGAAATTGCAGTAGTATTAGAAATATGTGTAACTTTCAGCCAGGCACGGTGGCTCACGTCTGTAATCCTATCATTCTGGGAGGCGGAAGTGGGCAGATCACCTGAGCTTAGGAGTTTGGGACCAGACTGGGCAACACGGCAAAAATGTGTCTCTACAAAAAAATACAAATATTAGCAAGGTGTGCATCTGTAGTCCTAGCTACTTGGGAAGCTGAGGCAGGAGAATTGCTTGAGTCCGGGAGGCAGAAGTTGCAGTGAGCCAAGATCGCACCACTGCACTCCAGCCTGGGTGACACAGTGAGATCTTGTCTCAAAAAAAAAAAAGCGGGGGGGGGTAACTTTCTCACCAGTTGATTGAAATAATGGATAGCTTCAAATCACATTATAGTGCTTACAAATGTACCAAAATATTGTGTATGCTCATCACTACCCTGAAATTACAGTCCTTGGGCTTGGAAATAGGTCATGTTATTTAATGAGTTTAATGAGTTAATAAAGAGTCATAACTGTTATTATTCACAATTTTTTAGAGAAGCATTTTGATAACTATATTAACCAAAATTCTCCAGAGAAACAGAATGGTTGGCAAACTGGAGACTTAAAAGAGCTGACGGTGAAATGACTTTCCAGCCCAAAGGTAATCAGGCAGGAAGGATTTCCTCTTACTTGGGGGAGGGTCAGCCTTTTGTTCTCTTCAGGCCTCAACTGATTGGATGAGGCCCCACTCACATCAGGGAGGGCAATCTACTTTACTCAGTCCATCAGTTTAAATATTAAACCTATCCAAAAACGCCTTTACAGAAACACCCAGAATAATGTTTGACTAAATACCTGGGCATTCTGGGATCCAGTGAAGTTGACATAAAATTAACCATTACAAGTCCACCTGTTGTTAACTTGGAACACATACTCATCTCCTTAAGATGTATTTAATTAATCACCACATGAAGACAGTAGCAAGTTTATAATTCTGCCTGACATGATACAGCTTTCCTGCTCACAATAAAAAATGTGCTAACCCTTTCCCAAGAGGAGGAGATAAAGCCCTTGAGTAATGTTTACTCTTCTCCTTGATAGTCTGTACTCAAAAACAGTAATATAAAACCAATACATTATATATTTCATGATAAAGGAATAATAGAAGGAAGAAAACACAGAAATTTGCCCTATATCTGTGTGCACATACATACACACAAGTAAATTCAGAACAAAATAAGGAGGAAATATTCATGACAATTACAGTCTTCATTTCCATAACAGGTCATGTAACCGTAACTGCTATTTACAACTCCCTTTTCCCACTATTCATTATGTATTCTCTTTGCCTTCAGCAATCAGATCAGCTAGTCATGGTTCTTTACTTGGTGGAATAATCCAAGCCTTCATTCCAGAAGGGTCTGGGCCACTACTAGCCCTGCCTGAAGTGGGTGGTTGTAGTTTCTCATTGACCTTAATGACAAGGCGTGGTAATACTAAAGACACTCTAAGGGATCTCCTATGTTCCAAACATACTCTTCCTTCCCTCCAAGTGGTCCCATTTCCCCTTACTCGTCAGGATCAATCACCCCTACCAGCAGAGTAACTCTCTTCTATGCCTGTTCATTTAGCATTATGAGGAGTACAAAGTGGGAGAATGGCAATCTTAAGTTCCAGTTCAATGAAATCATTGTGTGTCTCCTGGTAGAAGCATTCTTCCCTTCCCAGGAGCTGATATGGTTTGGCTGTGTTCCCACCCAAATCTTATCTTGAATTGTAACTCAAGATGAGATTTGGGTGGGGACACAATTCCCATGTGTCATGGGAGGAACCCAGTGGGAGGTGATTAAATTATGAGGGGCGGGTCTTTCCTGCACTGTTCTTATGATAGTGAATGAGTCTCAGGAGATATGATGGTTTTAAAAATGGGAGTTTCCCTGCACAGGCTCTCTCTCTTTCTTTGCCTGCTGCCATCCATGTAAGATGTTACTTGCTCCTCCTTGCCTTCTGCCATGATTGTGAGGCCTCCCCAGCCATGTGGAACTGTGAGTCCATTAAACCTCTTTCTTTTTTAAATTGCCCAGTCTTTATTAGCAGTGTTAAAACAGACTAATACGGTAAATGAGCTAAGACCTCTAGGCCAAAGGACATAAGGTCATCAGAGCAGAAAGCAAAGGTTTTACTAGTGGGTCACTAAGGCTAACAGTGAATGGTGCTATTTTCTCCCTTTGATTTGCAGGCCCATCAATTCTGGCTATGAGGAAAACAGGACCATGTATTGGAAGCTGATTCAGAGCCTACACAGCCTTCTGGAGAATCTTACCCCAGCCCTACAAGATATTGCCACCTAGCTGACACTGTAACTGAGTCTTCAAAATGCCATTCCACTGTTTTATCAAACCAGTTGTTTCAAGATGGAGGGAAACATAAGACCAGTGAATTCCACGAGCATGGGCCCACTGCAGCACTTCATTTGCTGTGAAGTGAGTTCCTTGATCAGAAGCAGTTTTTTATGGAATACCATGATGGTGGATAAGGCAATTCTTTAAGTCCACGGATGGTAGTTTTGGCCAGAAGCATTGCATGCAGGGAAGACAAATCTGTATCTATGCCATCTATTCCAGTAAGAAAAAACACTACTTCTTCCATGATGGAAGTGGTCCAATGTAATCAACCTGCCACCAAGTCAATCACCTGGTTGGTCTGACTTGGCAATAGGTCTTGATATTGAATGAGTCAATAAGGATACATAACTGTTACTATTCACAAATTTTAAGAAACTACTTTGACAGCTATATTTCAATATAATTGCCTTTAACAGAACAAATCCACTGAGTGTGGTGACTCATGCCTGTAATCCTAGTACTTTGGGAGGCCGAGGCAGGTAGATCACCTGAGGTCAGGAGTTCGAGACCAGCCTGACCAATATGGTGAAACCCTGTCTCTACTAAAAATACAAACATTAGCTGGGCATGGTGGCATGTGCCTGTAATCCCAGCAACTCAGGAGGCTGAGACAGGAGAATCTCTTGAACCCAAGTGGCAGAGGTTGCAGTGAGCCAAGATCTCACCATTGCACTCCAGCCTGGACAGCCTGGACAACAGAGCGAGACTCCATCTCAAAAAACAAACAAACAAACAAACAAACAAAAGAAACAACAACAACAAAAAAAACAAAGCGAATTATTGGTAAAATACTGGATGTATCTTGTCTTTGATTACAATTATAGATTAATTTAGAATGAGGCAATATCTTTTGTATTTTCTTACTGGCTAGGCAATCGGGAATAGTCTTCTATAAGTGGTGCTAACAAGACTATTTTATTTTTCTTTTCTCTCCACTCAGCCATGTCCCCAATATTTTGGACCTGAGGTATGAAAATAAGTACCTTATTTCTACTCCCCCCAATTGTTCTATTGAATCTAGTTCTACTGAAATAATTACATCTCTGTTGCTGCATTCCAATCATGAGCTTGATTGTAATCTCAGCATTTTAGGCACAGTAGAACAAGGAAGAGCTTTCCATCAGAAGTGATCGCAGGAGACACTGTTCATTAGTTCGACTACTATTTTTCAGAGCACACCCTGAAAGTCAGGAGTAATACCAGGTAATTTAGGGCTTCAAGAATGGATGAAACATGGCTACAACAGTAAAGGAGCTTAATCAAGCAAGAGAGACAGGCATGTAGAAGGCCCTGGGAACCCAGAAAATGGAGCAGGAGACTCTGTCTGGCACAAGGAAGGTGGCTTTATGGATGGAGGTACATTTACACCTGGTCTGTAAGAATGGGTATGGTTTCGCATAGTAGAAAAGGGACAAGGGAGAAAGACTGGATACAAAAGAAGGGGATTAGTGGTGGAGCAATTACAATTAGAGGAGGCAATAAAAGGAGTGGGGACATAGTGTATTTTAGGGACCACAACCAGTGTCTATGGAGCTAGAATAAAAATTATCCGGGTAAGAAGATGAAGTTAGGTGTTGCTGGAAAGGTAGGATGCCGTGGAGACTGGACTTGGGATTTGACAACCAGTAACTGAAAGCCATCAATAACTTCTAGGCAGGGGAATAACATGATCAGATGCGTGTTAGAAAGATGACTCAGGAGACCACATATTTAAGGAAAACAATGGAATCACAATATCCTGGGACCATTCTGAATTTGGGGAAACAAAGAGAGAGAGAGAGAAAGAAAAGAATCAAAGATACCTTTTGAATGCCTAGCTTAGGTGAGAGGTTTGGTGGTGACATCCCTAATGGGGGAAAGGTCAAGTTAGAGGCAGAGAATCAAGGTCTGGAGATCTAGAGAGATCCTGAGTCTGGGAAAATAAAGGTATGAGTCATCTACATGGAAGTGATAGTTAAAGCTATGGGAATGAAGGAGCTTTCCTGGGAGAACGTCTAGACTTGTGATGTGAAGAGCCTTGAGGACAAAACCCGGGGGAGCACTAACGGGTAAGAGTGGTGCCAAGAAAGATGAGTCAGTGAGGGAAACAAGGAGAGGAGGCAGAGGATCCTACGGAGAATCAAGAAATGCTATAAGAAATTAGGAGGCAAACTCAGAGCAGCAAGGTGGGTGGGAGAATTGCAATAAGAGCTTCCAAAGTGGTTGTGGAAGCTAAGATTAGAAATTTGAATTCTGGGTTGGGCACGGTGGCTCACGCCTGTAATCCCAGCACTTTGGGAGGCTGAGGCGGGCAGATCACCTGAGGTCCGGAGTTCGAGACCAGCCTGACCAACATGGAGAAACCCCATCTCTACTAAAACTACAAACTTAGCTGGGCCTGGTGGTGCATGCCTGTAATCCCAGCTACTCCGGAGGCTGAGGCAGGAGAATGGCTTGAACCCAGGAAGTGGAGGTTGCTGTGAGCCGAGATCACGCCATTGCACTCCAGCCTGGGAAACAAGAGCGAAACTCCGTCTCAAAAAAAAAAAAAAAAAAAAGAAAGAAAGAAAGAAAAAGAAAAAAAAAAAAAAGAAATTTGAATTCTGGAGGTGAAGTGACATTGTCCACATAGGACAACATCCGGGTGCTGTTGTGGGAAATGTTGAGCTGAGATGTAGGTGAAAAGATCTAGCAATTCAAAGTCAAGGGTGATTCAGTTCCTCCAAGAAGAGGTTTACAGGAGGTTATGCACTGCTTGAGAGGAGCACATAGATGAGATGACAAGTCACTTGCTTTCAGAGGCCTGCAGACCAAGGTGGCACCTGCATTTTCCCCACAATGGAGTGGCAAGATGAAGAAAGACCCTCCAACATGAAAGTTTGTTTTCGGGTTGGTTTATTGCAATATTGCAGTTGGTGCTCCTTGTGACTGTGAGATAGTCAAGGCTAGCGAAAGGTAATATACCCAAGGTAGAGTTTGTTCAAATCTATTTGGTTAGATATGGGCCAAGCCATAGCCTTGGCTTCCTGACCACTAAGCTCTCAGCCACCTAAGAAGCCGTCTTCTTCTGAAGCCCATTCCTATCAAGAGCCTATTCCTATCATTTGGTACGACGGTGAGCTATCCGGGGACACGCATGAAGAGGCAAATCTCTTCCCAAGCTCCATCTTCTGTAGAAGCCAAGCTTCTGGTCCTGCTCTTATCTTTTTCATGAACATTCGCCAGTCCCTGCTGTCACTCTTGCTCCCCACAGTCTCCATCTGGCCCCTCAGCCAGGTTCCCTTTGAAATGTAAGTTATATTGTAGCACTCCCCTGCTTAAAACTCTATTGTGGTTTCCCATCATGCTTAGACTAAAGCTGAGGGTCAAGGCCATGATCTAAAGGCCTTGCCATAATCTGTAGCAGTGGATCTCAATGTAGGGTGATTTCACATCCACCCCCAAGATACCTGGCAATGTCTGGAGACATTTTTGGCCGTCACAATTTGTGGGGAGAGGTTGCTAATAGCATCTAGTGGGTATAGGCCAGGGATGCTGCTAGCATTCTACAGTACACAGGACTCGCCACCAGCTACAATGACAAACAATTATCCAGCCCCAAATGCCAATGGTGCCAAGGCAGGAAGACCCTGCCCTACAGGGCCCTCATACTCTGGTCCTGCCTATCCTGCGTACCCTCGCTGATGCATTCCTCCTGGGTCACTCTCATCCTGGCCAGTCATGCTTTCCTCAGATGCACCATTGCTACCTTAGGACATTTTGTACCTTCTTCCTCTGATGCCTCCCCTAAATGTTCTCCAGGCTTGCCCCTTCTCACTGTGCAGGTTTCTGCCAAAACGCTGCTCCTTAAGGCTTTCTCCAATTCTATAATCTAAACTAGCTCCTCCTCTCCCACTGCCCTCCTGCTTTCTTCACAGCACTTTGATCATCTGAAATGCTATGACTTAATGGCCTCGTTCTGTCTTTATCATCTGTCTTCTTTGCTGGGAGGTGAGCTCCCTGAGAGCACGGCTTTGTCCCATCCCCAGAGCAGCACCAGCACTTGGTCACTCAAGAGATAGCTACCAATTAAGTAAAGGGAAGAATGCCTGTCTGGGGCCTGGCTCCCTAAGATGCTGATCCTGGGGTGCAATGACAGGTGATCCCTGACTCTCTTAATACTCATCCAACAAGGACTCTTCAATTCGATTTTGAAGCTGTTTGGCCTTACATTTGCCTAACACCCACCCAACACAGCATAGGAAGGCCATTGGATCCAAAGGGTTACAAGTCATAGGACCAAATGCCAGGCATCTTGGATGAGCCTGCTTTGGTCAAAGAACCTTCACTGCATTCTCCTTCACTCTGGACTTTGGGTTTTCCCATTCATGGGTTGGGTAGCATGACCAACCTCAAACACTAGATTCAAGTGCAATTTCCAACCTTGTTTGGACTGTATCACGCAAAGCACACGCACGCATGAGAGTACACGTACAGGGTCACAGACATGTTATCATATAGGGCATAGATCCTCTTTTAGCAAGCCAACCACAGTGTTGGTCAAACTATTTCTATTACAACATAAATGCAACTCAAATAGAAGCAAGTCTCTGTAGTCTGAGAGTTGGGGAGAGGTGAGCCTGGTGAAAGCTCTTCAGAGTGTCCCACGGGAACCTAGTGTTCCCAAGCAGGGTAGGTTTGGGGTTCAATTTAATTCATTTACAGTGGAAACATTTTACAGCATCGCATGAAGTTTTCTTTTATAAAGTAAATTTCGAACCCACCCATCCTCATAACTTCTGATCTCCTGTCAGTACCAGTTTTCTTTTTTTTTTCTTTTCTTTCTTTCTGAAGAGAGGTCTCCCTAGGGTAAAAAGTAAAAACAGCTTTTCCTGGAAAAGTTCATGCTACCCTCATTTACCTTTTGCATAACAAAAGCCCAGACTCTAATTCTGAATAGCTGTTTTGTGTAGTTGAACCAGGTGTCCCGCTTGGAGAGACTGAACATTGGAAGTCAGAGAAATGCCAATTTGCTGTGTTTCAAAATACTTTGTTTCAATTGCTGCCAAAGCCTGGGGCAAAATGCTATAATCTATTTCCAGTTGTAGCTTTTCAGCTGGCTCAGCCTATTTTTTAAAAAATTTATTAACATGCCCAAGTGACAGTATCACTTATTAACCTTATTGATCTGGGAAAAATTTTGTTAACTATAAAACATATTCATTATTTGGGGTTAGTACTAGTGACTTCTTGACAGCAAAACATCCAAGTCTTAGAAGGTGAAAACTGATTTATAAATACATAGCAAACATGCTAATTAAAATACATCAGTGATGTATGTCTGTAGATTAAATAATCAGATGATATTAAGTGAAACGGAGAAAGGCACGTTGCCACTGTATTTGAGGTAGACTACTGACACATCTGATTACAACATATTTTCAATTTAGAGTGTGAGAGAGACATTCTACCATTGTTAGTCACATCACATCTGGTCGATCCAGTCCTATATTTTTCTGAATGTGCCACATTTGCAAAGAAAGATCTTAAGGAAAAGGCAGCATATGGTTTGCTAACTACCAGAGACATGAAAGGCTTTCAGATAAATGCATAAGTCTCATTCATTCAACAAATATTTTCTGAGGATTTACTAGGGGCTAGGTATGATTGCAGATGCTGAGTCTGCAAAGTAAACATATATACTTATGTGAACACAGTATTCAGCACCTGGGGCCCTGCACTGGGATTTTATCAGAATTCTTAGACAGCATTTGGATAAGCTTATTCCTCATAGATCTCTGCTTTCTCTCTCCAAAGGATGAAGCTGAAGACTGGAGAAGTGTATACAATGGAAAGGAATGGGATCTGTAGTCAAAGATGTGGAATCAAACTTTGACACTTGACAAACTGAGTTGGCCAAATGGTTTTACATCCTTGAGTCTCAGGATCCTTCTTTATAAAGTAACCCAACCTCATCAGGGTGGAGTCATGGCAAAACAAGGTAGGGTATATACATTGCTGGTGGAATGCAAAGTGGTACAGCCACAGTGGAAAACAGTTTGATGGTTCTTCCAAGAGTTAAAGCTACCATACGACCCAGAAATTCCACTCCTACCTACATACTGAAAAGAATTAAAGACAGATGCTCAAACAAATACAGGTACTCCTATGTTCACAGCAGCATTATTCACAAGAGACAAGAGATGAAAACAACCCGAACGCCCAATAATAGATGAATGGATAAAGAAAATGTGGTATATACAGACAATGGTGTATTATTCAGCCCTAAAAAGGAATGAAATTTGGATACATGCTACAACGTGGACGTACCTCAAAAACATTACACCCAGCAAAAGAAGCCAGATGCAAAAGACCACATACTGCATGATTCTATTTATATGAAATATCTAGAATAGGAAAATCCACAGGAACAGAGAGTAGATTGGTGGTTGCCATAGGCTGCGGGAGAGGGAATAAGGAGTGATTTTTCATGGCCACAGAGTTCCTTTCAGGTGATGCAACTGTTTTGCAAGTAGATAGAGGTAGTGGTTGTACAACATCGTGAATGTACTAAGTGCCATTGAAATGTTCACTTTTAAAATGATCAAGATTATTTTTGAATTTCATCTGAGTTGAAAAAAAAATGAGTGTATATGAAAATATTCCTTATATGTTTTTAGTGACTTACCCAGGGTCACTCAGGTGGTTGGAAGATGGGTGGATAAAAGGCTATGTAGAGAGGTCAGAGGGAGTCTGAATCTTCTAGTGACTCATTCTATTTATTTATTAATAATCGAGCAATAAACGTATATATTTGTGAACATCATGATGCTTTGATACATGTATCCCTTGTGGAATGGCTAAATCAAGCTAATTAACATATGCATCACCCTACTTATCATATTTTTTGGTAGTGAGAACACTTGGTATTTACACTTTCAGCAATTTTTATGTATAAAACATACTGTTATTGACTAGAGTCACCATGCTGCACAATAGATCTCCAGAACTGATTCCTGCTGTCTAACAGAAATTTTGTATCCTTTGACCATCATGTTTCCCAACCCTCATCCCCAGCCTCTGGAAACCACCATTCCACTCTGTGCTTCTACGAGTTTGACTTTTTCAGATTCCACATATGAGTGAGATCATGTGGTATTTGTCTGTCTGTGCCTGGCTTATTTCACTTAACACAATGTTCTCTCTTTTTTAAGGCTGCATAGTATTCCACTGGGTACATATACCACATTTTCTTTATCCATTGATGAATCTTTAGGTCGATCTCCTAACTTGGCCATTGTAAATAATGCTACAATGAGCGTGGGGGTGCAGGCATCTCTCTGACATACCAATTTTATATCCATCTAGTGACTCTTTCTTGACAGAGAAAAACTTTTCTCTGAACCTCCCCCAAATTTTCCTTCAGGTCTCACTGCCCAAAACGAGGTCACATGACTATACCTAAATCAGTCATGACAGACAAATGGAGGGGGTTGTCGTTAGACCAGTCAGGCGTGGCTAATCCCTTTGCACCCATACGGTGGCCAAGTGTGTGTACTTAGGAGGCACACATTTTGTGCTGTGGAGAAAGGCTGAACTTCCTCACAAAGACTCAGAAACACTTGGCAAATCTAAAGGACAGTCAAGAAGGAGACATAAAACAGATACAAAACTGGATACAAAATATGGTGACTGCGTTAAGAAGACCTCCCATTGGAGACAGCTTTACAGAAGAGATGAGAGTAGGAGAATGATTTAGGGAGAGAGGTGGGTGGTGAATACAGTGGGCCCTTGAGGAGAAAACACCTGGGAAGTCCTGGCTTGCAACTCCTACTCTGGAGGTGACCCTGGAAAAGTCTGGATTTACCCTGAATGAACCGAACTCTCCCCGAGCTTCATTTTTCTTATCTGTGAAAAAAGGGTAGAGACGCCTTCCTCACAGAGACACTGAAAGAATTATACTCGGAGATGGAAAAAAAATACTGCCTAATTTATGGTAAGATTAGAGACTGTTTAGTCTCTAGTCTTGACTGTCATCCCAAAATGACATGATTAAAGATGGGTTTTCACTTTATAATAAATATTGTTTAGTAATAGATTAATAAACCGACGGGCTTGAAAACAGTTCAAATATATTGAAAGAATAAAAGAAAAGAAAGAAAGAAAAAGAGTGAGAGAGAAAGAGAGAGAGAGAAGGAGGGAGGGAGGGAAGGAAGGGGGAAGGGAAGAAAGAAAGAAGGAACGAAGGAAGGAAGGAAAAGAAATTATCCCTTGAATGCCTGACTACCTTCACACCTAACATAATCGGAAGCAGAAATTCTGATTGGACGCTGAGTTCCTCAAAATCCCCCAAATGGAGTAATCACTGTTGGTTCCCTGCCCAGCTCCAACAGCACCCTGCCATCCTTAGAAATCTCCAACACATACACCATAGACTTGGCTCGGAACCACTCTTCAGGGTATTCATTTCTTGGTTCCTTATGCCCAGGACTGGACACATAATTTTCAGGACCCACTGCAAAATCGAAGCCCCTTGTTGAAAAAGAATTAAGGATCTCAAGGTGGTGACAGGGGAACATTAACCCGAGTGTGGACCCTTCTAAGCATGGGGCCTCCTGTTACTGATCAGGTCACCTGTTCATGAAGCCAGCCCTGGCTACTCCCTACAGGTGAGAGATACAAATTCCTTAGCACGACATCCAGGGCTCTTCAGAAGGGGACCCCAGCCCCTCGTGAACACCTCACAGCTTCTATAATGTTTCCCTACTTGAGGGCCTTTGCACGTGCCCCTCTCAGGGTCAGGGGTGTGCATCCTCTCTGTTCCATCATCACACCCTCCACACCCACCCAGCTCCTCCAAACCCTTAACCCATCTTGCTCCACTCCCTAGCCCCACACTCCTTAGGCAGAATCTGGTTCCCTAGGGTCCCCACTAAGCATTTGTCTCATGGCACTTAAACCAGATTTTTTATACCTTGGTCTCTTCCTATAAGAAGATGAGCTCCTTGAGTTCAGGGAATATTCTCTCCTTCTGTGACCCTGGCCTTCTCTCACGCAGTGTCTGCTGTCTGGGTTCATGAATGAGTGTAGGGCTAACCGCCTGCCTCAATGGCAGTAGATTGGACCATTCACACTCAGACATGATCCTGGCCAGAACCTCTTGAGTCTATCGGCTGTCCCAACCTTGCCTCTGATGTTGTGTGGCTCCTTACCTCATTCCTCCCCCTTTTACTTGGTTTTAAGCTGCAGGGATGATAGTGCCTCTCAGATCTCAACTCTAGGCATTCACATGCCCATTATCGAGTGACTTAGTTTGAATTCCTCTAAAAGCAGACCCAAAGAAAAAGATTTGGGCCAAGTATTTTATTTGGCGGGTGATGCCAGGAAGCACTGTGAGGGAGCAGGGAACTGAGAAAGTAGAGGGTGGAAAGCTACAAAGAGACACCTTGATTAGTAGGTTCCATTTTAGGCAAATAGGACTCAGGCCTGCTGGGGACCCTCTGAAAATTTTTGGTGAACCCAGTCCAAGTGATCCTAACCAGAGGTGAAGAAACTGGGGTATTTATTTGCAACTGCTGCCTCTCATTGGTAATAGGTCACTCTAGGAACTTGCTGGCACTTCCAGTCTGTTCTATACCTGGGTGTGTGTCTGTGGTCAGAGGATGCCCTCAGCCAGGAGATGCAAGAGGCTATCCACATGGCTGCTGGCAGCCACTGAGATAGACTGCAGGGAAATGGGTGGGCCAGTGATGGCATCTGCTATGAAGAGGAATGGCAGTTAAAAATCCTTGGCAAAAATGTTCTGCTCGGATCATGAAACTTAGCCAGCGCATCAATGACCATACTAATTTCTTAGGGTTGCTGTAACAAAGTGCCACAAATTGAGTCATTTACTGTCTCACAATTCTGGAGGTCAGGAGTCCAATATCAAGGTATTGGACTCCTGGATCTGCTCTAGATTTCTCTCTCAGCTTCTGTAGCCTCAGGCATTCCTGGGCTTATAGGTGGCTGTTGTCTCTCTGTATCTTCACATCAGCTTTCCTCCATGTGTGCCTCTGTGTCCACATTTTTCCCTTGTTATAAGAACACCAGTCATGTTGGATTAGGGTCCACCCTGATGACCTTAGTTTAATATGATTACCTTTGTAAAAACCCTCTTTCCAAATGAGGTCACATTTCTTAGGTACTGGAGGTTTGGGTCTTCAACATATCTCTTGGGAGGGGGATACAATTCAACCCATTATGACCAAATGAGAGAGATTACCACCATGCCCCACACGGTGGCCCTAAGTGGGCGAACACCTAACAAGGAATTGTGCACCTTGTTTAACTAGGTGTTTTAGAGCAGGTCCTCCAACCAACCGCCACTGTAATTTCTCACTTTGCTCACTTACATTAAAGAGAAAAGTGGGCCCAACTCTTTCAGCAGGAAGACAGACTATCACCCATGTCACACGCAGGTAAGTACATGAGATAAAAGCCATTGTGGCTCACAAAAACCAGTGGGTAATTCTGTCCAAGTGGAAGATTAATTGGAAGCTCTTTTAGGCTAAGACTGAATATCGTGGGAGGTATGTGGCAAGCTAGGAGCAAGTCCACAGGAGAGTCTTTGTCAAAACTAAAGTAATTAAAGCCTTCAAAAATAGGACCTTGGGAAAAAGGAAAAAGGAATTTGATAATTTTGCCTGCAGAGAAGCAGACTGAGGTGTGGTTCACAGTTCCCCCGCATTTGAAAGGTGGCCAGAGGCACTCCCATTCCTGCTGAGAAGAGCGTGATGGGAAAAAGGCTTAAACTGAAGGGGAGATTTAGGCGGATGAACTGAAGAATGTTCAGAGCCTACAAGGCATGGGCACTCCAGGATTGGTTAACTCACCATAAACACTTTGCTTTTGCACAACACTTAATGACTTATGCAGAGTCTCTCTACTTGCTTGTCTCATTTGATTCTCCTGACACTCCTTTGAAAGGGTAGGGTCAGACACATTGTACAAACTGCAAAGTGCAGTGATTTATGCTCTTAGCCTATACAATGCTTCATTTTCGCTAGTCCACGGTTCTTAACGTCAGCACAACTGACATTTGGGGCTGCATAATTCTCTTGTCGGGGGCTGTCCTGTGCACTGTAGGATGTTTAACAGCATCTCTGCAATACACCACCCCCCAGTAGAGAAACCTCAAAATACATCCAGTCATTGCCAAATGCCCTCCTGAAGGAAAAGTCACCCCTCGCTGAGAATCACCAGTGAGTCTAAATTCCCCCAACTACTGCTTAAGCCCTTTAACTATTTTTCTATCTCCTGGGGAGATAAGGAAGTATCGCTGTTCACCATATACACTTTTGAGACAGATGAAAAGACATAGTCACTGACTTCTGGGAGCTCACAGACCACTGGGAAATGGGCCTGCCTTCTCCCCACAATGGGGAGGTAGCCGTCATGTCATGTCTTCAAAGGGCAGAGGTCACAGAAAGCCTTCAGTCTGCCCAGCATCGTCAGAAAGAAAAAATTTCTCAGAAAGGGGAGAGTTGAAACTAAAATATGAAAAGACAAATAGGGTTTATCTAATAGATATTGTCATTTGTATTATCTCAAGCTTTTAAACATAGTTTTATATACACCTGGGGTCATCAGACTATGAGCCAGGGGCCAAATCAGGCCCACTGTCTGTTTTTATAAATAAAGTTTTATTGGAACACAGTAATATTCATCATGTATTTGTCTGTGGCTGCATTCCTGCTACAACAGCAGAGTTGAATAATTGTGACAGAGTCTATATGACCTGTGATGTCAAAATACTTACTATCTGGGCCTTAGCAGAAAAAAATTGCTGATCCCTGTCTAGGTCCTGGGGTTTGAAGTACAGGGACCTTTACTGAATGCTTGTCCTGTAGACTTGCATCACTTTTCATTGCTTTAGGTAAGATAATCTACTATGTACCAAGCTGTAAATTAAGTGGTTTGTATATGCCACCCAATTCTTCTGTTCAATGACCTTGAAAAATATATACTGTTATCCCAACAAATGCAAGGTCAAAGAAAATAATAAGCTTGTCTAAATCATAGAATGAGTAGACAGGCAGAGGCAGTATTTAAACTCCCATTTTCTTGACTTCAATGTCATTAAAACACCATGAACCTCAGTTTCTTCACCTACCAAAAGCAAACAGTTACCTACCTTTCTTCAATTTACAAGCTTTCTTCCAAATTATAAGTGATAGGAATACTTCTAACAACAAAATGATGTGTAGGTAACATTTATCCCCATTGTATAATTAAGTCCTAGGTGAGTCTTCTGCTCTGTATTTTATCACCCCTGGCTTTGGGACCAGCTGTGTCACATATGCAAATCATAGCAGACTCCTTTTACATGGGTGACAGCTCACTTCAGTAGAAGCTTCCCTCCCCATCACAAGGCTAAGTTGGCAGGACCAGGGAAACAAATACAACTCAAGCTTGGAGTTAAAAGAGTCGTGAAAGCAGAGACATGCATAAATCTACTTTATAAAGGGTTTAGAGGTCCTAGAGGCCACATTAAAGACATTCCCTAAATCAGCTCATGATGGGGCTTCCTGGGTGGTGGTGGAGCTTGACATGCCCCAGAGATCTGACATTTCCTTCTCTCCACCCCAGCTCAACCTGGTGGGTGGGAGAGCTGGTGGGAACTGTGCAGGTGGCTTCAAACAGTGGGTAAGGGGATCTTGCAGCCCTTCCTTCCTTCTCTTCTTCCCTGGGTGTTCAATAAAAGGCTTCATTGGATGCACACATATTACTAGGCATGTGTGTAGAAAAATGGCAAGCATTACTATTAATTTTGGGGACAATTAATCACCAGTACGAAGCATAATACACAAAGCATTTTAAAATCATCATCTCACTTGGTCTCTACAATGATCTTTTGTGGTAGGTGCTGGTATGCGGAGGCTGAAGCAACTCCATCTTGGAAGCTAATCTACCATGTTGGCTTCTGATTAACATCAGTTCTGGGAAGGCTTGTAAGATTTCCTGTTTGTCTATTATTTCCTAGGTAAGAGCAGATACTTACTGTAAATCCTGCCCCTAGATTAAACAACCTTGGTGTTATCGTACTTCCATTGTCCTATACATCCCTTCGGAATCCCCCTTTCCCTATGGTCCTCAAGCCCTTGGTCTGGGGAGTAACAGCATAGGGATCAACCATCTCGTCTTGCCACTGCCCGAAATACAGACATGGCTTCTGTTCCTAAGTCCCTATTCAACTTTTCTTTCTAAGAAACTGGATTTGTCAGCCTCTTTCTTCACCTCTCAGCTTCCTTGGACTTTGGGGGTAGGTTTGCGTAGACATGCTCACCACAGACACAATATCAGCTTCATTCTACAGATGAGGAAGGCAAGCCTTGGGGAGCTTAACCAACTTGTCGAGACTCATGTATATACCAACACTGAAAAGCAGATATTCCAGACTCCCAGTCATGCCACAGGCACACCCCTCAGTGAGAGGTGGGGTTTGTAGTTGAGGCTATTTCCTGCCCAGGGAGCAGGGAGGCACTCTAGCTTCCCTGAGCTAACGTGGTTCTGCTTGTGTCTGACTTCCAGGTCTCTGCCCTTTCCAAGCTCACTAGGATGGGCTTCGGGTGTGTCAAATGCCTCAGACAGTACAGATCCACACAGAATGGGCATATGCAACCAATCAGTGTCATAAAAAAGAAGGAAATGACTCGGGCCCCCTGTGTGTTCAACATGTCGAAGGTATCTGTGCAGCAGAAGAAAGAGGGGCAAAAGCCCCCAGTGCCACAGGCCAGAGGCAGCAGCTTGGGCCCATGTGGGAGGGTTTGCTTTCCCCTGCCAAAGTGATGGGCTGCTGCAGCCTGGGGCTTGTGGGAATCCTTCCTGGGCCTGTGTGGGAAGTGTAGGCAGGGAGAGTGCTGCTTTCCCAAGCTCATCCCAGCTACAGCTACCTTTGTGCTCTGGGATTCAGGACCCCCGAGGGGGCTGGCAGGAGAGTCTCTGTTCTCGGATGGGTTGTCACCAGGGCATACATGGGAAGTGGGCTCTCTGGAGTCACCCTCCAGGGGACAATGCCAATTCCAGACACATTTACTGGAACCCCTACACTGATGACCTTTTGTTGAGGGTTGAATTATGTCCCCAAAAAAGATACATTGAAGTCCAAACCTCTGGTGTCTATAAATGTGATTTTATTTGAAAATGAGGTTTCTATGGACTAAATTGTGTCCCTCCCAAATTCATATTTTGAAGCCCTAGCCCCCAGTGTGACTATACCTAGAGACAGAGATCTTTAGGAGGTAATTAAGGTTCAATGAGGTCAGGTGGGTGGGGCCCTAAACCAACAGGAAGGACTGTGGCCTTACTAGAAAAGGAAGAAAAAGCATTTCCTCTCTTCTAGTATAAAAGGACACAGAAAGAAGGCAGATATCTACAAGCCACGAAGAGAGACGTCACTGAGAACTGAATTTGTGTACATTGATCTGGAACTTCCAGCCTCCAGAACTTGAGAAATACATTTCTGTTGTTTATTTTTTTTTCATGTAATCAATTCATTTATCATATATTTATTGAGTGCCTACTATGTGCCAGAGGATACAGCAGTAACAAAACTAGGCAAAAATTGTGCCTAAAAGAGGGAAGATGACTTTTCTTAAAGTGTGGAATAAAGAAAAGTAAGATAGCGGATAGAAGCTTGAAGTGAAAGCAGGTTCACAGGAAGTTTCTTTGGTCATTTGTTTTGTTTTTAAATAGTGGAAAGATGTATATGTTTATGGAGAAAGATTGCCTTGAAGATGCAAGAGGAAGAGATGATCAAAATTCAAGAAGAAGCAGAAAGTGATAGAATAAAGAGCACAAGTGGAGAATTAGTGTTAATGAAAAGAAGGATGCTTCCTTTGATATGAAGTGAAGGAAGAGAGAATGAGTAAAGACCAAGACTTGAAGTCCCTAGTTTAATAGAGGGAGATTTCTTCTTTTGATAGCAACAATGGTATTCTGAATTATTTGAAGACATGTCATATTTCTCTTGTGCCATTTTCCTCCCAGTTTAAACATTCTCATAACCTCTATTCCTCACATGATGTTTTTCCAGGTCCTTTATTCTTTGGCACTCTCTTCTCTGGACACATTGTATTCTGTCATTGGTCCTAAAATTTAGATACCCACAATTGAACATACTCCTCTAGATATGGTCTAGCTAATGCAAAAGAACTGCTGCCTTCCAACTTGTTCAGACATCATATGTTTGTTGTCAAACGCTAAGTTGAGTTGTTATCTTTTAAGTTTTGTTTTTGTTTTTTTTTTTTTTTTTTAATTCCAAGAGGTGCCCACGTTGGCTAAGTACCAAACAGGGTACTAGGGAATTTTACTTCTGAGTTAAATGCCATTCTAGTTGTTTTTTCTTCATCTCCAGTAAGGTTATCTTTATTCACCAGTTGTTACAATAGCTGTGGGTCTTGCTTCTCACAGTTTTATGCTGTCTGTGCTATTTTCTCTACTGATCATCACCACAATCATTATTGCTTATCATAATTGTTATCTTTATTTTCTCCTTTAATCAAGAATCAGTCTTCCTTTATCTCATTATTCTCTTTTGCAGGCTTCAGGATAATTATGGTTGGAGTGCACTGGGGGAACCAGTGCAGCTAAGCTCTGACATCTTTGCATCCCTTTTCCATCTGCTGTTTTGGCACTCTGGTAGAATAGATAACCTAAAAACGACTTTAAAACATCTAGAAATTTTGGATAAAATATAACAAACATCCCTTTAAATGCACAACTGATCTTCCATGGAAGTCACAGAAATATATAACGCCAAAAAGAAGGGAAGCTGAAACCCAGGGCTGTAAACATGAACATCATCTTCTCTCCCTTTTTCTTGTGACTTATCTTGTTTTTCTCAGCTTTGGTGCTACCAAGGCTTGACTTTAATAGGCATTTCCAATCAATGAGAGAATTTCTTTTGCTTTCATCAACAATTCAGTTATTGATGTTAACATATATATCATTTGAGTACTTTTCTTTTTTTTATTATTATTATACTTTAAGTTTTAGGGTCCATGTGCACAATGTGCAGGTTAGTTACGTATGTATACATGTGCCATGCTGGTGTGCTGCACCCATTAACTCATCATTTAGCATTAGGTATATCTCCTAATGCTATCCCTTCCCCCTCTCCCCACCCCACAACAGTCCCCAGAGTGTTCCCCTTCCTGTGTCCATGTGTTCTCATTGTTCAATCCCCATCTATGAGTGAGAACATGCGGTGTTTGGTTTTTTGTCCTTGCAATAGTTTACTGAGAATGATGATTTCTAATTTCATCCATGTCCCTAAAGAGCTTCTGCACAGCAAAAGAAACTACCATCAGAGTGAACAGGCAACCTACAAAATGGGAGAAAATTTTCACAACCTGCTCATCTGACAAAGGGCTAATATCCAGAATCTACAATGAACTCAAACAAATTTACAAGAAAAAAACAAACAACCCCATCAAAAAGTGGGCAAAGGATATGAACAGACACTTCTCAAAAGAAGACATTTATGCAGCCAAAAGACACATGAAAAAATGCTCATCATCACTGGCCATCAGAGAAATGCAAACCAAAACCACAATGAGATACCATCTCACACCAGTTAAAATGGCAATCATTAAAAAGTCAGGAAACAACAGGTGCTGGAGAGGATGTGGAGAAACAGGAACACTTTTACACTGTTGGTGGGACTGTAAACTAGTTCAACCATTGTGGAAGTCAGTGTGCTGATTCCTCAGGGATCTAGAACTAGAAATACCATTTGACCCAGCCATCCCATTACTGGGTATATACCCAAAGGACTATAAATCATGCTGCTATAAAGACACATGCACACGTATGTTTATTGCGGCACTATTCACAATAGCAAAGACTTGGAACCAACCCAAATGTCCAACAATGATAGACTGGATTAAGAAAATGTGGCACATATACACCACGGAATACTGTGCAGCCATAAAAAATGATGAGTTCATGTCCTTTGTAGGGACACGGATGAAATTGGAAATCATTTCTGTTGTTTAAACCACGAAGTCTATGGTATCTGGTTATGACAACCTGAGAATACTAACTCAAGGGTCTTTCGCAGATGTCATTAAGTTGTTAAAGTGAGGTCATTATGGTGGGTCCTAATCCAAGAGAAGAGATGCATGGACAGACGTGCACAACGGGAGGACCAAGCCAAGACACACAGGGAGAATGGCCATGGGAAGATGGAGGCAGAGATCAAAGTGAGGCACCCACAAGCCAAGAAATGGCAGGAGCTACCAGCAGCTGGAAGATGCAGAGAAGCATTCCTTCTTAGAGGTTTCAGAGAGAGTATGGTGCTACTGACACCTTGATTTTGAACTTCTAGTCTCCAGAACTATGAGAGAATAAATTTCTGTTGGTTAAGCCATCGAGTTTGTGTAAGTTTGTTATAAGAGCCCTAGGAAATAAACATATCCATTTATTCAGGAAAGCCTGCTAGAGTGCAAATATTTGGAAAAGATACTACTATGCAAATGTTTGAAAAAGATATTGCTCTTGATTCTGCCTTATGGGTTTTTCATTTCTGTAAGCTATTCTCAAAGTTTTGTTCTTGGACTACTATTGGTAATTAAGACTGCAACATGTTTGGCAACATCAGTTGAGAACTGTTGCTCTGGGAACGTTTTCGGCAAGCCTCAGCCCTTCTTTTCCCTTGGCTTGCATTGAGGAGTTAGGTGATACTCTGCTGCTCAGGCCCAGCACCTTTATGGACCGTATTCCCCTGGTGGAATGACCATCTCTGCTTGCTCTGATTGGCTGTTGGGGTTTTCTAGCATGCCCTATTTAATATGTATGATTTATCTCTTACTTCAGTTGGAAGGTACAGTTGCTCTGTAGTTGGCATGCAGTCATGGTGACTATGAAAATATAAAATAATGTTTTGGTTTACAGACACTTAGAAATAAGTTGTGTCTCAAAATTGGGTGACTATTCTAGTTATCTGCTACTCAATATCCTTGTGCGAGCCCTCTTTACCCAGAATCAAACTAAACCATGAGGGGCACTATAGAATGTCACCCCTGGGTCCAGGATACTATGGGGACTCAGAAGCCAAGCTCCCACTGGGGGATCTAGGGCATGCCCCCAAGGTAAGATTCCCACCTCTTTGTTCAGCAGGAAGCACCCATCACACAAGGAGGTAGGAATAAACAAGCATTCGTCAAGAACAAAAGATACAGATGTTCTGCTGGAGCTTGGATACATAGCATAAGAGGGAACAGTTCTCACAGGTAAGAGTAAGTTTTCCTCTGGTGGTGACAGTGGGACCTGTGGGGGAGAGAATTGGGAGTACTGACAGGAAGGCAGAGTGGCTGTCCAAATGAACGGATTGTTTGCACATGGCCTTTAGGGCACGTTGTGTTAGCCTTCCATTGCTGCTTATATTAGTCTGTTTTCACACTGCCCATAAATGCATACCTGAGACTGGATAATTTATAAAGAAAAAGAGCCTTAATGTACTCATAGTTGCATGTGGCTGGGGAGGCCTCACAATCATGGCAGAAGGTGAAAGGCACATCTTACATGGAAGCAGACAAGAGAGAATTGAGGACCAAGTGAAAGGGGTTTCCCCTTATAAAACCATCAGATCACATGAGACTTTTTCACCACCATGAGAACAGTAAGGGGAAAACTATGCTCATGATTCAATTGTCTCCCACTGGATTCCTCCCACAACACATAGGAATTATGGGAGCTAAAATTCAAGATGAGATTTGGGTGAGGACACAGCCAAACCCTATCACTGCTGTAATCAATTCCCACCAACTTAGTGGCTCGAAACATCACAGATTTATGATCTTATGACGGTGGAGGTCCCCAAATGGATCTTCTAGGTCTAGAATCAAGGTATCAGCAGACCACTTCTTTTGGAGGCTCTGGTGGAGAAACCATTTCCTCGCCTTTTCCAGCTTCTAGAGGCTGCCCTTCTCATTCCTTGGTTCACGGCCACACTCATTTCCATCTCTGCTTCCACTGTGACAACTTCTCTGCCTCAGACCCTCCTGCTTTGCCTTTGTAAGGACCCTTGTGATGAGATCAGGCCCATCCAGGATTATCCCTCATCTCAAGACCTTTACCTTAATCACATTTGCAAGGTCTCTTCCACTGTGTCAGGTAACATTTTCACAGGTTCCAGGGATTAGGGTGTGGACATCTTGGGGAGCTGGAGGATATTATTTCATCTACCACACACATCTCTACCTTGTACAGGCAAGCACTTGCAAAGTGCAATGTGATCCTCTGGAGCCACTGTCCTCCCAGAGCTTATATATACTCTGAAAGTCAACTCTCAGACCACAGCCTCCTGTCCATGCACCACTCTCATCAACACCCCCACCCGAAACACTTTCACTCCACCCTCTTTGTCCCCTAACTCATGGAGAAGAAAATCTAATTAGTAGGAGTGGAATTTGGCTTTCATCTTTACCAGTACTAGAAATATGGTGTGTGTCTTTTTGTAAAAATTCTCTCAACTAAATTGTTTTTATTAATTTCTGCAAAATGTGAACATCAACTCCCTTCATGTGAATGTCAATAAGATTAAATGAGCTGTCTCAGCTCCTAGCCTGTGCAAGCTAACAGCTCAGGAGATGTTTATTTCTTTCCCTCTTCTTTCCTTAATGAAGCCCTCTCCTTTGACATCTTCAATTCTGGAGCGCTTCTTTTCTGAGGCCTTGGCTCCCCCACATTGCCCACCCTTTTCCTGCTCGTCCACATTTCTGGCTTCTATTCTCTTGTCTTTACCATCTCCCTGAACAATGTTATCCGTTCCAATGACTTCAACAGTCTCTCCGCTTACATATGATGCCTCTCAAACTCTGATCTCCAACTCTTCCAAAGAGCTCTGGACCTTTGTTCCAATTACCTGAAAAACATCTTCTTGGATGTCCCATTAGCACTGTTAAATCAAACAAGAATTTCCCTCCCTCCTGCCTTGCTGTAGTTCCCCTAGGGATTCGGTTGTGTGGGAAGATGTGTGGAGAGCTCTTAGTTGACTCCCTTCTCTGCAGTTCTACCTCTCTAGAGACTTGGAGGACCCACTGTTTCCGCCTCGCTTTTTCAGGCCTAGAGATTGCTCGCTCCTGGGCTGGCTGCTTCATAATTCCTTATTAGTAGTTTCCCAAGCTTACATATCTGTAAATATTTACTTTAGTTAAATTCTCCCCAATTTCCACAATATGTTGGCTGCACATGCTTTCTACTAGGAGTCACACAACTATGATAAGAACCAAGAAATATTAGTAAACGTTTTTTACCATTATTGGCCTATACCCTGGAATAGCCAACAATAACCTAGAACCTATGCAACAAGAATATCCAACAAGAACCTAGAGACCTGTCAGTCTATAGGTGGGAACTACAGGATGAGATTATTTTGTGTGTGAGCCACCATTGTGGAAAATGTGCCTCTACAGGAGCCTGAGATTACCTTGCTTTGTGTTGTGTTCCTTACTTTTTTCAAAGAGTTCCTCTATATCTGCTGATGAAACTCTTGAGGCTTGTTTTGAAGCAAGTCATAGGTTATTAATGCCCTACCCCATTTCTCATGCTTTTGCCCAGGAACATTTCAATGGCAAATACATACCTTGGGCCCAAGTTTGCAGCTTCTCAGTCATCTTTCTTCTCCACTGAGCTAGGAGCACTCACTCTACAACAGATAGTTTTTTATTTTTATTTTTATGTATTTATTTTTTAACCCTTACAACTTTTCTTTGGCAGATTCCTGAAGTAGAAAATCCAACAAAAACCCTCTGATTACAATGGAATGTACCAGCTCATGTTGGAAAAGGTCACTCCATTGCATGACATCCTGTGACACATACAGAAAATCAGCTTAGTCAGAAGCATGTGTCATATGAGTAACATTTGGACCTGAATTGAGCATTGTGCAGTATAGCTTCAGCAGGTGCTCCTATCACTCTACAGTACCCCGTGTCAAATGGGCAATGCCAGATGATGCCAAGAAGCCCCAGTGAGTGAGTGCAGAAAAATCTCCAGTGTCTGCCTGTTACAAGTGGTCTCTGCACCCAGTACACTGCAGTGCCCAAGAATGAGACCATGTCCAAAGCCAAATGGGGGAACACCAATTGAAAAACGGAAGCTGTGAAGGCCAAACAGGGGAAGCACAGAGTGTTGGCCTTAACTTCCCTGAAATTTGTTCAAGCAGCTTTGGACATCACAAAAAGACAAATCAACCATTGGCCCATGGTGGAGGAAACACTCAGAGAAGGGACAAACGGAGTCAAGTGTGACAAGGGGCAAGTGTGAGGCTCCTATTTGAGATTCTATACTCGAGGTAGTAATAGATGATTTGTCTCCAAATTCCAACAGCAGAATATATGTAAACCCTGAATTAATCTTCATTTGGAAAACAGCATTTCGTGAATAATTAAAAATAAAAGGAATAAATGTTACCTTCAAGTGGGTGGGAATTGACTGAGAAGGAGCATGAGAGAACTACCTGGAGTTATGGGCTTGTTCTATATCCTGCCAAAGATTGAATTGTACATATGCATGCATTTGTCAAAAGTTTAGAATGATACCTGTAAAAACTTTTGCATTTCACTTCAGGCAGTTTTTTTTCCTAAAAATATACACAAAGAAACATTGAACTATTGCTAATGATATGCACATAGAAGTGTTTACAGATGACGTGTACTCATGCCTGCAACTTGCTTCAAAATACAACACAAATAACATGGGCTGATGGATGGATAGACAGATGGATAGAGAACAGTTAGATAATAATAAAGCACATCTAACAAACTAATTATTGCAGATTCTAGGTGGTGGGTGTGGGTATTTTCTGTACAATTCTTTTTATTTTTATGTTTGAAATTTTTCATTTAAAAATGTTGGAAAAAAAACTAAAAGAAACTGATAAGAGAAACCCTAGGGCTTCTCATAGAGTTGAAAATATTTCAACATAAATGCCATTAATCTGAAAAATTATCAAAATACTTCTTTTAGAAATGCAGTCCATGACACAAGTAATCCAATTACCCTCAAACTAAACCTGGTCATAAAAACTGGTCCCTAGGGAGATCAACAGGTATTTACATAGGAAAAAACATGAAGGTTGCAAGATTATAAGAAGTGCATGATGCTGAAGAGGACATTTCTAAAAAAACATTTTAGGGCTGAAGACTGATTCAGTCCTTACCCCTAGCATATCCACCTGCTGTTCCCCCACCTCTAAACCACTAACTTCACTGAAGTCAAGAGATGTGACTCATTTATGGGCTATGGGCAACTGCTGGGAATCCTGCCATATGGTTGAAGAAAATCACAGACTCATACTTGCAGCTGCTTAATAACATGGTTAAAATCGGAGCCCTTTAGCTCTTATCTTTTGTGTAAAATGTACAGTTTGAAAGATCCACATCTTTTTCTATAATTTAATATTGTATTATTTTTCTTCCAGCTTTATTGATGTATACTTGGCCAAAAAAGTAGGTATTTAAGGTATACAGTGTGATGTTTTAATCTACATAACATTGTGAAATGATTATCATAATCAAGCTAATTAACATATCACCTTTAATTACCTTTGCGTGTGTGTATAGTGAGAACACTTAAGATCTACTCTCTCAGCAAATTTTGAGTATTCAATAAATTATTATTAACAATGGTCACCAAGCTGTACATTAGATCATCCACAACTTATTCATCCTATAACTGAAAGTCCACATACTTTGACCAACATTACCCCAAGGTTCATATCTTGACTGTCTTTTTGGAGTGAGTGTCAACAAGATGACTCTATTTTTATGTCAATGTCTGACTTACATAATAGAAGGCTATGCAGTGAGTACCTTGTGCAAAGGAGATGATTAGGAAACACTGGTTCGTGAAAGAATGAATGCATGGATGGGGGCAAGATTTATCAGAGATGCTTTGGAAGAGAGGGAAGGGATGTGATTCATTCAAACAGAAAGAAGATTTGACATGGATCAAAATAATGTAAAGAAAAACACTAAAGAAAATTATTAACCCGGAAGGAGCTGGAGAAAGATGCAATGTATTGTGAAGGCTTTGGAATAATACAGTTTTTCTGTAGCCTGGGTGTATGACCTTTGGACAAACGCTAAACCTCTCTGAGCCTCAGTTTCCTCATCTGTTCAAAATAACAATAATTATAGCGCTTATTTTTAGAGTCATTGTGAGAAATATTAAATAAGATGTAAAGTTCCCGGTGGAGGCTACAGGAGACCCAAAACAAAAAAGGGAAGGTGAATAAAAAAAGGTTTCATCTGCTGGCCTAGCCTGTTGGGCTGGCTTACAGTTGAAAAGGAGAAAAATACCACAATTCCTGTTGAGATGGAAAGTCGCCATTGTTGGGTCCTGAGAAGACAATGGAAGAGGTCGATGAAGTGGGAGAATCACAGAACTGGCCACAGTGCTTAGGTATTTCTTGAGAATAATCCCACTAGGAGATATATTTAAGGAGGATAAATACATTCCTGGCGGAGGTGGAGTTGGAAAAAAATGTGAGTGGACAGTAATCACCATGGGACAGATGGAACACTAAGGACCCCAAGGGCTTCAGGATTAAATGCTGTTTCTAATTAAGCCACCATTTGCACGACACCAGCACTGATCATTAAAAAAAATTTTAAATTTTCATCATTATTAACTGCATCTCATATCTGTAATTCTGATGAAAGGATAAAATAGAAGAGATGATGGTTATGGATATATTTCATTGCTAGGTCAAAGAAGAGCATTTCAAGAAAAACAAGAGCGGAACTAACTCATACATTTGATGACGTATAGGGAGACCAGGCAATCAGGCTCGAATTCTAGTGAAAATTGCACAGAACCCTCAAGAATAGTGTTTCCCACTGCTTTCTACTCCAGTTGAGTCTGAAGAGTTGTTCCTCAAACAGGACAAATTTAGATTATTTTAGTAACTTATTCCATGAACAAAGATGAAATCTTTTAATGGCAGTAGAAGGCAGTGCTGCAAACAGAAATAACTCCTTAAAGAAATGGAAAACAAGTATTTTATTGCACTCACAGTATATACAAAACAACATGTAATGTACAACAAAATTCCTCCTTAACATCTTCTTAGGACTAAATGGAGAAAAATACTGCCAGTGGAAAATCTTACTAAGAAAAAAATCAATCAAATTCTTAAGAAAGCCCGCATTCATTATCTGAGCCTAGATTTCTCAAGTATCAAAGATGACAGTTTTTGTTAATTAGAAATAATTTAAAAGCAGTTTTCCACTAAGATTTTTGCATATTAACTAAAGTTACATGGTAGAAATATTATAGAATATACTGATGTTTTCTTTGATAAAGCAAAAAGAAGGAAAAGTTGGTTTATCTTTCCCAACATATAAAAGCCCTTTGACGTTGTGCTTGAGGCTGAAAGAGGCTCAAATAGTTTACTGCAATATTTCTGTAAGTCACAGGCTACATTTTTTTTTCAATAGTACGGGGACATTTTTGTCATTGGCCAAAGACTGTTTTGAGAGATGGAGAAACTTTATTTGTCTACCAAACCTTGTAAAAAAAAGTCTGCTTTCTTCACCCCACCTCTGTGTTCCATCTGGGGGACCTACCTCCAATATTTGCTGGAAATTTCATCTTGCTTGTCAGCCTTTCAGATCTGTGGAAAATTTCGTTCCTTTTTTTTTTCAGATTATTATTATTATTATTATACTTTAAGTTCTGGGATACGTGTGCAGAACATGCAGGTTTGTTACATTGGTATACATGTGCCATGGTTGTTTGCTGCACTCATCAACCTGTCATCTACTTTAGGTATTTCTCCTAATGCTATCCCTCCCCTAGCCCCCCAGTCCTCGACAGGCCCCAGTGTATGACGCTCCCCTCCCTGTGTCCACGTGTTCTCATTGTTCAATTCCCACTTGTGAGTGAGAACATGCGGTGTTTTGTTTTCTGTTCTTGTGTTAGTTTGCTGAGAATGATGGTTTCCAGCTTTATCCATGTCCCTGCAAAGGACATGAACTCATCTTTTTTTTATGGCTGCATAGTATTCTATGGTGTATATGCGCCACATTTTTTTTCCCAGTCTATCATTGATGGGCATTTGCGTTGGTTGCAAGTCTTTGCTATTGTGAACAGTGCTGCCATAAACATACATGTGCATGTGTCTTTATAGCAGAATGATTTATAATCCTTTGGGTATATACCCAGTAATGGGACTGCTGGGTCAAATGGTATTTCTGGTTTAGATCCTTGAGGAATAGCCACACTGTCTTCCACAAGGGTTGAACTAATTTACACTCCCACCAACAAGTGTTAAAGTGTTCCTATTTCTCTACATCCTCTCCAGCATCTGTTGTTTCCTGACTTTTTAATGATTGCCATTCTAATTGGTGTGAGATGGTATCTCATTGTGGTTTTGATTTGCATTTCTCTAATGCCCAGTGATGATGAGCTTTTTTTTATATGTTTTCTGGCCACATAAATTTCTTCTTTTGAGAACTGTCTGTTCATACCCTTCTCCCGCTTTCTGATGGGGTTGTTTTTTTCTTGTAAATTTGTTTAAGTTCCCTGTAGTTTCTGGATATTAGCCCTTTGTCAGATGAGTGGATTGCAAAAATTTTCTCCCATTCTGTAGGTTGCCTGTTCACTCTGATGATAGTTTCTTTTGCTGGGCAGAAGCTCTTTCGTTTAATTAGATCCCATTTGTCAATTTTGGCTTTTGTTGCCATTGTTAATGGAGTTTTAGTCATGAAGCTTTTGCCCATGCCTATGTCCTGAATGACATTGCCTAGGTTTTCTTCTAGGGTTTTTATGGTTTTAGGTCTTACATTTAAGCCTTTAATCCATCTTGAGTTAATTTTTGTATAAGGTGTAAGGAAGGAGACCAGTTTCAATTTTTTGCATATGGCTAGCCAGTTTTCCCAGCATCATTTATTAAATAGGGAATCCTTTTCCCATTGCTTGTTTTTGTCAGGTTAGTCAAAGATCAGATGTTTGTAGATGTGTGGGGTTATTTCTGAGGTCTCTGCTCTGTTCCATTGGTCTCTATATCTGTTTTGGTACCAGTACCATGCTCTTTTGGTTACTGTAGCCTTGTAGTGTAGTTTGAAGTCAGGTAGCATGATGCCTCCAGCTTTGTTCTTTTTGCTTAGGATCGTCTTGGCTATATGGGCTCTTTTTTGGTTCCATATGAAATTTAAAGTAGTTTTTTTCTAAATCTGTGAAGAAATTCAATGGTAGCTTGATGAGGATAGCATTAAATCTATAAATTACTTTGGGCAGTATGGCCATTTTCACGATATTCATTCTTCCTATCCATGAGCATGGAATGTTTTTTCATTTGTTTGTGTCCTCTCTTATGTCCTTGAGCAGTGGTTTGTGGTTCCCCTTGAAGAGGTCCGTCACACCCCTTGTAAGTTGTATTCCTATGTATTTTATTCGTTTTGTAGCAATTGTGAATGTGAGTTCACTCATGATTTGGCTCTCTGTTTGTCTATTATTGGTGTATAGGAATGCTTGTGATTTTTGCACATTGAGATATTGCTGAAGTTGCTTATCAGCTTAAAGAGATTTGGGGCTGAGACTATGGGGTTTTCTAAATATACAATCACGTCATCTGCAGAGACAATTTGCCTTCCTCTCTTCCTATTTGAATACCCTCTATTTCCTTCTCTTACCTGATTGCCCTGGCCAGAAATTCCAATACTATGTTGAATAGGAGTGGTGAGAGAGGGCATCCTTATCTTGTGCCAGTTTCTAGGGGAATGCTTCCAGCTTTTGCCCATTCGGTATGATATTGGCTGTGGGTCTGTCATACATAGCTCTTGTTATTTTGAGATACTTTCCATCAGTACCTAGTTTGTTGAGAGTTTCTGGCATGAAGGGGTGTTGAATTTTATCAAAGGCCTTTTCTGCATCTACTGAGATAATCATGTGTTTTTTGTCATTGGTTCTGTTTATATGATGGATTACGTTTATTGATTTGTGTATGTTGAACCCGCATTGCATCCCAGGGATGAAGCCAACTTGATCATGGTGGATAAGCTTTTTGACGTGCTGCTGGATTCGGTTTGCCAGTATTTTATTGAGGATTTTTGCATCGATGTTCATCAGGGATATTGGCCTGAAATTTTTTGTTGTTGTGTCTCTGCCGGGTTTTGGAATCAGGATGATCCTGGCCTCATAAAATGAGTTAGGGAGGAGTCCCTCTTTTTCTATTGTTTGGAATAGTTTCAGAAGGAATGGTACCAGCTCCTCTTTGTACCTCTGGTAGAATTCGGCTGTGAATCTGTCTGGTCCTGGGCTTTGTTTTGTTGGTAGGCTATTACTTACTGCCAAAAATTTCTATATATTTTTTAATCAAAGTGTTAAAAGGAAATACTTGTCATGTAAGCCTAAAGGAAAATTCATACTTTTTCGACTCATAAAAACACAGATATAAGCAGGTAAGAACATTCGGACATGGATGAAACACTTCCCAGTATGATTTACAGCCTGTTATTTACCTTTTCTTAATTGACTTCGTGCCTTTAAATCACAAATCTCAAAGATCTCCCTTCTCTAAATTTTGTATTTAGAAATGGGGACGGGTGATGCTCCTTATCTGAGTAACCTGGATTTACTAGAAAGTCCCACAGGAGTAGATCTTTCCTGTTGGTTATTGCAAGAATCAGACTTTGCAGGGTTATGTTATAGTAATATATTATAAATACCCCCAAATCTGAGAGGCTTATAAAAATGAAGTTTCGTTTTCCACTCATCTCATGTGTTGTACATTACCTCCTCCATGCCGGCATCTGAATTAAAGGAGCAACCTTTTGCTGAGAGTGTTAGCCAGGAGTTGCCGTCAATGTGAACTTAGACCCATCCTGCCTTTGTGACTGCAGGCCAATGCTTAGGGGCAAGACAGCCATTTTGAAGCCACCAAAGGCTCTAAGGATGCTAGAAGGTGCAGAATTGTGCACACTTCACATGTGGCTACCAGCACCAGAATGGGTGAATGGCAGGGCCATGTAAATGCGAGTGTAGAATACACCAGGAATTAACCTCCTCCCTCAGTCTTTTCATGCTCCAGCTACCGGTGAAAGCCACATATAGAACTTCTAAATCTGATGCATTGTAATGCACATATCATCAATTAGATATCCCACTTAGAGTCAGGAAACTGGATAGGTCATTCTGGCCAGGATGACAGTGTTGTCTACTTGGAATCACACAACCTGTAAATAACCAGGAAGTTCAAAGAAATCAGACTAATTTTCTGGGAAGTATGACAACAACTAACATTTAATGAACACTTCCCATGTGCAAAGTGCTTTGTATGCATTATCTCCTTTGATCCTCACATCAGCCGGATGAGGTGGCTTTTATAATGCTCATTTTTTACAGGTGAGGGAACCAAGGCTTAGGAAGATTAAGTAACTTGATAAAGATCACACACTTAATAAGTGGTAGAGTCTAGATTTCATCCAAGGCAGTCTGATTTCAGAAATTCCTACTTTTAACCATTGTGTAGTCCAATCCTAACTGATGTTTGTAATCTTGAACCTGGGATATTGTAAGAGTCAGAAGTGCCTTTGGAATCACAAACATTATGCTCCACGTGGCCTTTATGTTAGATTCATTTTGTTAAACCCTAACTCAGGGATCAACACATTTTTTCTATAAAGGACCAAATAGTGAATCTTTTAAATTTTGTGGCTAAAAGCAGCTCTGTTGCATATTCTTTGTTATTTTTACAATGCTTTTTTTCTTTTTGAGATGGAGTCTTACTCTGTTGCCCAGGCTGGAGTGCACTGGCGTGCCCTCAACTCACTGCAACCTCCACTTCCCAGGTTCAAGTGATTCTCCTGCCTTAGCCTCTTGAGTAGCTGGGATTACAGGCACCACTACCACTCCCAGCTAATTTTTATATTTGAGAAGAGACAGGGTTTCACCATGTTGGCCAGGCTGGTCTCAAACTCCTGACCTCAGTTAATCTGCCTGCCTCAGCCTCCCAAAGTGCTGGAATTACAGGCGTGAGCCGCTGCGCCAGGCCCTACAATGCTTTAATAAAGGAAAAACTATGCTTATCCCATGATACCATATAAAAAAAAAGATATGGGCCAGATTTGTTCCCCAAGTCACCATTTGCCAACCTTTGGTAATTCATCAAAGCTTGATGCACTGGGTATGACATATGTGTAACCTCTCTGCCAATTATGTGATTAATCAGAATATGCCATTTACAACTATTCTGACACAGTGGTGATTTACTAAAACTAGAAGGTGAGTTTGGGTTCGTCTCTCTATAACTTCATAAATTGGTGATCTTGAGTAACCTCAATGTGGAGTCAGAGTCACATGAGGACATCTCAAATGTCTCCTTGCAGCAAGGCAGTGACCTATTCAGCCCCTGTTGTACTCCTGAAGGTGGCATCAAGTGACACTTTGTAGTATGCATGTCATTGCTCTTGACGATTTCAATTAAAAATGCCAGTGAGTTTTACTGAAATTGAAAGACTATTTACAAGCCTCCTCTTTCTCAAAAGACATCAAAACCACAGCAAAGAGTGTTGGATCCAAGATAATTTACAGAGTAATAAAGGCCCACAGAGGATGCCTTGAGTTTTTGACGTCGTGTTGTTGGAAGTCGGATCAGGAAGGGTGAAGATCCACATTACTAAGCCAGCGTGTCTATAGAACTGTGTACCAGGCACAGTGCTAAGCTTTACACATATTAATAGTTAATACAACCACTTCAGAAAGGAGGTAACAGTTTTACCCCCACTTTTCAGATGGGAAAGCCAAGGCAGAGAAAGCTAGAGGACTCATTTGAGTTTCCCCAGTGAGTAAATGATAGGTGGAAGACTGGGACCCCGGTAGATCGGCTTGAGTCCACGACCATGGCCACTATGCTGCACTGTGCTTCCATGGCCAGAAAATGGCTAGGCCTATGGAGGAAAATAACCACTGTGTGAAGAACAATATTTAATTTCTGAATGAAGTACATTAAATTAAAAGATTGATGTTATTCAAGGCAACTAGGGGATACTGGGTTCTAATTCTGCTTTTACCAATCAGCTAATTGGTCACTATGGCCAATTAGTCAAATGGAGTGTTGCGTTTGTCAGTTTTCATGTAAAAGAGAAGTGTTAGTATTTAACATAATCTTTTGTGTTAGTATGTTAAATGTTTTTAAATCATTTTGAGACCCCCTTTTCCAAGGAGTCAGTCATATGCATGCAGCCTGCCACACTCTGAGTACCAAGGCCCATGGCCTCAGGGAAAACTCTAAGCCCGGGTATTTAGTTTCATTCATTCATTCTTCAGGAGAGCAATATCTTCTCATCTGCATAATCAAAGGGTCAGACTGCATATCTCTAAGGTGTCTTCCAGTAATTATATTTTTTTTGTTTGATGACTACAAAAGGATTTACTCATTGAGGGAAGTCTTTACTTGCTGAAAAATGTCTTTACTCACTAACGAAACTTTGATTAAATAAAGCTCTAAAGATATCTATTGACTGTAGCTCTTTGCAGCATAAAGTATTTTTTCATTGACTACAAGATAAAATGTCCTTAATATTAGATCAGCATTAATAACAATCTAGCATAATAATAACCATGTAACCCTACTTTGCAAAAGACTCAGCCCTTTAGAAGGGAAAATGAATAAACTTAACTCATTCTTCTTCGAGGGCCGAGATAAAAATCTCAAGCTATCCTAGCATTAGGAGATATACCTAATGTAAATGATGAGTTAATGGGTGCAGCACACCAACATGGCACGTGTATACATACGTAACAAACCTGCACGTTGTGCACATGTACCCTAGAACTTAAAGTATAATAAAAAAAGAAAAAAAAAGAGAAAAAAAGAAATATTTTTAAAACTGTAAACTGTTAAAAAAAAAAAGAAGATGTGAACTATAAAACACACACACACACACACACACACACACAAACAAAAAAAAATCTCAAGTTATCCTTTAGATAGTCCAATCTGCTTTAAACTTTGGCCCGAGTTATTTTCACGAACATCCTCTGTTTCCAATGGAGTAGATACCATATAAGACAGAACACTACAAATCACTTTGTGTAAACTCACCAAAGAAAGGGTGGGGGGGGGGAGAAAAATCAGCACAGAGTCTGCTCTTAATTAAAACCAGCTGATGATGTACAGCGATTTGTCTGGAGCACCCTGGCTGCGCTGGTTCCCTGACAGCTGAACATTCTTTCCTGCCTGTACTGTTTGAACTATGTCCAATGGTGAAATCGTTAAACCTTTGATAACTGTAGTTTAAATGCGAGAAGGGAGCGGGGGAGCTTTCTGTTTTAAGCAAGAAAGAGAGATGAGTGTTGTATTACACAAATTAACAGTTAAAAAGTTAGTACTTATTAGATCATTTTCACTGGCTTTTGGTAGAATGCCTCTGGACATTTTCAGATTACCTATTGACACTTTTTCACGGCACAAATGTCAAAAATCTCACTTCCTCTCTTCTTCCCTAGGGGATTCTTGCTGTAGTTAGAAGGGAAATAGTATGAACCACCTGGTCTTACTCAAAGAAGCCTTGGGGATAGGTTAATTTCACAGTTGAAAGCTCCATGTGGGGGATACATTTACATATTTACTAATACAGAAAGGGCTACCAAAAGAAAAAAATCATGTGACTTCAGGAGAACTGCTCACAAACACACAAAACACTCTGTTTCATCCTTGAGTTTGACAGATGCTTGATAGGGAACAAAGAATAACCAAGCTGTTCATCTCCAAATACCAAAGTAACTTTAAAATGAATTGCTGTTCACAGTTTCTGGAAGACAAATCGGCATTACGAGGATGTAAATAATAACCTGTCTGTGTGTTCATACACACCCTAAACGTTTAAAAGATATTTTTAGGTATAAAATATTTCAAAAACACAATACCCTTTCTAAAACAGCCATCATGATATATCTGTATTATAGGAAAGTGCAGATATATACAGATAGTACGTAGTTATATTCATAGAAACATAGATGACAGATGGGTAGATAGGTAGATAGATTAATACTTAGTGTTTCAAATTATACTTGGAGCAATTTTTTTTTTTTTGAGACAGAGTCTCATTCCATCACCCAGGCTGAAGTGCAGTGGCACGATCTCAGCTCGTTGCAACTCGTGCCTCAGCCTCCCAAGTAGCTGTAATTATAGGTGCGAGTCACAGCACACTGCCCAAATTTCCTTTTTAAACTTTGGTTTCAGCATAGCCCTGTCTACTACTTGGAGGTGATTTTGGTGTTTGGATATGTTAATACATTTTTGCCAACCATGGTAGCCATGGGGTCTGGCACAATGCTGTAACCCCATTCTTTCAATAGAACGAATGCCCCTTAGGCTGTAAGTGTGGCCCCTGTTTCCTTTGAAGGGCTTTTAGAAATAGACAGAGTGTCTTTTCCCTGGGACTCTGGACTCCTGGGGCAAAGCTTTTTAAGACAGGTGTGAAAATTATCCTGGTTGATTCAGAAATGAGTCATTGTCTCCTGGCTGCTGCTACTGATCTCAAGCTAGCAAAGGTCAAATGAAGTTCTGGTTCACATAAAGACATTCTATGCTGAGTTTTAAGCATCACTGGGGAGTCTTCCAATTCATTTGATTTGGGAGAGCTCAACAACATTGCTGATGTAGTTATCTTTGTCCAGTTAAACTTTTGCCAGACAACCATGGGACTTCTGGCCCACAGGAAGGTAAGGGAAGATAGAAATTAGATTAAAAGACACCCAAGTCCAAACACAATTTCACCAGACAGGTAAATATCTTAATGCCAATTAGTTTTGACAAATATGAGACATATTTGGCTTTGTTCTATCTAGGGGTACTTTTTCATTTAATCAATCTCTCAATTAAAATTCTTTAGCATTGCTTATTTAGAGTCAAATAAATAAATATATCTGTCTGGGTATAATTCATTTAAATTAGAGCACAATGTTTGCTCTATTTGCCTTACATATTGTCATTCAGGAAACATAAGTACTCATGAAATTTTGATTTCTATTAGTTAAACTGTATAAGCATGAAGGAGTTAGTAGGGTGGTAAGCCATGTGGGTTGTCTACACTCAACGCTTTTCTACCTCCACACATCTCCTTGCTCAGAAAGCTCCCCTCCACCAGCGTCCCAAAATATCAGAGAGTAGATGTATCAGCCCCCATGCAGCTGGGCTATGAGTATTGGCTGTGGACTGGGACCTGAAGGCAGGCATCTCGAGCACTTTGGAAAAGGTTTTCTTCTCTAATTACAAAGCCCTGCCTGGAAGGACGTGTCTCCCTTCTCCGGCCAGCTGTTGCTGTGCCTACAAGTGACCTCCGTAACAATTAATTCTATCTTGTGACCTGAGGATTCTGTGCAGAACAAGAGACACAGCACAGATTTTTGATGACATCAACAAGCCATCAAATTGACCCTCTACTCACTTACCTCTGAGCTTCAATTTCTTCATCCTTAAAATGGAAAGAATAAAAGCATTTGCTTTAGGTTTTTTGATTTTTGGGGGATGTGAGAATTAAATAAAATAATGCAAATAAATCCACTTGATATTATGCCAAGGACATAAGACATGCTTGTTTTTAGCTTCTATCATTATTTTTATTACCACTTACAACTACATGATACTATGTTTTCAGAGAAATTGAAATAGTTCCTAAAAGCCTTCATATGTTCAACAAAGATCATAATGTAAGCAGGAGTAAAATATCTGTCAGTCAGTACATTTCTTACATAATCAATGCTTTTCCAGAATAATGTTTTTAAAAAACATTTTGAGGAGTAATTCTGAGAGAGACACCTGGATAGCTTATGAAACTGTTTAGTTCTCTCACATAGGATCTGCCAAATTGCTGACTTCTGCAAAAAACATTAAGAATTTAAAATTATGAATATGGAATAATAGTTTTTAAATGATAGACAAATATTTCCATATTTTATCAGCTCCTGGATTATACTGCAGTTTCACACCTGCACTATTTTAATAGGCTACCTTGTGGCCCAATGGTTTTAATATGTATTCAACCCTAAATAATCACTCATTAATCTTATATGACAACCAGATAGTAATATTTATTAATGTGCTATTGTCAATAGCAGACTTTATGCTACTTATAGTATCTGCATTTTTCCCCATAGTAAAGTTTCCTACACCCTAAACAGCTCATCTCAAAACAATGACAACCAGATATTCTTAACTTCATGAAAAATTTTATGAAATACATGTTTGTACCAAAAAGCAGTTTTAAATCCTCTCTTGAAAATAATTGGCAGAAAATTACTTAATGGAATATCATAATTTATTTTATAAATATAAATAAATGTGAGCTTGCCTAGATCACTTTGGCTTAAATACAAATATATCCATTGTTTTTAAAAAGTGTCTGTTGTAATTATTAAACCTGCTAAGGAGAGGGCAAGATACCTGTAGACTGTTAACACATCTGATGATGAAGCCAATGATAAGGATTTTAGGGGTAAAATACGACTTCAGTTTGGTTGAGTGGTTTGTTTTCTCTTTGAGCATTATACCTCCTCCCTGAAGCCCCTTCAGATCATTTTTCTAGGTCTTAGGCACCTGAGGTGGGATTAAGTACTCTCTTCACTTCCCATACAGGCTTCCAAATCATTATCCTCTATGCCCTCTAAATATCATTGCTCCACTGAGGTTAATTCTCTACATATCATCTTTTCCACTTGTTTCAATTGTCTGCTGTCTTCCAAGCCAATCCTATACATTTATCAAAAAATCTAGCCTCTGAGACAAAGTTTTCTCTCCACCCAAATTCCACTGATCCACCATAATCTCCAGTGACTTTGGAGTTCAGATGGATGACCCCTCTAATGTCTTCCTTTGTCCATCTTAACTTCCACATCTCCAGTGGCCTTCATCTCTGCTCCATTTCAGGTACTTCCTCTTAAGGTTAAATCCTGGAATTTTTCCATCCTTGAATTCTCAAATACAAATGTTCCACTTTCTGATAAAAAATTTTCATTCATTGGGTTTTACTGTTACTCCTAAAACTATGTGGTTTTTAGATTTACCAGGTCCCTTGGTACCTAATGTTCTTTCAGAATCAGCCTCTCCTGGCCTCTTTTCCTCCCCTGGATCCCATCATTAAAATAACGAGGACCCTCAATTTCCTTGCCCTCCATCATTCTGTAACACCCCCTCAACAAAACTACAAAATTGGATCAATGTTTCAAGCCACATTCTTAGTTCCTATAACAAAGTGGTTGGATACTGTTAGAAAAAATATATTATTTGATATATCAGATAGGTTCCCAATATCTCCCATAAATTTATTTACTTCCTATTCAGGGACTCATTTTCCAATACCCTTCAATGTCTATGAAAAAGCTCCATCAGTCTTCTCAAGAACTCTATCTCATACAAGCTCATTAATTTTGGCAGACAAACTTGCCACTTTAATAAAATATTAAAGTAAACAGACAGTGTCTTCCCCAACTTTGTTGCAAGTGTTATCTATTTTAATATATGTATAAATCCTGAACATCTGTAATTCCCATTTCAGTCCATAAGGCATCTCTTTTTTTTGTTGAAGTCTCCAAGTTATGCCTTTGCATCTCTTTCCTTCTCCTCAAGTCTTTTTCATTCATCATCCCTACTCTGTCCCATATCTTCAATCTCTCCAATATTCCAATCTCAGCTAGAACCTGCACTTCGGACTACTAATACATCCAGGTTTTCCCAATTTAAACATTCCTTCCTGCATTGAACTTTCCAGGTGGTTAGTTTTGGTGAACTAACCACCAACTTGTTCTACATATTCCCATCTGTATTAGTCCATTTTCACACTGCTATAAAGAAATACCTGAGATTGGGTAATTTCTAAAGGAAAGAGGTTTAATTGACTCACAGTTCCGCATGGCTGGGGAGGCCTCAGGAAACTTACAATCATAGCGGAAGGCAAAGAGGAAGGAAGGCACATCTTACATGGCAGCAGGAGAGAGAGAGAGACAGAGACAGAGAGAGAGAGAGTGTGTGTGCGAAAGGTGACATACCACTTTTCAACCATCAGACCTCATGAGAACTCACTGACTACCGTGAGAACAGCATGGGGAAAATTGCCCCCATGATCCAATCACCTCATGCTAGCTCCTTCAATTGATACCTGGGGATAAGAATTCAAGATAGGATTTGGGTGGGGATGCAGAGTCAAACCATATCACCATCTTACCTACAGGTCTTCAAAACAGCAATATATATTTCCTATATGCACTTTACTTTTTTCTCATTTCTTCCTTGGTCCTTTGCAATCTGACTTTCATCATAGTACCCAATTATAATAGTTTTCTCAGTAGGAAATCAATAATATTTTTACTGAAGATTCTAATAAAAAGTTCATTTTTTAATTTCCATGTCTCTTGGTGTCCTAGCCTCTTTTGAAAAGAGACTGGACAGACACGCCCCAAGCCAGATGGAAGTCCCGGTATGGCAAACTAAAGA